>NC_000002.12:11850535-12157291 GCF_000001405.40 Homo sapiens | reverse complement strand
AAACAAAGAGAAACTCTGAATAAAAGAGAACAAAACCCCCTTAAATACCTCACTGAATGTCCTTTGTGTCTCTCATGCTGCATGAGCTGAGACCTTGGATCTCAAGCTCGTTTCTGCCCACCCTTTGAGAACTGAAGCTCCCCATGTCTGAGAGAACTCCGTGTCCAGCTTCCCCTGAACTATTCAGTTCCATTCCCTAGGAAATGCTCACCTCTTTTTGCAACCCATAATTTACACATTTCAGAGACTATTCTTTCTTTCCTTCTACCAGGTATGAGCAAAGCCCATCCTCAGATGACCTGCACAATAACTAATATATAGTCTATTATAATAATGCTTTCAGCTGCATTTTTAAGCAGAAAGCCCACTTGTAGAAGAGTTCTCATTTTTTGTTATAAAATTTTCCAATTAGATTGAGTGCATTTGACCCAATTTAAGAGAGAAGAAAATACTCTCTGGTATTTTCAGATAAGACATATTTTTTCTTGTCAGTAACAGAGCTGCTTTCTCCATTTCCAGAAACCTCTGGGCAAGGAAACATGTCAGCAGTAGAGCTAACTCAGAACTGTGTTTGAATTCAGGCTGACAAGGTCTGTTTGAATGCGGGTTCTGCAAGAATCCACAGTTTTGTGGAGTAATATGACCTTCAGCTCCACTTGTTCTATCTGCTAGACAGTTCTACTTTTCAGGGTGATCTCCTCTGGGCATGGATTCTGTCCTTAAGGCATATGTAAATTTTTAACCGCAGGGCCAAACATCTACTATGTAAAACACACAGCGAAAGGCTGCAGGGAGATGTCAGGTTGAAGTGTATTTGGAGAGATCTTCATGCTAACTTGACAATCACTTAGACATCAAAAGGATATTGTCTTCTTTCCAAATGAAGTTCTCGGCCTGCATGATGCCCAAGACCAGATCCTGCACTCCAACTCAAGTCAAAGAAAATAGAGTCGAAAGATCAAAATGACTCCATTTAAATCATAATTGGCGTGTAACATCTGTTCCCATGTACATTCTCCTGTCAAGGACACAGTCTTCAGGAGAACCCACCTGTCTCACTGCACTCTCCATCTTTACTCTAAAAATTCAGAAATCCATGTCTAGTCTTGCTCATCTAGTGCATTCTCCCCATTGTTGCCCAAATAATCTTTCAAAAAATATCATCAATTTTCTGCTCATTATTCTTTGTAGGCTCTGTCTGCTTCTGGCATAAAGTTTAGACACCCAAGCCTGGCATCCACACTATCATCTATATTTGTACTGAAACCTCTCAGCTAGGTTCCGGTTTCCTTGTGCAGCCCATAGTCTGGGGTCAAATGATTTGCCTGTCTCCAAAGGAGCCACTCACACCCATGGGTCAGCCCAGCACTCAGCTGCATCCTGTGCTGGCTTCTCCTTCTGAGACTGTTTATTCTTTCTTCAAGCCTCAGCTGCAATATAATCCACTCTCGGAAAACTTTCCAAATTGCTCTCCACCCAGAGGTTAGTCACTTCCTTCTCTTTGTCCTGTGGAACCTCACAGATACATATTTCAAAGCATTTCTGTCCCGATGCCATAGAATTGTTCATAAGTCAGTGGCCTGGAAAGACCACAAACTCTTCCAGGCCTGGCACTTTTTCATATTTATTTGGTGTCATCCTTTGGACAAAATGGGAAACATAGGAAAGAATTAATAACGAATAACAAATTGTGGAGGGAGGAGAGGGAGAAGGAAGTATTTACTCAAAGTCTCGTAGCTTGGGGGAAACAGTGGGAGGTAAGACAAGACACTGAGATAAGGAATGAGATGCAAAGAAGGCGTTGGGAATGGAAAAACAGTAAGTTTATTTGTAACATGTGGTATACCAAGGGCCTGTGGGGCACTGGGTGGGGTTGTCAAGTGGACAGTAGGGTATGCTTCTGAATGTTCCTCAATGTTTGAGGCAAAGGAGAAAGGTCAGGTTTGGAAGTGAAAGTTTTTAAAAGTCAGCAGCCTTTGTAGGTAGCTACAGCCATGGATATCATGAAAGTCTGAAAAACTGCGGAGAGCTATAAAACCCTGTATAATCAAAGATTTTAAAAGTAGACATCAACAGAATGAGAAGACATGCCCCAGACTGGGAGAAAACATTTGCAAAAGACATATCCGATAAAAGACTGTTATCCAAAATATACAAAGAACTCCTAAAACTCAGCAATGAGAAAATGAACAATCTGATTTTTAAAATAGGCAAAAGGCCTCAAAAGACACTTCACAAAAGAAGGTGTACAGAAGGCAAATAAGCGTATGCAAAGTGCTTCATATCATGTGACATTAGGGAACTGCAGATTAAAGCAGCAATGAGATACCACAACACACCTATTAGGACACCAAGGGACAAAACACTGACAGCAACAAGAGGAAAGATGTGGAGCAGCAGGAGCTCACAGCTGCTGCTGGTGGGAATGCAAAACGGTGCAGCCACTTTGGAAGACAGTTCAATAGTTTCTTACAAAACTAAACATACAAATATCATACGAACCAGCAATTGTACTTCTTGGTATTTATCCAAATGAGTTGAACGCTTAGGCCCACACCAAAACCAGCACACAGATGTTTATGGCAGATTTGTTCGTAATGTCCAAAACTTGGAAACAACCAAGATTTCCTTTAGTAAGTGAATGGACAAATAAACGGTAGTACATCCAGACAATACAATGTTATTCAGCACTAGAAAGAAATGAGCTATCAACCAGCCTGGCCAACATGGGGAAACCCTGTCTCTGCTAAAATACAAAAATTACTTGGGCGTGGTGGTGTGTGCCTGTAAACCCAGCTACTCGGGAGGCTGAAACAGGAGAATTGCTTGAGCCCAGGAGGCAGAGGTTGCAGTGAGCCGAGATCATGCCACTGCACTCCAGCCTGGCCGACAGAGTGAGACTCCAGCTCCAAAAAATAAAATAAAAAAGAAATAAGCTATCAAGCCATAAAAAGACATGGAGGAAACTTAAATGCATATTATTTAGAAAAACCAATTTGAAAGGCTATGTACTGTATAATTTCAACTATATGACATTTGAGAAAAGGCAGAACCATGGAGACAGTAACAAAATTAGTGTTACTAGGGATTTGCAGATTAGCTGGGAGGGAGGGATAAATAGGTGAAATACAGAGGATATTCTGAGCAGTGAAACTATTCTGTAAGATACTACAATGGATATGTTCTTATATGTTTGTCAAAACCCAAAGAGTACACAGCAACAAGTGTGAACTCAAACTATCAACTCTGGGTGATGATGATGTATCAAGGTAGGTTGTCAACTATAACAAACGTGCCTCTGCTCAGAGATGTTGATAGTAGAAGAGGTTCTGCATAGTGGGAACTCTCTGTACTTTGTTCCATTTTGCTGTGAACCTAAAACAGCTCTAAAAATAAAGTTTGTCAATGTTTTCTTAAAAGTAAACAGAAGAATAAAAGTCAATGAAGGACCAGGAAGGAAAATTCAGAGTGACACATATCTACAAGATTTAAATGAAAATGTTTTCCTCTGATTTATTCTTTCCAGAAAATGCTCCTGCAGGCCAAGCATGGTAGCTCACGCCTGTAATCCCAGCACTTTGGGAGGCCAGGTGGGCAGATCGGGTGAGCCCAGGAGTTCAAGACCAGCCTAGGAAATATAGTGAGCCTGTTGTCCCAGCTATTCCGGAGGCTGAGGTGGGAGGATAACTTAGCAGGAGTTTGAGGCTGCAGTGAGCTGTGATCATGTCACTGCACTCCAGCCTGGGGAACAGAGTGAGAACCTGTCTCAAAAAGAAAAAAAGAAAAGAAAAGAAAAGAAAGAAAGAGAGAAAGAGAGACGAAAGAAAGAGAGAAAAGAAAGAAAGAAAGAAAGAAAGAAAGAAAGAAAGAAAGAAAGAAGGAAGGAAGGAAAGAAAGAAAGAAAGAAAGAAAGAAAGAAAGAAAGAAAGAAAGAAGGAAAGAAGGAAAGAAAGAAAGAAAGAAAGAAAGAAAGAAAGAAAGAAAGAAAGAAAGAAAGAAAGAAAGAAAAGAAAGAAAGGAAGGAAGGAAGGAAGGAAGGAGGGAAGGAAGGAAGGAAGGGAAGGAAGGGAAGGAAAGGAATGAAGGGAAGGAAGGGAAGGAAAGGAAGGAAGGAAAGGAAGAAAGGAAGAAAGGAAATACTCCTGCAGAGTTCTGTCACATGAGAGAGGGACAGTCGCCTGTGTGTGTTTGGGGATATGGGAGTCTAATTGATATTTACACAGCCTTTCAACCTCTCTGCCTGTTTTCGGCTCCATCATAAACCCTACGTTGAGAAATATCTACTATCTCCAATGTTGAAGGCTTCCTCAGGTTCTGAACTGCAAACTGCTTTTCCTTTTTATTTTTCCCCATTTCTTCCATGGGATTAAGCTTTTTAAAGTCTGTAAATTCAATTATCACCTGTCCATCAGCTTTCTGGTTCCAAGTCTTTTGATATATTCTCCCTTCCTGTTCTGTTATTTTTTTGCGATTAATGCCATTTTAATAGTGCTACAGGGAGAGTAGAGGTAAATGTCTACATTCAAAATGCCATATTCAATGAGAACCCAGTTTTTTTTTCTGTTTTTCATAAGACCAGATGGCACTATCTCAAAAACTGAGATTTTCCCCTAAAATCATAACATTTTAATTTTGAAATGACTATAGATACTCCTAAAGTTAGAGTTTGGTCATACCACATAAACTAGTTATTTCTTTTCTTTTTTTTTTTTTTTTTTTGAGACAGAGTCTCGCTCTGTCACCCAGGATGAAGTGCAGTGTTGTGATCTGGGCTCACTGCAAGCTCTGCCTCCTGGATTCACGCCATTCTCCTGCCTCAGCCTCCCGAGTAGCTGGGACTACAGGCGCCCGCCACAACGCCTGGCTAACTTTTCATATTTTTAGTAGAGACGGGGTTTCAACATGTTAGCCAGGATGGTCTCCATCTCCTGACCTTGTGATCCTCCCACTTCAGCCTCCCAAAGTGCTGGGATTACAGGCGTGAGCAACCACACCCAGCTTAACAACTACTTTGCCAGCTACTGATTTAGCTACTGATTTAGCTGCTTTTCATGAATTATCTCATTTAATACTTAGAACATTTCTATTAGATAACTATTAATGCCTCTTAACAGATGAGAGAAGAAGCAATAAATAATTGTTCAAAGAAGACACCCCTAATGAATGGCCACACACATACACACACAGCCACCTGGAACCCAGCCCCTATTTTTCAGATTATAAACATCAGATTATAAATTAACAACAGATAAGACAACTTTCCTTTGACCACGGGAATGTCTTTTATTATTGTTATTGTTTTACAGATGCTCTCTAGGTCGTGGTCTGAGGAATGTTGCTCCCGTCGTAAGGATGAGGCCACTCCCCTAAGAGAGCTCTAACCCAAAGGGCAGGTCACAGCAGGCTGTATTAATCACCTCAGTCTGGCCTCTAAAAAGAGCACTGAAGGGGAGGCAGCATTTTGGAAACTAAAGTTTGTCATTTGTCAACCTCGGTTAGGTGTCTGGACAATGGATACTTAATCTGGCTGATGATAAGATACAAGATCCGTGGTCCCACCCCAGATATTAAAATACACCAGGAGGGAAGGCAATGAACAATTTCCCTCATGCAGTTCACATTCTGTTGGAATGAGACATCGAAAGATGAAGAGTCAGGCAAAGTAGCAGAAGCAAGTGTGGGCCGTTAGGTGCAATGATGTCGTTCTGTCCAGAGGAAGAAGACACACAGGAGATAGTGAAGTCACCAGCTGTCAAGTGTATTGTCCATGCAATGGTCAGAAACCAGTAACCAGTAAGCCAGACAAAATGTATTCTTTTTCCATTTTCTTTATTCATTTTTCCCCAGGCTCTGAATATGGATTTTGAAGATGTGGCGCGTCTTAATGCCTCTGACCAGAGGCAAATATAATGGGGTGGGAAAGCAGTCAAAATATAATGGGGTGGGAAAGCAGGGTTCACCTGGGTCTCTGCATGGCAGTGGGTGCTGCAGTTAGAGGGTGGGGCCCCAGAGGGCCTGGGCTGAGACCCAGGATGGCAGAGTCAGGGCTGCCCAATCACTAGCCCCCCTGGAGCCAGACAGTGTCCTTCTATAATTTGGTTCTATGTTTCTGGAGGATCCTATATTTTGCTTTAAAATGAGTGGCCCTATCCTTATATAGTGGTTCTTTGATTGAGTTATTCATGTTCCCTAATATATCTGGAGATGTGCCATGGATATTGGAATTTGGGAAACTGACGTGGCCCATCTTCCTGGAATGTTGATTTTATTTCATGGTAAGCACTTTTAAGAATTAATCTTATATTTTAAAAACTGGGTTGTATTGTGGGATAGAAGGCAAAATTCACTGCAATATGTTTAAAGATGAAAGGAATCATTCTAAAAAGCATTTTCATAAGCAGAGAATGCTTGGAACTCTGACCTGCAGAAACCCACTTTCTCCTGCCTTTAAGATAATGTTTCATTTATTCACATTTCCATTATCAAACATTGACAAGGTTCCTGATATATGCCAGGCACATTTGGTAGTGAGAGCAATGAGATCCCATTCTCATGGCGGTTACAGTCTAGAAACAAGAGGACACACAGTGCTGACACCTGAGGAGGAAACAAAGCCAGCAGGAGCCAGAGTGAGTTGAGGGGAGGCTACTTAATGAAAGTGAGTTGGAAAGGCTTCTGTGACAAGGTGCCATTTGAGGTAAAACCCACATGTTGACAAGGAACCAGCCATGTGAAGAGCTGGGAGCATTCTAGGCAAAGGGCAGAGCCAAGCAAAACCTCCCTGAGACATAAAGAAGCTGGAGTGCCCAAAAGTAGACAGCAGAGCAGGGAATCTGCAGCTTAACAGGTGCGCATGGGGAGAAGCAGGTGCAACAGAAGTTGCATCAGAATCACCTGGTGAGCACAGACAAAAATGCAGCTTCCCCGGCTCCACCCAGATCGACAGATTCAGAATCTAAGAGGCAAAAACCCAGAATTCTACATTTTAAGATTCTCCAGGTCCTCCCTGACACACACACACACACACACACACACACACACACACACACACACACACAGTTAACAACACCATTTTAAATAAACTTAAGTTGAAACATTTTTGAAACACAGTCATGTGAGCTACCATGATTGCTTGGGAATTTCTTCCTGAATAAGCCCATGACGTTGTACAAGAAAGTGACAGGGCTGTCTTCCAAAACTCTATCATACATCTTTTCCTGGTGAACCCAAACCTCAGATTTTCTTTATCTAGTGGAACTTTCCAGGAAACAACAAAAAAGTGATTCACTGCAAGGGAAAAATGGGCTGTTGTTTCAGAAGAGCAGACCCCTATTGCACTCCTGGGCTGTGTGGCAGCCTGCACTTAGTTTGGTTTTTCATATGAAATAAAGAAGCACTGGGGTTTGATTGGGCAACAGCTGTTCTCATGAATTAACTATCTCTGAATTTAGAAAATTGCTGTGTTCACCAGATTATCTTCCCAGCTGGTTAAATGAAGACAAACAGAGACAATTATTATAATTTTGTGCAGTTGTGGGGGTTATTCCGCAAAAGTTACAGTATTTCTATATTTTTTACATTAGAGATAAAAAGAGATGAATGACTTTAATTTTCTTGGAACTTCAATTACAGGGCTTGAATTGTCCCTGAGATAAGGGAGAGAAGTTGAGAATTCCCAATACAGAGCCATCCTATTAAAGATGATCTCCAAGATCAGTAATGCAAACAGAACTGTGGAGCATGCCAAGAAACTCAGATTTGCTCTTATTTTCAATTATTTTAGTAGTTACTTTTTGACATTTACCAACTTCTCAATAAGGAGAGTGTCCATGAGGTCTGTCAGATACATAATTTGATGCTGACAGTGATCGTGACTTCCAAAGGGAATCAGATGTTACTCGGGGTTTTAGCTTCATGTATCCCTCACCTGTCCTACAAGGAGAAGAGAGGGAGGGGAGTCAGTTGTTTCAACCAAGAAACAGAGGAAGGTAGTTTAACTGAAGCTCAAGATTAAATCTTGAGTTACCAAATATATAACTGTGGAAGCTATATAAAACACAGTTTATGGCCAGGCACAGTAGCTCACGCCTCTAATCCCAGCACTTTAGGGAGGCCAAGGCAGGCAGATCACGAAGTCAGGAGTTTGAGACCAGCCTGACCAACATGGTGAAACCCCGCCTCTACCAAAAATACAAAAATTAGCCAGGCATGGTGGCATGTGCCTGTAACACCAGCTACTCAGGAGACTGAGGCAGGAGAATTGCTTGAACCCAGAAGGCGGAGGTTGCAGTGAGTGGAGATCGCACCACTGCACTCCAGCCTGGGCGACAGAGACTCCATCTCAAAAAAAAAAAATACACAGTTTATGTCACTAAGTTTATCCCTTTGATTCTCACACAATGACCCTGAGAGGCTACATCTGCATTGTTAAAGAAATTGAGACCCTGAGAGATTCAAGTTTACCCCAGAGGGTCTGCCTGAAAGTAACTATGTATTCTCAATCTAGATACTAGATTCTACCATATGTCGCACTTCACAAAACTGCCAGGCTTTTCCACCTCCGTATCTGAAGAAAGGAAAAAAAATTAACTTCATATAGACAGCCATGAGGTGAGAGGTAGGAAATTTGGGGTCTTATTTTGGATCGCTTACTAATTTAGTATTTCCCACACTGGTCCTAGTTTAGGAGAATAAGCAGACTTGGATGGAATGACTTGTCTAAAATTAATCAATTCTGTGTGGAAGGACATTCTAGAATATGTGCATTATGCAATGTGTATATATTTATATATGTTTGTATATATGATGAAGTCTCATCCACGGTTTCGGAGGATGTCCATAACAATCGTATCCAAGCCTCTAGGCTGGCTGGTCCAATGGATACAGCGTTAGAATCTACCAGCTCTTCAAACAGTTTGGACCTGATAGATTCTCAAAGACATTTTTCTCAGCACTTTCCTTCTTTTCATTTATATATGTTTTAAAGCTATAATTTTGCACTAGCTTGATTCACCCAAAAGGTAATCTGGAGAATAGAAACTTCCACTTTTGTTCCATAGCCAAGTTATCACTGTGAGTCAAGTGTACAGGAAGGCTCAGTTGATGAATGTTTCACAGGGACGCTTTATTCCCATGGGTGGACACCATGTGTGACATTGTCAAATAGGGGCCCAGAGGCTTTGGGATCATGGATGTGAGTGCGCCTCCAAACTCAGTGTCACTTTGCACTTGCGATGTACATATGTACACCCCTCATTCGGGAGAATTCTACTTCTGAGAACCGCAAGAAAGAAGTCTTCCCATTAAGAAACCTAGGAACTCATGAGTAAAATTGACTTAGGGCATAGTCATTGGAAGTGAATCTATAAAAGCGTTCAGAAATACTACGTGGTCCTTAAAATAAAACAATATACACGTAGACATTGAAGATACTATGAATGGCATCTTAGATTTCTCAGTTCAGTAAAATGTAATTCAGAATAACTGCATTACACTCTTGCCTATATCTATAACTGTATATGCCATTTAACCAATCTGCATGATTTTCTTTTGGTGTCTACTATTTCATCGGAACATTCAGTGCTTTTCTGAAGAGAGGGGGATTTCTTATCAGGCTTTCTAAAAACAGTTCAAACTCAAACATTGAATAATTTTATTCTGAACGATTTAACTCATAGCCTCAAAGTTTAGAAACACAGTAGTATTAAAAAGTTTCTATTAAATCATGAAGGCCGGGCATGGTGGCTCATGCCTGTAATCCCAGCATTTTAGGAGGCTGAGGTGGGCGGATCACCTGAGGTCAGGAGTTCAAAACCAGCCTGGCCAACATGGTGAAACCTTGTCTCTACTAAAAATACAAAATTTAGCCAGGCATGATAGTGAGCACCTGTAATCCCAGCTGCTTGGGAGGCTGAGGCAGGAGAATTGTTTGAACCCAGGAGACGGAGGTTGCAGTGAGCCAAGATCGTGCCAGTGTATTCCAGGCTGGGTGACAGAGGGAGACTGAGTTTCCAAAAAAAAAAAAAAAAAAAAAAAGATGAATCATGAGTCTCCAAGGTTAGAGGAGAAGTGGCTCCCATATGTATGCTTGCACAATAAGTACTGTTGGGCTTCATAAGGAATAGAAATCATTTCTGATTGCAATAATAAAAAAAATTGCTTATTACGTTACAATGCAATTACTCCAAGCTTGAGGTGGCATTTGAGTTCTCCATGAAGACTAAGCAGCATTTTTTAAAACTAGTATAGGGAAAAGGAAGTGTGTGAATAAAGGGAAATCCTCCAGGCAGGGTTGCAGAGGGGTCGGGGAGGAAGGCTGCAAGGTATATGCAAACTCACGGAAGAGGCAAGTTCAAGAGGCCATGGTGGGAGGTGAGACTGAAGACCGTTGCAGAAGCTCTTACCGCTGTACTTTCTGAGATAAACAGTGGAGAGACTTTGAACAGGCGGCTGCCTGTTGAAGCGATCCCTTCCGATTGTTGCTAGAGTCCCCAAGCATGTGCTGGGCCATGCACTGGGCCGTAGGTCATGACCATGGCATTGGCATGACCATGACCCCTTCTGTAGTATGATAGGAAATATATTTGGTCTTTGTCCCTGATAAAGAGCTCCTAAAACACTTGGAAGTTCCTGAGTGACAGGTGTATCCTTTGATATTCATAATGAGTCCCTTTTGGTCATACCTGAGTTTATACTTATGAGATGACTGAGGTTGGGGCCCCAAGATAGCCTCTGGATGGGACTGGTCACCAGAAAGACCAAGTGATTCGAGAGTTGGAACTTTCGTCCCCACCCACTGACCTCTGGGGGCTGGGGTGAGCTGGAGATGAAGCTCTATAAAAGCTCTTGAACAATGAGACTTGATGAGCTTCCAGGCTGCTGAACACGTGGAGGTGCACAGAAGCCCCCACCATCCCTCGCCCTCTGCAGCTCTCCCATCATCTCTCTGCTTTGTGGTATGTTTTATAATAAACCCATAAACACAAGTAAACTGTTTCCCTGAGTTCTTTGAGCCATCCTAGCAAATTATCAAACCTGAGGAGGGGGTCGGTGGTGGGAATTTCCGATTTACAGCCAGTCAGTCCACCGCACGGGAGGACCAGATTTGCCACTGGCATGGGAAGGGACTGTGGTCTTGCAGGACTGAGACTTACCTTGCAGGATCTGATACTAACTCCAGGTAAATGGAGTTAGAATTCAATTAAATAGTAGGACACCCAGATGGCATCAGAGAATCAGTCAGTGTGAGGGAAAAAACCGTACATGCAGTGTCAGAAGTGCCCCGTGAGAGTGGAGAGAGACCATTTTCACAGATCTTCTCAGGCCTCTGCATTGCAGGAGAGGAACCAGGAACTGCATTTCCCAGGTCCCCTTTCTCCTGCTGGTTCTGGGTTCCAGATGAAAGGGAGAGCGACTTTAGAGAGGCATGGAAAGTTGAGAGAAGACAGTGCCCGCCGGAAAATGTGTGGAAGGAGTGGTTCAAACAGGGGCCAAGCACACTTCCCAGGAGGCCCATCTTCATTGCTGCAGGCTGCAGGCCTTGGTGTGGCCTCCCTGACTGGATCTCCCAGCCGTCCAGTGGTTCTATAAGCCACTGCTTCCCTGTATGAACACCCTTTCTTTCTTGGAAAGCACAGGGTATCTCTGTTTCCTGACTGACAGTTTGGATGGGGAGAGACTGCCGGGAAGAAGAAGGTTTAAGAGGCATATATCAGTCTGGTGTGCAGTACTGGGCTCAAAACCAGAAACGAATCTCATTTTAAGCATCTCATATATTCACCCTTGATTGCTCAGTCACTCTGCACCAAAGTCCTCCTGATCACCCTTGGAGACAGCCAATTTCACCTTAGTCAAGGTAGGAGTGGGAGGTGGCTCACTCCCAGTTACATTTACAAGCCAAATTCCACCTTTGTCCTTTCCCTCACTTGGCTTTACCAGGCTGGTATCTATATTTCAACCCTTAACTTCATTGGACAACATCTGTATTTGAATCCAGAAGGTACATGGCTTCCACGGGGACAATTCTGATCCACTTTGATGGTTGAGCACTTTTTAATGTCAGGATTTCAGTGAAGTTTGAGAGAGAGAATTCAATTAGCCCAGTGTATAAGAACCTCTCATCAGTAAAGCTGACACAGTTCTCTCCTCAAATGTATCCTTCTTCCATCTCTACTGACTCAGAGCAAAATGACAAGCTTCCATGCCAGAAGAAACAGGCAGGAAATCTGCAGTCACCGAGTGTGGGGTAGGGAGCAAGGGAAACAGTATTCCATAATTAATCTATTAGGGTGGTATTGCAGACGTTCTCCCATTCTCTCTCACCCTCGCATCAGGAGAGTTTGGTATAATAGCCCCAGTTTGCTCAAAACTCTAGCTCACAGTTAAGAAACACCTGGCCCAGCAGCATGCAGCTGGCTGGAAAGTGGCAGGGCCATTTCTCTCAGGTTCCAATGTCCCCCAGGATCGTACTCCCTCCATTTACCAAGTGGTCCTGAACCCCTGAATCCAACTGATGAGCAAGTTCCCAGGCCAGTATTCAACACAGAGCACACCCAAGAGAGTAGATGCCGACAGGTGTGGGGCAGCAGGTAGAGACAGGTGTGCACTCCAAACTTGAATTAGGACATATTTTAACCAAAAGCCTTGTATGCTTCTAAACATAAGATGAAAACTGGAAGTAAATCTTGAGTGAGGTACTTCATAATGAGTTCACTTGGCTCTCCTGAATCCAATATTGAGGAGTTCCGCTGAATGAAATTCACTAGGAAAGGCTAGAAACAGGCTCATTATTTTTATTACCCTTTTAAAGGTTTCATTTAAATCCCAGGATTGTAATATACGTCCCATGTCCTGAAATTGTAAATTGAATCAAGACCAAGAAACTGGCCCAGAAAACTCGCCTGAGCTGCTGAAAAGGGTGATGCTTGCGGATGTGATTTCCATATGCCCGTGACATTTCTATCCCAAGGCCAAGTCCCCTGTATCACAGCTCTACTCACAGTGCAGGCATTCCTCAGCCAGGGCACCATGTGTCCTGAGGCTGAGAAAGTAAAGCTGTGGGTTCTGCAGAGCCACCTGCTCATTGTGCCCTGCTCGGGGCTGAGGAGCGGCTCATTTGTGGCCCTCCATGGAGCAGAAAGTCCAAGTGACTTCTTACAGTGGTGAAAGGAAAGCCTTGCTTTGCCTTTGTTTCCCTTGAGGACTTTCCATCACCTTCAGAATGAAGCTCAGGCTCTGCAACTTGGCATTTGATGTCCTTTGTGCCGTGACCCTGCCTTCTTCTCCAGCCACATCTCCTGACCCCCACTTCTCCCTGTGCCCCCCATAAACCCTGGGACCTCTTCATTGCCCACTGCTTTTCCCTTTTCAAGCTTAAAAATCTCCCCAAACTATTAACATATGATCTTCCAAATCCCAGTCAAGCAATATCCTCATGCAAAACTCACCTCTGCAATGACAATTTCTGAAACTCCCCAGAAAGCATTTTCCCTCCCTATGTATTTCCCTTGCAGCCAATGAATATCTCATGTAAAATGGTGGTGCATTCCCTTACAATCATTTCTTCCCATGTGATCCTCCAGATCAAGACCATGTACAACTCACTTTAATATTTGCTGGCCTGTCAGTGTGTTTGAAACATGTTAGGCACACAATATGTGATTTTTAAATAAAGTTATCCATTGATGATGTCCCTTAAATGACACATTTAGTGCTTTAAAGAGATTCCTGGATCTGGGATTCCAGGGCAGGACAAGGGAACATTGTCTTCTTCTTCTCTAACTCCTCCTTAGCCTCTTCTTGATCCAGCGAGAAGGAAGCTCGCTGGGTCCTATTACCTTTGATGGTGAAGACTTCCCACCAATAGACCCCAGGATAGCCACTGCCAGATGTAGCCCTTGTTGAATCCGTTTGTAAATCATTGAGTCAGGAGGTCTTTAGAGTTTGAGGTTAAAGTTCCCCATGCCATTGATTTGACAAAGGATGTTTTCCAGATAACCACCCCTGGAATCTTCAGAACTTAACCCTAGACATTGTATAGCACCTAGAAGCCCTGATATCAGAAGATGAAGTTTAGACAGGAGACACTCAAAGCCTAGGGTGAAGATTTAAACAGCAGACATGATTTCCATAGGAATAACTGTACCTTGGCAGGAGCCCAGCAGAAAATGGTCCTAGGATATGGCTGGAAATTAGAAAAGAAAGAAAGAAAGGAAAAAAGCAATGCAACCCCATGTCTGCACGAAGAAGGTATTTCTCTTTGCTGGAGTGTCTCAGAAGGATCAAACATGTAATTAGGAATAAAATATGTTTCCCCTGTCTCTGCCACTACCTAATCGCTAATTAGCTGGACTATATGCTGTTAGAAGAAAGATATGAATAATGTTTAGAGGCCTTCAGACAAGGATAACAGTCATAGCAATAGAGGAAACCAAGTCCATTGGTGTGTAGAAAAAGATGCTTGGTTTCTGAGACATACTTATGTCTGTGATATTTAACCAAACATCTCTTCACTGGAGCCACCTCGCTCTAAATACCTTTATCTGATAAGATGCATGATTTCCTTTTAGAAAAATCTATTTTCCTAGATTCCACTTTTAAACTAGATTGTAATCCTCATTTTCTTTGTCGGGACATTGAAGCTCTTGAGGCTGAGAGGAAACCTTAAGCCTCTGGAGACAGGATTTGTTCCTGCTTTGACAGTGGCCCTGATTAGAATCCTGCTGCACGCTGCTGTGCAATCTCCCTTCTTGTTTATTGCACGGACCATGATGAATGGCTCCTTTGTCTGGCTCTCCTAACTACACCGTCCCCCTTTGGGGCAGAAACTGGGTGTCCCCAACTCCCAGCCCTGGGTCTAACACAGGTCAGTAAATGAGTGACTTTGCTGATGGACCTCATCTCCCAAAAAATGCTGCCTCTTGGGGACAGGGGATATTGGCACCCTCCCTGAGAATTACACAGGAAGTGCATCTTTCGGTAAGATTGCATTTACTGCTTCTTCAAAAATTAAATAACACCTTATTTTTTTCACCATTACATTGTAAAAAAAAAAAGTAAACAGACTCAAAAATTGTCTGTGCTTCATTGAATCAAAGCATTAGCATATGCAGGCTTATGTCATCAGTTTTCATCTGATGGTCACAGAGCAAAGTCCCTGCAAAATGACTCTTGCCTTTCATAGATAATTTTAGATTTTAATTCATTTTTTTCTCTCCAGTAGATAAAGTGCTAGTGCACTTAGCCTTAAATAACATGAGGATGTCAAATTACAATCCAATGTCTTGAAAAAGGGCACCACCTATGCGTTGATGGAGATATAAAGACTTCAAAACAATTGCAGGGAACTCTAGAGACAGAATGTATGTTAAGAGGCAGTATCTTCCCTGCTTCATCAGTTTTTCTATAGTCTGAAAAAAAAGATGACATCACTAAATCTAATCATATTTGTCATGTCCAATGTATTCTATTCTAAACTTAAAAATAGCATATTAAATATTGCTGATCAGATAAAAATTTGAGCATATTACTAATGTTTTAGCTTATTTCATAAAAAAGACATAAACAGTATTTCCAGGACTTCTAGAGATGTATTGGGATGAGCATATGTAGGGGTGCATAAGGACACAGCACTGTGTGAATGCATCTTTATGGGGGGGCTGCATTTTGTTGGAGGATGCTTTTTAAAGGACAAATATCTGGCAGCAATCACAAATTCTGGATCATGGTTCTCCATCTGGTTGGATTTTGAGAGCTTGGGAATTGAGGCCCCAGTGGGCTTGTGGAAAATGCAAGAATGTCAATGGCCATGGCAGTTCTCCTTTCAGCAAACTCACCCCAACCCCCTTCACAAACACACACACACACACACACACACACAAATATGCATGCACGCAGTCTAACCCAGCTTTGTCCACAGGCTTTGAGAGTGCTTTGATGATTGGTCTCATTTGACTCCTTCTGTACAATGAATGTGGCTAAACAAAAAAGAAACCTCAGAAGATTCTTTCAAGCTAAACCAATTAGATCCAGACAGGTAAAATGAAGTTATGGATCCAGGGATTCTGAAAATACTCCGAAAGACATTTGCGGCTCCTGTGAATCAGTGGCACAGTTGAAAACACCAGAGTAAGAATGTCTGCCCAGTGTGCCACAGCTCTGAGCAGCAGCACACTGCCAGAGCCCTGGGCAGCAGGCCAGAGGCCCAAATGGAGGGTCCCCTGGGGAAAGGGAAGGAACACACTTCCCAGCTCCCCAGCTGCTAGGAAAGTACCTCCATAAAGACATCAGGACCTTCCTATTTACCAACTGCTCTATGCTTAGGTATTCATCCATACATGTGAGTGAATAAAGGTGAGTTTGGTCAAGTACTGTGCCATGTATCAGGAATTCAGACATAAACCACATACTGCCTTTGCTGTTTGGTGTCAAATGCAGCACAAATAATGATAAGAATAGCCACATTCATTGAAGCTGCTATGCTATGCTATGCTCCTAAAATTCATTACCTCAAAATCTCAAAACAACACTGCAAGGACAGATTATTTTCCCTCATTTTTATGCTGAAGAAACTAAAGCATGGGAGGTTAAGAACCTCATAATCACAGAGCTCCAAATGGCAGGGTAGGATTTGAACACAGGTCTATCTGCACCTTACCTAAGTTTACTAACCTATTTCACATGTAGCCTGTTTCTCCAGGTGTTAACATAGCATCTGCATTTCACAGGCTTTGTTTCCAGCTCTAGAGGGACATCCTCAGTTCCCTGCAATGCCCATCTCACCCTGGTGTTATTTCTCAAGGTCCCCAGAGAGTGTCTTGGAAATACTGCAGGATACCCTGTCACGTATCTCATGACCTACGTCCTTTTTCTCCTCCCTCCCCCCACCTGCCGCAGTGTCACCTTTTCCAGCCACCACCGTGAGGGTGACCCACATGCCAGCTTCTCATAGGGGCCATGGGAAGGCCAGGAACCTCCAGGTCCAGCCCTCTGTACAGCCAAGCTGACCAGCAGGGCTCAAGCAAAAAGAAGGCCTACCTCATCCCATCAACCTCACACTTTGCAATCAGGGCAACAGAGCAGAGCTCCTTCTGTCCATCATGGCGGTAATGATGTCAGTTTTCTGCTTGAGGACAATCCAAGTGACACACACCATATTATATCCTGAGTAGCTCTTCCCTCAGGCTCTGTTAGTTAACTAAACCTTTGTCCCTAATTAACTTTCTCTTCTCATAGGTTGTGTTTTCTTCAGAAAGCTGAGGCCCCATGCATGTGCCAGATGTGCCAAGTGAAGCCCAGTGGTGGTCAGATGTCCAGGAGACCCAGACTGGGCTCCCTCACTACACACACACATACACACACACACACACACACACAAGCACACACCCTTCTCAAAGTGAATATCTCTTCTGTGCAAAGCAAAAACTGTGTATCTTTGCCAGAACAGAAGCTATAGTTTGTGTGTGACCCATACTTAAGCCATGCAAACAGCTTTTACCTTGAGACTGACCATGCAAATGGACATATCCTTTCCAGGAAAGGGTGCGTATCCTAAGCTTTGTCTGAAAGCTCCAGCTGCGGGGAATGCAAAGAAGAAGGCCAGGGAGGATGGATGATGCAGTGCTCAGCCATGTTGAGGATCCTAATGCAATCTCCCCTTTAAGAAGAGGGGACAGGGGGTTGCTTCCAAGATGGCCAAACAGGAACTGCTCCAGTCCACAGCTCCCAGCGAGATTGACATAGAAGACAGGTGATTTCTGCATTTCCAACTGAGGTACCTGGTTCATCTCACTGGGACAGGTTGGACAGTGGGTGCAGCCCACAGAGGGCAAGTTGAAGCAGGGCAGGGCGTTGTCTCACCCGGGAAGCACAAGGGGTCGGAGGATTTCCCTTTCCTAGCCAAGGGAAGCCGTGAGTGACTGTACCTGGAGAAGCAGTACAATCCTGTCCAAATACTGCACTTTTCCCACAGTCTTTGCAACCACCAGACCAGGAGATTCCCATGCCTGGCTTGGTGGGTCCCACACCCACGAAGCCTTGCTCACTGCTAGCACAGCAGTCTGAGATCAACCTGGGATGCTGAAGTTTGGGAGGGGAGGGGCGTCCACCATTGCTGAGGCTTGAGTAGGTGGTTCTATGCTCACAGCGTAAACAAAGCAGCAGGGAAGCTCGAATTAGGCAGAGCCCACCGCAGCTCAACAAGTCCTACTGCCTCTCTAGATTCCACCTCTGAGGGCAGGGCATATCTGAACAAAAGGCAGCAGACAGCTTCTCCAGACATAAACATCCCTGCCTGACAGCTCTGAAGAGAGCAGTGGTTCTCCCAGCATGGCGTTTGAGCTCCAATAACAGACAGACTGCCTCATCAAGTGGGCCCCTGACCCCCAGTAGCCTGACTGGGAGACACCTCCCAGTAGGGGCTGACAGACACCTCATACAGGTGGGTGCACCTCTGGGATGAAGCTTCCAGAGGAATGATCAGGCAGCAATATTTGCTGTTCTGCAGCCTCCCCTGGTGATACCCAGGCAAACAGGGTCTGGAGCGGACCTCCAGCAAACTCCAACAGACATGCAGCTGAGGAGCCAGTCTGTTAGAAGGAAAACTAACAGAGAGAAAAGGAATAGCATCAACATCAACAGAAAGGATATCTACACCAAAACCCCATCTATAGGTCACCAACATCAAAGACTGAAGGTAGATAAAACCACAAAGATGGGGAGAAACCAGAGCAGAAAGGCTGAAAATTTCAAAAACCAGAATGCCTCTTCTCCTCCAAAGGAACACAACTCCTTGCCAGCAAAGGAACAAAACTAGATGGAGAATGACTTTGATGAGTTGATGGAGAAGTAGGCTTCAGAAGGTCAGTAATAACAAACTTCTCTGAGCTAAAGAAGCATGTTCTAATGCATCACAAGGAAGCTAAAAACCTTGAAAAAAGGTTAGACGAATGGCTAACTAGAATAACCAGTGTAGAGAAGACCTTAAATGACCTGATGCAGCTGAAAACCCATAGTATGAGAACTGTGTGAAGCACACACAAGCTTCAATAGCTGATTCGATCAAGCAGAAGAAAGGATATCAGTGATTGAAGATCAAGTTAATGAAATAAAGCAAGAAGACAAGGTTAGAGAAAAAAGAATGAAAAGAAACTAATAAAGCCTCCAAGAAATATGGGACTATGAGAAAAGACCAAATCTGCATTTGAGCGGTATACCTTAAAGTGACGGGGAGACTGGAACCAAGTTGGAAAACACTCTTCAGGATATTATCCAGGAGAACTTCCCCAACCTAGCAAGGCAGGCCAACATTCAAATTCAGGAAATACAGAGAACACCACAAAGAAGCTCCTCGAGAAGACCAACCCCAAGACACATAATTGTCAGATTCACCAAGGTTGAAGTGAAGGAAAAAGTGTTAAGGGCAGCCAGAGAGAAAGGTTGGGTTACACACAAAGGAAAGCCCATCAGACTAACAGAGGATCTCTCAGCAGAAACCCTACAAGCCAGAAGAGAGTGGGGGCCAATATTCAACATTCTTAAAGAAAAGAATTTTCAACCCAGAATTTCATATCCAACCAAACTAAGCTTCATAAGTGAAGGAGAAATAAAATCCTTTACAGACAAGCAAATGCTGAGAGATTTTGTCACCACCAGGCCTGCCTTACAAGAGCTCCTGAAGGAAGCACTAAACTTGGAAAGGAACAGCCGGTACCAGCCACTGCAGAAACATGCCAAATTGTAAAGACCACTGATGCTTTGAAGAAACTGCATTAATTAACGGGTGAAATAACCAGCTAACATCATAATGACAGGATCAAATTCACACATAACAATATTAACCTTAAAAGTAAATGGGTTAAATGCCCCAATTAAAAGACACAGATTGGCAAATTGGATAAAGAGTCAAGACCCATCAGTGTGCTGTGTTCAAGACTCACCTCACGTGCAAAGACATACATAGGCTCAAAATAAAGGGATGGAGGAAGATCTACCAAGCAAATGGAAAGCAAAAAAATGCAGGGGTTGCAATCCTGGTCTCTGATAAAACAGACTTTAAACCAACAAAGATCAAAAGAGACAAAGAAGGCCATTACATAATGGTAATCAATTCAATGAGAAGAGCTAACTATCCTAAACATATATGCAGCCAATAAGTGAGCACCCAGATTCATAAAGCAAATCCTTAGAGATCTACAAAGAGACTTAGACTCCCACACAATAATAATGGGAGACTTTAACACCCCACTGTCAATATTAGACAGATCAATGAGACAGAAAATTAACAAGGATATCCAGGACTTCAACTTAGCTCTGGACCAAGCAGACCTAATAGACATTTACAGAACTCTCCACCCCAAATCAACAGAATATACATTCTTCTCAGCACCACATCGCACTTATTCCAAAATTGACCACTTAATTGGAAGTAAAACACTCCTCAGCAAATGTAAAAGAACATAAATCACAACAAACTGTCTCTCAGACCACAGTGCAATCAAATTAGAACTCAGGATTAAGAAACTCACTCAAAACTGCACAACTACATGGAAACTGAACAATCTGCTCCTGAATGACTACTGGGTAAATAACAAAATGAAGGCAGAAATAAAGATTTTATTTGAAACCAATGAGAACAAAAACACAACATACCAGAATCTCTGGGACACATTTAAAGCAGTGTGTAGAGGGAAATTTATAGCACTAAATGCCCACAAGAGAAGGCAGGAGAGATCTAAAATCGACATCCTAACATCACAATTAAAAGAACTTGAGAAGCAAGAGCAAACACATTCAAAAGCTAGCAGAAGACAAGAAATAACTAAGATCAGAGCAGAACTGAAAGAGATAGAGATACAAAAAAAAAAACCTTCAAAAAAATCAATGAATCCAGGAGCTGGTTTTTTGAAAAGACCAGAAAAATAGATAGACTGCTAGCAAGACTAATACGGAAGAAAAGAGAGAAGAACCAAATAGACGCAATAAAAAATGATAAAGGGGATATCACCACCGATCCCACAGAAATACAAACTACCATCAAGAATACTATAAACACCTCTATGCAAATAAACTAGAAAATCTAGAAGAAATGGATAAATTCCTGGACACATACACGCTCCCAAGACTAAACCAGGAAGAAGTTGAATCTCTGAATAGACCAATTACAGGTTCTGAAACTGAGACAATAATTAATAGCCTACCAAAAAAAAAAAAAACCGCCCAGGACCAGATGGATTCACAGCCGAATTCTACCAGAGGTACAAAGAGGAGCTGGTACCATTCGTTCTGAAACTATTCCAATCATAGATAAAGAGGGAAGCCTCCCTAACTCATTTTATGAGGCCAGCATCATCCTGATACCAAAGCCTGGCAGAGACACAACAAGAAAAGGAGAATTTTAGGCCAATATCCCTGATGAACATCAATGCAAAATTCCTCAATAAAATACCTAGGAATATAACTTACAAGGGATGTGAAAGACCTCTTTGAGGAGAATGACAAACCACTGCTTAAGGCAATAAGAGAGAACACAAACAAATGGAAAAACACTCCATGCTCATGGATAGGAAGGATCAATATCGTGAAAATGGCCTTACTGCCTAAAGTAATTTATAGATTCAATGCTATCCTCATCAAGCTACCACTCACTTCCTTCACAGAACTGGAAAAACTACTTTAAATTTCATATGGAACCAAAAAAGAGCCCACATAGCCAAGACAATCCTGGGCAAGAAGAACAAATCTGGAGGCATCACGCTACCCGACTTCAAACTTTACTACAAGGCTACAGTAACCAAAACAGCATAGTACTGGTACCAAAACAGATATATAGACAAATGGTACAGAACAGTGGCCTCAGAAATAACACCATACATCTACCACCATCTGATCTTTGACAAACCTGACATGCACAACCAATAGGGAAAAGATTTCCTGTTTAATAAATTAATAATTTATTAATAAATGGTGTTGGGAAAACTAGCTAGCCATATGCAGAAAACTGAAACTGGACCCCTTCCTTACACCTTATACAAAAATCAACTCAAGATGGATCAAAGACTTATACATAAGACCTAGGACCATAAAAATCCTAGAAGAAAACCTGGGCAATACCATTCAGGGCATAATGATGAGCAAAGACTTCATGTCTAAAACACCAAAAGCAATGTCAACAAAAGCCAAAATTGACAAATGGGATCTAGTTAAACTAAAGAGCTTCTGCACAGCAAAAGAAACTATCATCAGAGTGAACAGGCAACCTACAGAGTGGGAGATTTTGCAATCTATCCATCTGACAAAGGGCTAATATCAAGAATCTACCAAGAAATAAAACAAATTTACAAGAAAAAAGCAAACAACCCCATCAAAAATGGGCAAAGGATATGAGCAGACAACTTCTCAAAAGAAGACATTTATGCAGCCAACAGACATATAAAAAATGCTCATCATCACTGGTCATTAGAGAAATGCAAATCAAAACCACAATGAGATACCATCTCTTGCCAGTTAGAATGGTGATCATTAAAAAGTCAGGAAACAACAGATGCTGGAGAGGTTGCGGAAAAATAGGAATGCTTTTACACTGTTGGTGGGAATGTAAATTAGTTTAACCATTGTGGAAGACAGTGTGGCAATTTCTCAAGGATCTAGAACAAAAATACCATTTGACCCAGCAATCCCATTACTGGGTATATACCCAAAGGATTATAAATCATTCTACAATACACATGCAGAAGTATGTTTATTGCAGCACTATCCACAATAGCAAAGACTTGGAACCAACCCAAATGTCCATCAATGGTAGACTGGATTAAGAAAATGTGGCACATGTACACCATGGAATACTATGTAGCCATAAAAAAGGATGAGTTCATGTCCTTTACAGGGACATGGATGTAGCTGGAAACCATCATTTTCAGCAAACTATTATAAGATCAGAAAACCAAACACTGCATGTTATCACTCATAAGTGGGAGTTGATCAATGAGAACACATGGACATGGGGAGGGGAACATCACACACCAGGGCCTATGGGGGGTGGGGGGGCTAGGGGAGGGATAACATTAGGAGAAATGCCTAATGTAGGTGATGGGTTGATGGGTGCAGCAAACCACCATGGCATGTGTATACGTATGTAACAAAACTGCACATCCTGCACATGTAACTCAGAACTTAAAGTATGAAAAAAAAAAAAAAAAAAAGAGGGGACAATGATGGACAGTGATAAGGGAAGATGGAGAGAGGGAAGGAGGATGGCCTCCCTCCACCATGAGCCCATGTCCCCAAGGGAACCAATGTATTTCCTCATTTCCCCCAGGCCAAGCAGCCAGAGGACGCCGTGCTGTGGGGTCTGCAGAGAGCAGGAAGCCTCAGCATCAGGGTCGAGGCCGTCCAGTCGTGGAAGAGAATTTCAAAACAGGACAAGGCACATGGGGGCAGCCTGGCAGCCTGAGCCCCTCTGACTTCCCAGAGCCCAGGCCTGCCCCGGCAGCTTGGCGTTCTTTCTCCTGCCAGCCTGGATCACCTGTCCCTTCAACGTATTTCACTGTTTACATAAATGCGTGAATTTATTCCTTCATTCAATATTCTACACATATGTGTTGAATATCTAGCCTGTGCCAGGCATTCTTCTGGGCACTTGGGCAGGGCATGAAATAAACCAAGCAAACATCTCTAACTCTTTAAGCCTCTATTTTCCTGGAGAGAGACAGGCAACAAGTACAGTAAGTGGGCAAGCTATTGCTAAGGTAGAAACTGGGAAGCGTTCTGGAGGAAAGTAACACAGGAAGGCACATAGGGAGTGCGGGGACCTGGGGAAGCAGCTTACCCAAGAGTCCGAGGAAAGGCCTCCCTGTGAAATGGGCGTGGGAGCAAAGATCTGGAAGGGTGACAGCAGGTCAGGTCTTGCAGTGGGAGCATGTGTAGGACAGTCAAGGCCTGGCAAGAGGGCCGGAGTAGCCAAACAGGAATCAGTGAAAGGGGGAAACAGAAGAGGCCAGAGAGGTAGGAGACAGTCAGGGCCCTCAGGGCCATGGAGCATTGAAAGGGCTCTGGGTGTGGCCTTGGCAAGGGGGTCATCACAAAGTCTGAGCGGGGAAGAGACATAATCTGACTTATTTTTTATCACTATGGCAACCGCGTGGAGAGTGGATGAAAAGGCAGCACCGCAGAAGCAGGGCCATCAGTTTCCTGCAGTGATCAAGTAAGAGATGAGGACAACTTGGCCTGGCTGTAGCCACGATGGTATAGAGAACTGCTCAGGTACTGGGAGTATCTTAAAGGTAGAGACAGCAAGATTAGCCAGTAGGTTGCATGAAGAATATGAGTTATGAACTGGACGTAAAGTTGACTACAAGTGTATTAACCTAAGTATCCCAAAGGAGGGAATGGCCATTTCCTAGGGTGGGGAAAATCATGAAAGATTAGGGGAGACAATCAGGCATTCTGTTGCATGCACATTAGGCTTGAGATGGCCAACACAAGTGAAATAACAAGGCAATGGATAGATGAATCTGAATCCAAAGGCCAGGAGAGAGATCTACACTAGACACATGAATTTGGGAAGTACCAGTGCCTACATGGTATCTAATTCCATGAGACTTAATGAGAACATCTTGGGACTGAGTGTAGAGAGCAAGAGAAGAGGTCCAAGGATTGGGCCCTGGGATCCCAACATGAAAAGATCAGGGAGATGGCGGGAAACCAGTAAGGAAGACTAAGAAAGCCAGGGGAGTCTTACAGCAGGAAGTGAGCAGAGAACAAACCCAAGTGCAGAAATTATTTCAAAGAACAGGAAAGTGATCAATTGCTCAAAGCTGCTGGGAGGCCAAGTGGGATGAAGGCTGAGAGCGGACCTTCTGATGTAGCAGCATATCCATGTCAGGTGCCTGGACAAGAGTAGCTTCAGGGGAGTAGGGGTGGAGGAAAGCCTGATTCAAGCAACGTGCCAGGGAAGAGATGTTTGTCTTATGTCTTCTTCCTGAGCACAAAGGAGGCCCATATTTACTTCACCCAGTCAGTTTCATAAGTCAGGAACACACCCAGAGTTTATTCCTGGACACATAGTTCTTATGTGACCTCTTTGCACAATCCTCAACTCTCTCTCTCCTCCCACTCCTTCCCTCCCTCCTTCCATTTCTCCCTCGTTCCGTCTTCCTCTCCCCTTTATGACAGATACAGTCAGGTTATCAGGCTTGAATGGGAAAGCTACATTCTTCATCTGATCTTTGCTCTGAGTCACTCTATTCAACTGAGAAGTGCTCTGTGAAGTTTTCACCCAAAGCCTTATTAAATTTTCTATCTTATTTAAAGACTGAAGCAGGCTTTGCCAAGCCTATCACACATCTCTAGACTCTATTTGCTTTTATATTTGTTGACAAATTGTCCAGTTAATATTGAGCACATCTTTTATATCTAATGTCTTGCACATGCAGACAATAAGGGCCTCCACACACCACAGTCCACATATTCTGTTTTCCACTTTACCTTTGAGCTACGATCTGAGTAAACAGGGACATTTACCAAATATATTGCTGCTACATAACATGGATCTCTAGCTCTCCAGAGTGTGGTATCTATTTTTTTTCTCACCTCTCAAACTCCCCAATGTCATGTATTTTAGTTTTTTTACAGCAAAAACTAATAGCAATTTCTGTATTAGTCAAGATAAATAATGCTAGCAGCTACAACAAAAAACTTTTAAATCTCAATGATTTAGTCTAATCAAAGTTTATTAATCCTATTTTCTTTTCCGAGGCACACTGGAATACAACACTTTTCAGGATCCTTTGTAGTTATGTTAGGGCTCTGTGACCTGGATTTCAGACCTAAGAATGGAAGCAGAAATGCTATGTGCCAACTCCAGGCAGGCCTGACCACATAAACCCCTGTGCATCCTGCTCATGCTCTGCACCTGTATGGTCACTGCAAAGGAGGCTGCAAGTGGAGGATGAAGGTGGCAGACCAGAGAAGAATGATGGTCTGGGTCGTCCCCTGGAGGAGAAACAAGAAGAAGAGCCAGTCAGCTCACAGCAGATGCAGGTGGAAAGAAAAATAAATGACTCTTGTTTATACCACTCAAACAATTGTTGCAGAAACTATCCTGCAAGTACATGTGTATTCAAAATATATATATACTGGGGGAAATGGAGGCAGTGAGTGAGGACAATTGATTTTGTGAGGATATTTGGTATAAATGAGGGAGACAAATGGAACAATAAAGGGAGAAGAAAAGAGTGTGTGTGTGTGTATGTGTGTGTGTGTGTGTTGAAAAGATGTATGTTTGCATCCTCATGGGAAAGAGCAGGTACAGAAGGAAAAGTGATGGTGAGGTCAGAGAGCAACCAATCAACCAATGGCAGGAGCAACATCCGTTGGTAGGAAGAGGACATGGAATGTAATACATGCCGCTCAGGAACAGCACTTGCTGGGAGCACAGACAATTCATCTACACGGCAGGAGAGGAAGCAATGCATAAGGACACAGGTTCAGGCTGGTGAGTAGATGGGTTGGTGTTAATTTACAGAGGTTTCCCTCTGAAAACTTCAATTTTCTCAGCAAGATCACCAGTGGAGATTGCACATGGGGGAGAAGGTGTCAGAGATTTGAGGAAAGAGATGAAGGTGAATAATAAAACTGTTGCATAGGAGCATGGGACCAAGAATGCACTAGGAGATTATCAAATGTTTGCTGCATTGCTGTAAGGGTCCACTTGAAATTAATGATCATGAATTTACAGCAAGACCAGAATGTTTTTGTCCAGCAGAGTCCAGATTCTAGCTGGTTGAAATGAAAGGCTATGGAATTTCAGTTGGGTAAATAGAGCAGTGATGACATATGAAAGACAGATAGTGGGAAAAAAATAATAGAATTAATAGATTGCAGGATGCTGTGAGGTTAAACGATTGTTGGAGTCAAGGGTACTAAGAGAAAGAAGCCAAAAAGATGGCAAAGGACAGAGAGAAGGATGCTTAAAATGGGAGACCATGGAGAAGTTGCTGTTATCACTGATAGTAATGAAATCATACATATGATTGTGGGAATGAGTACTTAGGTGGATGAGAAAAAGAAGAGGAGGCCAAGGGATTTGGAGGCCCCAGGGATAAAAGGGTCTCCTAAATGGATGCTGAGACCACTCACCCTGGTAATGTGTCACCTATTAATAGTGAGTCTGGAACTAAAAACTTCAAACAGTGCGGGGAGTGACCTAGGAGTTGGCACATGACTTCAAGAAGTAGTGGTGGGTGGTACAAACTGGGACCATGGATACAGAACTGGGGGGACAGTTAGAATATTGGAAGGAAAGAAAAAATGGTCGGGAGTCTCCCAGAAGAGGCAGGGACACCCCCCTCACCACATGTAAGCCCATTTTGGGAGAGAGGCAGTGTCCTTCTGGGAGGGCTAAGTTTCAGGGAATCAAAGGTAAAGGGAACCATCAGGAAAGAATGATGCTAGAGGTGTTTTGTATTGATGTCCAACCATATGAAGAGATCACAGGGAAAGAGTTACAGGAATTGGAAAAGATTTGATGAAAAACAGAAAGTTGTATTACAGATATTTGTGGGGGTCAGAGTCTGGGGCTGAGAGCTGACCTGAGGCAGTTGGGGTGACTGATCCAAGCAGGGCAAAAGGAGTGTTGGAAGTGGTGAGGGGTAGCAGATGCTGTGGAAATAAAGGGTTGAAGGTTTGTCAGGAGCTCTCAGAGTTCCAGGCTCCCACCAGCATTCTGCCAGAAACCCCAAAGCAGGCAGAAAATCCTCTTATTGAGGCATGCTAAACTCTCATTTAATGCTTTAAATGAATGAGTGAATGAATGAATCAATCAATCAATGAGCCCAACACTTTCATTCTAATGAAGAGAACAACCTCGACTCTGAAGGGGTGGAGTCCCTTGTTCCAGGACACAAGGTAGGAGAAGACACATCCCTTGGGTTGAATTTGGGTTGAATTTGGGTTGAATGGTAACACTCAAACTAACCAGCCCTGTCACCTTAAGCAATTTCCTCACCCAGGAACCTCGGTTTTCTAATTTGTAATTTTAAAAAATTTTAACAAGTAGATATTAAAAGCATCTGCTTCATCAGTTATTGAAGAAACTGGGTTAATGAAGTCTTAAAACTGTGCCTAGCATTTAGTAAACACTCTTCATGTGTTAGCTATGATTATTAACTATGAGTCCTGCTCAATGTCTTCATATCTAAAGCTTTTAACCCACATGTCCCCAAGTCTTCCAGCATTCTGAGCTCAACCTTTCCTAGTAAATCCACTTTAAATGACCTAAGTCCCCATTCCACATATACTGGAAAACCCAGTCTCTTCCAGATTTCCAAGGGCTTACTTTCTCCTCCCCACCCTGGCTCCACATTCCTGCTTCCTATGACTCCCAGGAGTTGCTAGTTTTCTCACTTCCTAAGGCTGCTGGCTTTCTTCCATCACCTCAACCCCTTTGGTGTGCAACTCAAACTCTCTCTTTTATTCCTCAGAGCAACCCTGATACCAGGCTTTCCTGGAAACCAGACACTTACTGAATATTGATAGTGAACCATGGCACCATGTGCATGGTACACACACAATTCATTCACCTATTTTCTTCATTAACCCTTTCTTCCGCCATCCTTGCCAAGAATTGCACAGTTTCTAGTTTTAAATTGATGGACTTCCTTTCATTACCAAGACTTTTTTTCTCTTCTTTAACTATTTCCTTTGCACTCCTCTTCATTATCTATACGTGTACACACACACACACACACACACACACACGTAATTTCCACCTTCCCTATGCAATGCATCAGGAAGACTCCAAATCCCTACAAATTCCTGTTACTTAATTACGCAGATCAGTTTCCACTCTCAACTCCAACCCTATTCCAGATTCTAGCCCTAACTTTGTGGTCTACTCTTCTAAATAGGAAGGCTTGACTGACTTTTTTTAAATTACTTTGTTTTGCTTTTTAGCACATTCCAGATGAAGTCCCTAAACAGGGCTCCCTTCCCAACGAGAATTTATTCACGTATTACATGCTTTATAAGGCACTATCCAGAATACCCTCCTTTGAAGTGAGTAAGAAATTGTATCAAAGTCCCGAGGGACAGGACCCCTGATGGGAGTAGAACATAGTCGCACAAGTGCCAAGACACCAGCGTTCATCCTCAAGGGTTCCATTCTGGATTGCAGTAGAAGCTCTTGGAGGGAAAGAGGTCCAAAAAATATGACACACAAAAGTTTTAATAAAGGTCAGCAGCATGCCATCAGCCAACCTCCAAGCCTGATGTGAGTTTACCCCACAGTGAAGGGACATAGGCAGATTGAAGCCACACAGGCGTTCCTGTGACCTGCAAAACATGAACAGGAAGTGCACATTTGTAGAAAGAAATACAGCCACTTTGCTCACTGCACTACCTAGTTCTGGAAGCTCATGTTTTACTCCACCTAAGAGAAAGGGGGAAATTAGAAAGAAGGAAAATGAGAAATGCGGGGTTTTTTTTTAAGAAAGAGAAAAGGGAAAAAGTGAGTCTATGATTGCAAGCAAGATCTTCTGTTCCCCTGCTCTGTCTCTTTAAGGGTGAATTTCAGACTCTGCTTTGCTTCAGGTGACAGCACAGGAAGTAACAGTGAGCCTGGCTCCTTTTTAAGTCTTAAAAAGAGAAAACACCCAATCCTGACTGTGAAAATTCAAGCAGAATTTGATTTATTCTTCACCATGAATGATTCCATTTAAAGCAGGAAATAAACTCTGATAGCAAAAATGTAAATCAAACCTCAATGCATGAAATCAGTCTTCATTTTCCCCCCTCTATTATCAAACTACCACTCCTTTTATTGGAACTATACAGTTGGCTACATCCACCTGCTTTCAAACACAATCTCCATCTTCATTCGGGCTACTATTAAGTTATACTGCTATAACTAAGTACTGTGAACTGAGTGGCTTATGAACCACTAAAATTCATTTCTTACAGTTCCAAGGCTGGAAGCCCCAGATCAGGTGCCAGCATGGTCAGGTTCAGGCAAGGGTCCTTTTCCGGATTGTAGGCTTCTGACTTCTTGCTGTGTCCCCACATGATGAAAAGAGAGGTACTAGCTCTCTGGCCTTTTCCTATAAGGGCACTAATCCCATTCATGAGGGCTCCACCCTCATGACCTAATCACTTCCCAAAGGCTCCACCTCCAAATACTATCACATTGGGGAATCAATTTCAAAATATGAATTTTAGGGGGTAACAGTTCATAACAGCCTGTCCTTGACATGAGATCACATAACCATGGCAAAGAGTCCCCCAACCATCATACTTCCTGCACACACTGAAAATGCAGTGTTATACAGCAACACTCTCTCTTGGTTGGAGTAAGTCACCATTCTGAAGTCAACTACGTCTTTTCATTCTGGCTTATAATTGACCAAAAGTAAAGGGGGAGAAGAAAGAGAAAAGAAAGCTCTTATATGACTACCCAGAGTTTTGTAACCTAGACATGTCTTCAAAGACATGACTTTTTTTCCTGAATGTTCTAAAAATGGATGTTATGTATCTGCTAAAAATATGATAATTAACAAGTATGCTTTGAATCACATAATAGCAAATGTCATTTTCCTGTAAGATAGAGTATCAGTCATGAGCACTAATGTCCAGAGAGAGAGTTAAGCTGCTGACCCTAAAGGGAGAGCCAGCTGCACAACTGTGCATGGGAGTGACCAGAGCAAGTAGCCGAGACAGAGCAGACAGGGTAAGAGAACTGCTGATGAGAGAGCTGCTGAATAAAGCTGTATTTCACCTACCTACGGCACCCCCAAGTGTTCTTTCAGCTATCTGCCATTCAGTCACCCACTCCCTTTGGACCTCAGCTTGGGCTGGAGCCTGACCCTGAATCTAATACCACGCCTTATCTTTTCTTCATGAAACACCCTGAGACAGAATCCTTGTCTCAAGTCACACTATAGCAATAAAGTGGGTCCTTTTCTGCCCTCAAAGAAGAGAGTGCCTGTTCCGCATCTCTTTACTCATTTAGCAAACACCTATGATGATTTAGATTCTGAAGTTGGAAAAGTGAATGTGTTTCTAAGGTGCTCTCAGCCTCATTGGTTACAGAATATGCTTGGCTTCATGGTTCCCCCAAAACTCCGGGCCTCACACTGAACTTAACTTTGTCAATAGCTCAGTGAAGCAGAATGCAGATCATGGCTGTGCTCATTTCAGCATGCTGGTTCCCCCTCCCCTGGGCTCCAGCGGGACTGAGTCAGGTGTCCTTCCTTTTTTGCATTATCCACCAAATATGTGTCTTCACCTTGCCACTCAGAGTGTGACACAGGAACCAACAACATCACATCATCTAAAAGTTTTTTAAAAATGTAAACTCTCAGGCCTCTCTTCAAACCCACTGAGTCAGAATCTGCACTTAAAAGATCCCCAGGCAATTCAAAGGGACAGTAAAGTTGCAAAAGTACAGGTTCTCCAATGCAGCTTCACAATGGCCTCATCCGGGGAACCGTAAAAAATAAAGGTGCCAGGGTCCCACTTCAGAGACTAATTTATTCTGTAAAGGATGCCAGCTGGGACATTGGACTGTTTTAAATCTCCCCAGATCATTCTACTGTGTAGCTAAGTTTCAGAACGCCTGCAGTAGACAGGACTCACCTGTGTGGAGAAGCACCTGGTGTTATCTCAGAATAGGCAGAGGTGGGAGTGAGAATAAGGAAGGGTAGGGGCCAAGGACCTGGGAAGGAAGGCATCATCAAGACACGCTCTGAGATGGCCTCTAATTAACCTCCAATTGGACAGCCTCTCATGTAAGCCCTCACTTTACAAGAAGCCAAAGTCAGGAAAAGGTTGATTACTTGCCACAGTCATAAAGCAGGTGAGAATCAAAATAGAAAGCTGTCCAGGTTGGGGGATTGGAGAATGCCAGCAGCAAGAACTCTCAGCCTATTAAATGATTGATGTCTCTGCTATTCTCCCCACTCCCTTTCTGTGGGGCTAGCAATGTCCACAGGTGCTTCCACTCTGTTAACTCTACTCATTCCCTTTGTGCAAACCATAGAGGCTTTCATGGTTGCTACAACTCACCTGTACATTTGGCTCTGCGCTTCCTATGATCAATCCAAAAACCAAGATACAGTCAGTCTTGTTACCACAAAGTAAAAAGTGTCCCAGCTCCTCAGAGGAAGCAAAGTCTTTCCTGGCCCTTGCTCTAGGCTTCATCTAGAAGGAAGCTGGAGCAAGGACCTAACGCACACTACCTCAAAGACATCCCACACAGTAATAGTTTTCATAAAGCCATTATGTATAATATCTCTGGATGTAAGCCAAGGAAATAACATTAAAATGCATGAAAATTCTGCTGGGGACTAAGAACATATGGTCCAAGTGCACAGCTTGATGCAGGAATAAAAATTAGCACAACTAGAGGAAGGGATAAACAGCATGCCCTTCAAACAAGTCCTCATAAATATCACTTCCATTATCCAGGCTTTTGATAAAGCAGTCAAGGATTAAGGTTCAATTCACTGCCTCAAATGCCATTGCTTTATGTCATGGATTGAAGGAGAAGCCCAAACAAGCAAATAGTAGGGTTTCCATTCATTTGTGAAAACTCATAACTCTATCCAAGACATTTAGGAGAATAGAGGATCATGTGTTTTGTGCAAAATGGGGTCAAATGTCTATCCAAAAGGAAAATCCAAGAGTTTTCTCAAAACAGTTTGTCTCTATTACAACACACAAATATACAAATGATTGATCAAGTCTTGAAATTCTTTTTTTTTTTTTTAAGACATTCTCACTCAGTCACCCAGACTGGCGTGCAGTGGTGACATCTTGGTTCACTGCAACCTCCGCTCCCAGGTTTGAGCAATTCTCCCACCTCAGCCTTCCAAGTAGCTGGGATTACAGGCATGCACCACCACACCTGGCCAAGTCTTGAAATTCTATACACCATGCATGGTATATAGAATGTACCTACATGTCTCCATGGTCCCTGTTTCTAAATGACATGAGAGTCCTGGGGCAACACTTGGTCAGAGGGCTGGGCTTAAGGGAAATTCCTGCAGAAAAGAGAACATCAAATAAATCTTGAGAGATGAAGCAGCTGTCAATCAGTCAAAATGTGCAGGGACGATCTGAATTGGAGAATAGCCTGAGCTTTAGAGGTGGGCATTGCTGAATTGTTGGAGGGAGAGTGAGAGCTGGACGGGCAGCCTGCCTGGGTGAGGGGAATGGCGTGTATGGGGGAGTTGTGGAACATGCAGGTCAATTCTCTCCACTCCAATAACACTCATCCCTCATTCAAGAGCTCAACTTATAGAAAGGCCCATCATTTGGTGGTTCAAGCAGAAAACAGCACCATCTTCAACTCCCTTCTCTTCATCATTCACATCTATTGGCACCATGTCAATTCTGCCAATGGAATATCTTTCAAATCTATTCCTTCCAGCTACCTCTACTTCTCTTAGCTCAGACCTTGTCACGTAGGTTGCATGCCATAAATCATGACCACCAAAATCTGCCTTTAGAAAGTGTGATGGTTAATACCGAGTGTCAACTTGACTGGATTGACAGATACAAAATATTGATCCTGGGTGTGTCTGTGAGGGTGTTGCCAAAAGAGATTAACATGTGAGTCAGTGTGCTTGGGAAGGCAGATCCACCCTTAATCTGGTGGGCTCAATCTAATCAGCTGCCATCGAATATAAGACAGGCAGAAAAACGTGAAAACGAGAGACTGGACTAGCCTCCCAGCCTACGTCTTTCTCCCCCATTCTGGATGCTTCCTGCCCTCAAGTTCTTCAATTTTGGGACTCGGCCTGGCTTTCCTTGCTCCTCAGCTTGCAAACAGCCTATTGCAGGACCTTGTGATCATGTAAGTTAATAATTAACTCCCGTGTATATATATGGGAATATATATATATAGATATATATGGGAATATATATATAGATATATATGGGAATATATAGATATATATGGGAATATATATATATAGATATATATGGGAATATATATAGATATATATGGGAATATATATATATAGGAATATATATATGGAATATATATATGGGAATATATATATATGGGAATATATATATATGGGAATATATATATGGGAATATATATATATGGGAATATATATATGGGAATATATATATATGGGAATATATATATGGGAATATATATATATGGGAATATATATATGGGAATATATATATGGGAATATATATATGGGTATATATATATGGGAATATATATATGGGTATATATATATGGGAATATATATATGGGTATATATATATGGGAATATACATATGGGTATATATATATATGGGAATATACATATGGGTATATATATGGGAATATACATATGGGTATATATATGGGAATATACATATGGGTATATATATATGGGAATATACATATGGGTATATATATATGGGAATATACGTATGGGTATATATATATGGGAATATACGTATGGGTATATATATATGGGAATATACGTATGGGTATATATATGGGAATATACGTATGGGTATATATATGGGAATATACATATGGGTATATATATATGGGAATATACATATGGGTATATATATGGGAATATATATATGGGTATATATATGGGAATATATATATGGGTATATATATATGGGAATATATATATGGGTATATATATATGGGCATATATATATGGGTGTATATATGGGTGTATATATATGGGTGTATATATATATGGGTGTATATATATATGGGTGTATATATATGGGTATATATATATATGGGTATATATATATATCCTATTAGCTCTGTCTCTCTAAAGAACCCTGCCTGACACAGCAAGGTATATGATCAATTCACACATTCCAGAAATACTTATTGAGCAACTATTGGGCATCAAGCATTGTACTAGGAATTGAGAATAAATTGTTTAAAAAACACTAGTGTACAATGTGATAAGTGCTGTCAAGAAATGGACACTGCAAAATAGACTGGTAGGACAGAAGGGTGGTGTCAGGCAGGACTTTCTGAGTGGTAACATGTTCTGAGGTCTGAGATCCACATGAGAGCATGAGAAGACCATGCATGGCAGAGAAAATAACATGTGTGACTATCCTAAGGTGGGGAAGGACTGTCAGAGTGAAGAATGAGCGAGGATGAGGGGCATTCAGTGGTGGGAGGAGGCTGGGGTGGTGGAATGACCCAAAGCAGTCAGTAAGGCAAGACCTTGCAGACTACAGGAAGGGGTTTGAAAGTTATTTACCCAGAAGCCACTAAGTTACCTTAATAAAAGTGGCATGGTGACCTGATCAGAAGTGCATTTTTGAAGATACCACTGTCTGCTGTGCAAGCAGACAAAACCAGGAGAGCTATAAATGGAAGCAAGAAAATTCACTGGGGGATGATTGCAGCTAAGCAAGAGGTGGTAGTGGTTCTGACTATGAAGGGGTAGCAGTGCCTGAGAGAGGTGGATAAATAGGGGTAGACTTGGGAGGGAGATGGACAGGACCTAGGGATGAGTTGGATGAAAGAAGATGAGAAAACATGAATCCAAATGATCCCCAGCTTTCTGGGAAGCAACTGAATGATAATGCCCATGGAGGAAGGCTGTGGGCAGAAGAGACAAGCAAACATGGCGACTCCAATAAGACACAGGGGGAGCATCCTCTGCTGAGGCAGTGTTGGTGTTGCCTCTTAATTAGTTCATGACAATGTCCAGTGTCTAAGTTCCTGCACCATCTCATCCCAGTCTCACCTCTTAGCACCGCCCACTCCTGCCTCAAACCTACTGTTTACACTCCAGGGATATGCTGGACCACATTGCCCTCCTGTGCCCTTGGACAAACCTTTCCTTTTCCTGAACTACCCTCTCCCTTCTTGGGCATCTGGTAAACTCTACTCATCCTTCAGTGCCCAAGTCAAGTGTCACCCACTGTGACGTCTTCCAGAATATCCCCGACTGGAGTAGTGCCCCTCCTCTGCCTCTACAGCACCGCACAGTGAGTTCCATTATAAGATGGCCATTTTGTGCTAGGATTACTTGATCATCTATGAGCCCCTCAAAGCTGCAACCGTTTGTGATTACATATGATCCATTTCATGCCCTGCACAGCACCTGATGGTTTTGGGTATCAAAAAATATGTTGTTGAAGTCAACTGAATACGAAAAGAGCATAGAAGCATTACAATGCAGTCTCCTCCCAACAATTTTTTTCTTCCTAAACTCTGGGCCTTTGCTGAACCTGGGCCTGCCTCTGACTCATTCTTCTCTGCCCTTCATGTGGATCTGATGGAGATCCGACCCCTCCTTTTGAACTAACAAGACCAGTTCTTTCTCTCTCTCATATATGCAGCATGACTGGCAATTCAGAACGCATTTAGGTGCTTCCAAAGTAACTGCGACTTCACTGATGCCACATGTAACAGTCTGTGGTTAGCTCTTCCAGGGGGAAGGTCTAGATTTAATGTGTTGTGTGTTTCTGAAAGTCAGTGCCCTTTATAACTGATGTTGATGAGGTGTGTGACCTCCATTTCCCCATGCATAAATAGGGGTCATGCTTGGTGGTCCCTACGGGCTTCCCAACTCTAGCTTTTATGACGCCTTGATGACTAATGAAATTGAAGAAGATGAGGTGACATCTCTGCATGCTCACTAGAGTGAAAGTTGGGCACTGCTCATGGCCTTAGGGCATTAGTCATATCGTAAGCAGTATTTATGCATATTTTTAAATCCCTGGAGAATACATGCAGGGAGGAAAAATATACATTTATTGAATGCCAGAAGCTATTCTAAGCATTTGAAAGAGAAGCTTGGGGGAAAAATTGCCCCAAAATGCAGCATACTTTGTTTGCCTTGGGTCTGGATCTGGAAAGTGTGCCACAAGAACTACTATCTGCATCTTGTGGGGATGTCCAATCCCAGGGGGAGGCCAGGGGAGCCTGAGTCCTGCATTTCACGTTTATTTGTGCAGCTTTGGTGATTTCACTGCACAAATGACTCAGACTCAAATAGCATTAGGAGTTGTTGTTGTTTTTTTTAATTAGAGGAAGAGGATTCCAAAATAGAATCATAGCTGAAGATGGAAGAGGTAATTATCCTTTTCAAAATCATCTGTGAATCCAGGCAAGAGGCACACTTTTTTGACTTTTTGAAAGTCTCTTTATTGGAAAAATAACAAGCATCCCCAAATAGAAAGATTGATCCAGGCTGTAAGAAGCCAGATGATGGCACCAGGTCCCTAATTGGGGAAAAAAAAAAAAAAAAAAAAGTGGTTCTGAAGTGGCAGCAGCAAGACCTGGTGAGTAATTAGATGTTGGCAGTGAGGGAAATGGAAGGCCTTAGAATGACTCCTATGTTTCTGTCTCATTTCCTGAGATAGGGAATGAGGAGAAAGAATTTAAAAAGAAGATGATGAGTCCCTTTCTGGCATTTAAGGGCTCTATGGAAAATGGCAGGGAAGGTGCCCTGTAGGCAGTTGGCTATGTGAACAAAGACAATGCTAGACCTCTGAATGCAGCAGGTCTGGGTGTGGGGTAGAAGTTGAAGCCCTGGGGGTGGACAGAAGTGAGCTGGGCTCATTAACATCCTAGATCACTTGCAGCATCCACACTGCAAGAGCACATTGCGCACCACGCTCCTGTGGACAGGTGATGGTCAGGAGCTCCACTGGAGGAGGACACTTCATGGAATGGAAGAAAAACGATGAAAACTAGGAAAACGTCTAACATTCCTCTTTCCAATTCCATCGAGATGTTGTTGAAGAAGCATATCTCCTCTCAGAAGCTCAGTTTCCCATCTGTGAGAGGAGACAAAGAGCCCTCCGAGCCAGAACATTCAAGGACTGAAAGGCTCATAGCGTGTGTAATTGGAGTATGGGAAAACATATTAGGAAAAAAAATAGTTCATCCTCAGAGATGACAGCTATGTTGTTTGCATTCATTCCTTTAATGTGCATTTATTAAGCGCCTACTGTGGAATAGGCCACAGGGCAGATGAGACTTGGAATACTGAATCAAGGGACAAGAGACCAGGGTACCAACTCAACATCAACCACATTCTCTGAAGTGTAAGCCAGTTACCAGGAGAGTGTCTCAGAGAGAGGTTGACGCTGGCCTGAGATTTCGTTTTTCTTTTTTAAAAAAAATCACAGATTGGCAGTTTATAATTTTATCAATTTCTAGGGTACACAGCACTGTCAGGATTCATGAAATAAATGTGGAATCATTAAATCAAGCTAGTTAACATACCCATTACCCCAAATACTTCACATTTTTTGTGGTGAAAACATTTGAAATTTACTCTCTTAGCAATTTGGGCTTCTAGGATTGTTGACATCTGCTTCATAAAGTGAATAAGTGCTCACTGTGCAAAGCTGTGTAGCCAGAGGTCTTAGGTTGGGAGCATAGAGTTGATATGACACAAATGTGGATCATGTTTGGAGTGCATTGAATACTCCTATGTAATTGCATCGCAAGATGTAGGGGTGACTGGCAGTAAGTGAGCCTGAAAATGCGGGTGACAATCAGGCTGTGGAAGGCTTTGAATGCCATACCAACCCTGGTCAGACATTACTTAATTTCCTAATTCCAGCCACTGGCTGGGAGGATACTACTGTCTTCTTATAAACAATATCTCCTCTAGGGCACCCCTTTACCTTATATCTAGTTGATTCTTATTTGTTATAGGGCATAGTTCCCAACGATAGATGTACATAATAAACTCCTAGGAACTTGAGGAAAAACAATAGTAATAATGATAGCTTGGTTCCATCCCAGACCAATTATATTCAAATATTTTTTCTAGATCCCAGGCATCAGTGTTCTTTTTAAAAGCTCTCTAGGTAATTACAAGGTGCAGCCAGGGATGAGAAGTAATGCTTTATATTCACTTTCACATGTCCATGGTGGAAATGGCCACCAACTAGTCTCCAGCTGTGAGGTTGTCTCTGTAAGATTCTTAATGGTCATAGAGCCAAAGCAACTGCACTATTCAAGAAGCACATTTGAAAAACATTAGAAGAAACCTAAAACATTTGGCCAGGTGCGGTGGTTCACATGTGTAATCCCAACACTTTGGGAAGCTAAGGCCGGTGGGTCATTTGATCGAGACCAGCCTGGCCAACATGGTGAAACCTTCTCTCTGCTAAAAAAAATAGACAAAAATTAGCCAGGCATGATGGCACACGTGACTGTAGTCCCAGCTACTCGAGAGGCTAAAGCAGGAGAATTGCGTGAACCCAAGAGGCAGAGGTTGCAGTGAGCCGAGATGGCACTACTCCTCTCTAGCCTAGGCGACAGGGTGAGATTCCACCTCAAAAAAAAAGAAACCTAAAACATTTGACTTTAGTAGGTTCCTCCTCAGCAATCCTAGCATTTGATTTAAGTTCACACTCCCCTTAGCTTTTGTTCACACAAAGCAAATCCAAGCAGCAATGTATAAAGCTGTGCTCCTCCTGCCCCTCTGTCTGGATAGATGCCCTGGATCACTCAACTGTATCCTGTGCCCATCCCAAAAACTCACATGAACCATCCCCTAATGAGGAAAGGCCAGCTGGGACCTTGGCCTCTACCTACCATTTACTAATCTACCATTGAAATGTTTTAGAGGATAGAATTTTTCTGACACTTTTACTTTTGACATTGATTAAAATTGCAATGAGATGATGACATACCTTGTGAAAACCTTCAATATGTATTGGAGCTTTTGCTTTTCCTGCCTCAGATGTGATCTGCAGCACCTTTGAGATATACTTTTTAAATGCTATAAATATCTCATTGCTATGGATATAGGATAGCCATATCCATGGAAGACACCGCTTACATAGCTAACAAACGTGACTTTCCTTGTTTGGTTAAGGCCTTCAATGACCCAGAACCTAGAAGAAAAGCATGTAACCAAAAGCACCCCAGCAGAACAGAATCACGTATCTTTGATGAGAACTGGGGAAGGAGTCATATGATTCTAGCCTCTGGCATATGTTAACGCACCTGTGACCTTGCACAAGCCATTCCCTTTCCTGGACCTCAGTTTCCCTATTGAGTTAGATTTGATAGTCTCAAAAACCTTTTTCCAATTCTAAATTACATTTTTATCAATGAAAAACTTTTGACTATGGAGGAAAAGTACTTTACTTGATTGCAATCACAGCTATCACTAGCTGGTGATGTTGATTAAGTCTCAGCCTCTTTTTTTTTTTTTTTTTTTTGGAAAATGGGGAGGTAACCATTTACTGAGCAGAGCTCAGATATAAAGCAGAGTGTCTGAAACTTCTAGGGGCTCAATAAAGCAAAAAGTAAAACCAGCTCTCATTTATTGAGTGCTCCTAGGTACTGGATGCTTTATATGCATTATTTGGTTAATCAACAACTTAAATTTCTCTGGAACTAAAGAAATGAATTGACATACTTTTTAAATCCTCATAATACAGCAATTTTACAAATGAGGAAAGGTGATTGGGAGGATTTGAATTCTAAGGAACACACAAATAAGCAAAAGTGGGCTAAGGTCTTGAACTAGAGATGCCCCGATTCCAAAACACTGTCTGATGGCAGAGACCTTCCTAAGGCTGAGTGCCAGCTCCCTGCAACATGTAAGAGAGTCCCTTAGTCCCCACGTGCCTCCCCCGGCCCCACCTTCTTCCATCTGTTTCTCAGCGAATTACCCTGAAGAGTAAATTAATTGAGAATTAGGAAAGCACCTTGTAAACTGTGAAACACACACGCAAAAGTGAACTGCTATTAATATTGAAATGACTTCTCACATGCTGAAAAAGGACTTACATTATCACAAAGAATCCTCGTTAAACCTTCAATACGTAAGAATCCCTTTCTTAACCCAGAGTTTCAATGAAACTCTCTTTTAGACCTGTGTGGTGAAGTGAGGGGGGAGGGGGTGGAGGAGGGAGACAGCACAGCACCTGTGCCCATCCGTGACCACCTCCAGGTCTGGGCACTTTGCATAGCACCTCCTGGAGGCCTCACCACCACCTGATGCAGAAGCTGGGGGTGAGGCCACTTTGCAGTTCACAAAGCACAGGCATTGTCCCAAACCACACAACTACTAAGTGGCAGAGTTGGGTCCTAAACCAACTTGTGGCTGAAGTTTGCCATCAGGTAATGGGGTCTCTAAAGCCCTCTTGAAACATCCACTGGATTCATTCAACACGAGACTTTGTAAAGCAATGGCTTCCTTGGTGTTGTTTTGAGAGAGCAAAATCTTAATCAGTTCATACGTGTGGCCATTGCATCCATTAAAATGTGATTTCAGGCCTGGTGCAGTGGCTCATGCCTGTAATCCCAGCACTTTGGGAGGCCAAGGTGGGCGGATCACGAGGTCAGGAGATCGAGACCATCCTGGCTAACACGGTGAAACCCAGTCTCTACTAAAAATCCAAAAAATTAGCCGGGCGTGGTGGCAGACGCCTGTAGTCCCAGCTACTCAGGAGGCTGAGGCAGGAGAATGGCATCAACCCGGGAGGCGGAGCTTGCAGTGAGCCGAGATCGCACCACTGCACTCCAGCCTGGGCGACAGAGCGAGATTCTGTCTCAAAAAAAAAAAAAAAAAAAAAAAGTGATTTCAGCATTTACTTCCAGCAAAAGAACCCCAGAAAACTGTTGCTCCATTCAGTCCAGGGAAGGATCTTCCCTGAATTCCAGGCACCTCTGAACTCCTAAGGATTTCCATCCTGGGAACCCTTTTCCCAAGGAGCTTGTGAGCAACACAGCCGTTATGGGAATGGCTTAGGTACTTGGGTTCATGGCACCACGACTGCAGTAAATAGCAGTGGTTACTCTCCCCATTAGAGGAAAGGCCCAGTGCTACTACACAGCCCCCAGTCCATTAAGAGGAAATGTAGGTCATCTCTGATTTCAACAGACAGTGTGATCCTCAGTGGTAAAATAGTGAAATGAACCACCTCAAAAAATGCATTTCCCATCCACAACCCTACCCATAGCTAAAAGACAAGATGAGACCTGTCTTTGCAAAAAATGTAAACATTTTTTGATGCTCATTCTGTCCATTGCTATTCCAGGTACTGTGAGAGTGGCAAAGATGCATGAACTTGCTCCCTGCCCTGAAGGAGCTCCTTCTTAGTGGATTGGGTGGAGGTAGGACACAGGCAGCACTTCCTTATGGGCAGAGCATAAAGGGTGGGTGGGAGCAGAGGGAAAGTGCAAAACAGGGTAGAGAAGTAGAAGCTAATCATGGGAAACCTTCTGATTGATAGCAAAGTCCTGAGCTTGATCCCCAAGGCATATTCAGAAGCTACAGTAGGGCTTTCTGCCAAGACCTCCCTAGGCATGTCTCTATTCTGCATTCATTGTACTCTCATACATATATGAATGATATGTATGAGCCATGTGGCTTCTAGCTGGGTTCATGTTTCATCAGATCCTTAAAGGATTCCCCAAATTTATGGGTGTATCTCACCCATGCATGAAGATCTTCATGGGGCAAAGGTGTCCAGCAAGCCCCAAAGCGTCCCAGGGCTGTAAGTACCTGCCCATCTTTCATTTAAGGGTCACCCAACCTCATCTTCTGAATGTCAAGGAGTCTTCTTCTTGCCTATACCAAGGCTTGGTCTTGGCTTGGCTGGGTTTGCAGGTGAAATTTCTCCAGCACAGCAGCTATTCAGAATAGATGTCATCAAATCTGAGAATCACAGGACTGCAAGGCCAGTGGCCACTGGGCTTCCCTTCATGTGCTGCTGATGGTTTCCTCCTAGAGGCTCCTCCACAAGGTCCAGCTCTACCAGGAGCTGACATTTGCCTTATGCTTCCCATCTTGGGAGAAGGGAGCCTGTATGGAGGTAGCAACATTCTCTCGACTCTTGACCAGCTCAACTGTTGGACGATTGTTCTTAATGCTGAGTTGAAATCCATCTGCTGGCAATCTGGATTTGTTGGTCTTAGTTTTAAGGGACATACAGAATGTGCTGACTTCCTCTTCAACACGACATGTTTATTTATCTGATTAACCCTAGAACTGTGAGGTCCTCAAGGGTGGAGATGATGTCTGATTTGTGTTGGAACCCCCACAATCAGCACAATGCCTAATCTATAACAAGCACTCAATAAATGTTGGCTAATTAATGGTATGCAAATGATACATGAGATTAATAAATGTATTCCTGATAAATTATGCTATGTGAATGTAAAAGCAACATTTGTAAGAAGCATTTATGTCTGATAACATCTTTTCATCTTACCTTTCATGACTATTTTTTGACTATACATAAAAAATTCTCAATAGTAAAATTTTTTCATCTTTCAGCTAAGAACTTCCCCTATAAGTAGCCCCAATTCAGACTGAAATTTTCCATTTGGGAGGGAGAAGACATGATATTCTCAGAGCCCATTTTCCTTCACAACATGGGTCAGTGTCTCAAATTAGCACTTTCTCACCTGGGAAGAAAACTAGACTCTGAGGAAATGGAACAGAGGGCAAAGCCATTTGCCCAGATAAATGGAGGTGAGAGATGCCCAGAGGAGGTGACCTTCCTTCATTACCTCTTTGTCATGCCTTTCCTGTGTTCCCCAGAGAACAGGCTTCTCCCTTCTCTGTGCCAACATATTATCTTTCAGCTACTCCCCTCCATGCGGCCACCTTTCCTGCCACATGCTAATGATCTGCCATAAGTCAGTCTCCTACAGCAGAGGAGTGAGCTCCTTAAGTGCAGGGCACTCTCTGTGTCTGGTTTATCTTTGTGTCCTTAGCCCAGCTCAGGGCCTGGCATACTAAATAGCAAACTAGATTCTCCCTGTGCATGCACTTAGAATTAATTTATGCCCTGCCAAAAGCAGCCAACCATGGCTGTGTGTCTGCCCTTCAGAAGTGAGAATGTTTGCCAGGTGCTCCCAAGGGCAGGTTCTTATTTCTTTGTAATATTTCCACAAATGAAGAAATTTTCATTCCCAATAAGTATATCCCCATTGACTGCCAGGGCTTGCAGTTTTGCCTTCTCCTTTTGAAAACTGCACACCCACTACTTCATTCAGAGGGCCTGGAAGACATCAGCTTGACCATTTGCACACATTAAGCAAAGCCATGCAAATCACATCATGTCACTTTGCTTCTTTGACTCTCCCACTTGAAATAACATCCAAACTCCTGACTGGGGCCCACAAGGCCCAGCACGATCTGTCCCTGCGTCCTTCCCAGCTTCATCTCCTGCTACCTTGGCCTTCTGCTCACGAAGCCCCAGGCACATTTAGCCTCTGCTGGTTCCTAGAACATGCCAAGCTTCCTCCTGCCTCAAAGGCTTGTTGCTTGCTGGTCCCTCAGCTGGGAATCTCTCTCCCTGGCATTTCCAGTGGCCAACTCTTCTCATCGGTCAAATGGGAGATTAAATATCACCTTTCCTGAAAGGGCTTCCCCCATGCCACCCCATTCTTACTGAAGTAGAATCTGCCTCATTGTTCTCTAGAGCGATGTCTAGAACATTGCCAATTCTTTTGCAGCGCCAATTTCAATAGGAATTGTTCTGTATAGTCATTCATTCATTACTTGCTGTCCTTTGATGATGTCAACCATGTCTGCCTGACATTCTGTCACCTCCAACACCATACATCATAACAGAATAATGCAAGAAAGCAATTTCTGAGTGCTTGTCAAGGGCCCAGAACTCTCCTGTGCTCTTTACAGGCATTGCCTCTTGGGGGATATTTACCATCCCCACTTTACAAATGCGAAAACAGGGCATCAGTGACTTGCTTAAAGTCACACAGTAAGTGTCATACTTAGGATTTGAATCCCTATTGTCTGACTTCAGCATCAATGATAATATGATTACAACCCAAAGCCATACAGTATGCAATAAATACATTTCAAATAAATCAATATTTAAAGCAATAATGGCAGACCTTATAATTGCCATGATTGTATGTTGCTAGAAGACTGGAATCATGTCACGTATCCCTTTGGTGTTTTCCAGCACCCATCACAATGCTGCAATGGAACAACTGAATTGAAGTTTGCAGAAAGTGGGACTGTAGTAACAACTCGACCCATGGCAGTTGTCCTGAGTATAATGATGTTAAGCTTTTAACATGGATCAAATCCCATAGTGTGCAGCATATGGAGTATTTCAAGATTATTAGGCCAACTCCTTTCTTTACAGACTCGTTTGCTCTCAAGACCATATCCTTGCTTAGCCTGGCACACCCGGGTCTCCACGACCTGCCCTTGCCCCATCTCCAACTTTTTCCCCACTTCAGCTCCCCTAGCAGTCCTGGTGTCAATGGCCTGTTGACTTTGTTTTGTCATGAAGCTTGGGCTTTAACTTTCCCAGTGGAGAAGCTACTGAGGAGTTTTATTTCGGGATGTGGCATGGTTTGATCAGGTGAATTTAGGTGGAATACTGCAGACTAGATTGGAACTCATAGCCTGGGCCACCATCACGGGTGCACAGCACTTACAGGTATATAATAAATCACTGTGAAAGGAAGAAAACAGAGAAGGAATTGCCCTTGGAAGAAGTCAGCTGAGTGATGATGAGTAATCAGCTGAAGAACATGGTCTTTGATTTCTGGTTACAAATATAAGAGCATCCTAAATGAGGCAGATTAAAAATTAATAATTTGGAGGATGTTCTTCAGGTTGTACAATTTCTCTGTTAACCTACTTAGCACGTCACCAGGCAAAACCAGAGAAAAATAAGACGGAGCTCCCAACATCAAGGAATTCACAGGACAGAGCTGACCTAAGAAAACCCGTGGCCCAGTCAGGAGGAAAAGGAGAAGGCAAGGGAAACACAGCCCTACCCTGGTGCCGAAGAGCCCTGAGTTCCAGTCGTGCCTGGGACTCCTTCATAACCTGCCTGGGGTTTACCAGTGGAAAGCCACAAAGCCAGCTGAACCTGAACCTCAGACTCCAAACCTGTGCTCTTTACAACAGGAATAAATCAGCCTCCCTGATCCTCCCCCATCACCCACCTCATAGGACTGTGTGAGAGCCAGAAAAATCTCTAAAGAGCTATGCATCACATAAGTATTTCTGTACAAACCTCAAGGCTTAGAAATGAACTACCTGTAGCTCCCAGAGCAGAACCCTTTGGCAACGTCACATTTTCCTTCTCATGTGTTCTCAATATTTAAATCAACCCCTTGAGAGGCTCATGTAGCAAATGGGCTGTATTTAGTGGGCCCAGAGACTCTAGTGTCATCCTCTACCCTCCTTTTCCCTTTTCCTCTCTGTTGCTCTCCCTGTTTGTGCAAACCACCTAAAATGATTTCTATGCTTTACCAGAAATAGAATGTTAAACACTATTTTATTCATTACCAATAATAGCCTGTTTTTTGGTTTTGCTTTGTGTTTTTTGTGGTTTGTTTGTTTTTGCTTTTTTTTTTTTTTTTTTTTACTATGAAACCAGCATGCACTTAAAAACAGTGTGGTGGGCCTTCGTTTTCTCTCATATCAAATAATTCCTAAGGCTTCCTCTGGCTCTGACACTGTGTGCTTTTTCCTATTCTAAACATGCGTACGGAGTTCATTACCCCTGCCATGGTTTGCACTGTTTTAAGAGTCCTGCTCTAAACAGATAGCAGCATTCTCATTGACCGTGTTCAATTCTTTCACTGTTTTTCAGTTTGCACATACACTAAGGGAAGTGAGGAAGCAGGTGATAGTATGGTTCCTGCCCTTGAGATACAGGGATAATGAGATCTCTCATAGACCTGCAGATGTTCATATCATTTCAGATCCCAGAACAGGCATCCTCCCTTCACTCCACGTCACAGGGATGTATATGCTCCCAGGTACCATGGCACTGTTAAGAGGTCGCTCTGATTATAGATCTTACAGAACTCATATTTCATCCTAAAGAATGTAGAGCTTTTGTAGTTTCTAATGTCCAGGCAGAGAAAAGGATATTTAAGGACTCTGAAATAACATGGCAGGAAATTGAGATTCACTTACTGCATATAAAGTGATCGAAAAATCCCCTCTTTCACTATCTCTTTTCCTCTTGGGTCTGTGGTTCACAAACTGCAGAGCATAAATCGTGAAGCAAACCATGCTGGAATATCAATAAACCCACATCGACCCGAGGCAGGAACTCAGCTTGCAGTGTGGGGATGTTTTTTTTTTTTTAGACATTGGTTGGCAGCCAGGTTGATGAAAGGAGAAACCAAAGAGAATAACAGCTTTGCAGCAGCAAAAAAGAGAGTTAGAATTCAGGAAATGTAAGCCATGTGCCTCTCTGTAAATTCATGAGGAATGAAATCTCACTGGTGGGGTGGGGAACAGTATAAATAATAAAAACACCAACACTATCCCAGACAAAGGCTACAAACCCCAAGTCTGTGTAGTCCCCAAATGTCATGAGTTGAATTGTGTCCATCCCCACCCACCCCAACCCCTAGCAAAATCCATATGCTGAGGTCCTAAAGCTCAGCACATCAGAATGTGACCATATTTGGAAACAGAGTCTTTACAGAGGTAAACAAGCAAAAGCAAGGTCATTAGGGTGGGTCCTCATCCCATCTATGGGACTGGTGTCCTTATACAAAGGTGGAATTTGGACACAGACATGCAAAGCATGAAGTTGATGCATGCAAACAAGCCCACACTGGTGTGAGCATGGCTGGGGCCCCAGAGGAGGGTAGACGTGGACCAGGGGCAAGAGTGATAAACTAGAAACAGCTTGAGTTGCTGGAAAACCAAGTGTGCTGTAGACAAGAGCTCAGCATGAAACCGGACCCGCCAGCAGGCCCCAGATTGTGGAGAGCTTTTAGGTCCAGCTTGATTGATTTAAGACCACCTGGCTGGTGAGTAGCAGAGATAAGACTTAGGTCTTCTTTCTCCCAATCCAGTGCTAACTCTACTAAGTCATAATAATGGCTAACATGTATTAGTAGTGATAATAAGATACTGAGCACGTTAAATCATTCAATCTTTACAAGCACCCAATAAAATAGATATTATTATTACTAATTCCACTTTTCCAATAAAAACTCTGAGACTTAAATGGGAAGTTTAAGTATTGCTCAAAGACACACAGCTGGTAAGTGAGTATCAGTTTTCTTTTTCTTTTTTTTTTTTTTTTGAGACGGAAGTTTCGCTCTTTTTTGCCCAGGCTGGAGAGCAATGGTGCGATCTCGGTTCACTGCAACCTCCGCTCCCCGGGTTCAAGCGATTCTCCTGCCTCAGCCTCCTGAGTAGCTGGGACTACAGGCATGTGTCACCATGTCCAGCTAACTTTTTGTGAGTTATTAGTAGACACGGGGTTTCACCATGTTGGCCAGGCTGGTCTTGAACTCCTGATCTCAGGTGATCCACCGGCCTCGGCCTCTCAAAGTGCTGGGATTACAGATGTGACCCACCGCACCTGGCCAAGTATCAGTTTTCTTAACCATTGTCACTGTCTTATGGTTCTTCTGTGTTGTCTTCTGTGGCATGAGTATGTACAGGAAAAAAAGATCGGCTTATATAATGCATTTGAGATGGGAAAATTCAAGTACGTGTGATTGTGCAAGTTATACGGTTATATTTATTGAAAAGAGTACCCTTTTATCCATTTATTTCTCAATATGGTAAAATTTGACATGAATTTCAGGGATGCTTAATATTTGTCTTCAATGGAGACAGCAAAACAGAGCCCAGGGTGACTTTTCTCTTGCTTTGCCTGTCTATGTCTCATGATGGTGTCCTGAGGAGCATTTTGGTCAAATACGATTAATGTGCTGATGCATTTATTCCTGAGAATCTCAAATATATCTATTGTGAGACCATCTAGAAGAAGAGTCTCTTACGAAGAAAATGTGGTTTAAGAAAAGGAAAATGAACCCTCAACCCTTATCTGGACTAATAAGCAATTATTTGTCAGAAAAGTTAGGGTTGGGCAGAAGAATTACCCTTGAATGCTACCATGAGCTCTAACTCCCTGCAGTTCTACATCAGTGTTTTGACAGAATGCATGAAAATACTGTGTTGGAATATGACTTCCAAAGAATTGAGGAAAAGTAAAGTCCACCCATCTCTGCTCTTAATGCAGTGCTGAGTATGTGTGTGTTCCACCCTTGATGCTATGTTAGGAAGAGAACACGAGACAGGAGGCTGCTTTCTTGATGCAGAGCCAGGCTGAGAAAAGTAAATACCAGAATGTGTACGATGTCAGATGGGCAGAGGCCCAGCAGAGAATGGAGCAAAGGAAACTATAAGGGCAGCAACCTCAAGGCTGGGGAGTTCAGCATGCAAAGAAGATCGACCTGGCATTGGTGCTTAAGGTATGTTCACTAGTGCTGAGCTTGGAGCCAGGGGGAAAAGAGGCTGTGGTGGTCCCCTGAGAGTGTGTGGATTACGTGTCGGCCAGGGCCAGTGCTGGATCTCCACAAAGGGCAGGGCTAGAGAAAGTTGCAGAAGGCTTCAGAGGGAGCAGTGTCCTCATGGTTAAAGCACAACTGAAGTTAAGGTTCCCACATTCAAATCCAAGCTCGAGTTTGGGCAATTACACCACCTTACAGGCCTCAGCTTCCTCATCTGTAAGTTTATGATAAATCATAGTCCTGATTTGATGGGGATTTGTGAACAGCAAGTAAAATAATTTCTATAAAACACTTAGCACAGCCCCTATCCTAGAGTTAATGCATGACAGATATTAGCAATGATTATTATTATTTGAAGAGCTGACATCTGAGCTGGGCTGTGAAAGACGAGTATTTTGCTAGGTGGAAAAGGGTGGGGGAGGACATTCCAAGGAGCGAGATTAACATTGGAATCGATTTTCCAGGCCAAGAAGAAAAATACCTCCTTTGTGAAAAGTTCCTTTTTAGCCTGACTATTAGAAAAAGCAAGCGAAGAATTTCATATGGGAAATGGGATCTGAAACTCCACCTTTCATTCTGAAATCCAGGAGATATAAGTTTGCATTTTATTATTCCCAGTGGGTTGGTCTTTTTTTCTTAACCTCCATTTCCACTTCCCCTCAAAGTACTTTGCTAAAGCATTTTGCTCTCACACCAAGAAATGAATAAGTTGTTTTGGAGCATATAGGGATGTTGGTAAATGAAAACACAAAAGCTTTTTAAGTTGATCAGCCCCATCGGTCATTGGTTGGTCAAACATGTATTGGGTTTTTTCTCCATGCCAGGCACTATTCTCAGTTAGAGGATATAAAGGTACTTACATCATTATCGCTGCCTTTGAGGGGCTCTGACTAGTGAGGAAGAAGACGAGGTAACCAAACAATTATGATTTCAAAGGACAGAGGAAACAGCGAGGTTCCCAGCAAAGACAAGCATAGCATGGAGGGCCAAGGGAAATGTTACATGATAACTAAAATCAAAATTAACCTCTTAAAATTCCTCTCTGGAAAGAACGCTGGAGTTCAGCTGACTATATAAGACATAGGTTGTTCTCCAAGTCCCACCTGGTGAGTATGATGAAGTGTGCATGACTCGGCCCCGTATATAAGCTCTAGAAAGCTTCTTTCCCATTGATAACCACATTTGTTACAGGAACCTTTTCCTCCCACTGGTGTTTCACACTTTCAATTTCCTCCTTCTGAAAGAAAAAGTTTAATCAGGGTTGAATTAAATTAGAAATGTTAATGCTGGGATTATTACCTCTGCTTTCGGAAGAATTATCTTTAATAACGTATTTCATTCATCAGCCCTGAATGCAGTTTTGAACCTACCACCTCCTGATGTAGTGGAAGCAGGGTGGAGCTGGGTTTCCAGGGCAGATTGTGGCTTTCAGGCTTTATCAGGCATTGAAGGCTCGTGTCCCACATGGAAGGCAGCGTCCAGTCACTGCTCATTCAGTGTCAGCATGCAATGTACAGCTGCACAGCTGCGCGGGGATTCTTGGAACTCAATGAAGATGACTCACAGGGCTGGGGGTAGGAAGGACGGCCCCTTGGGGTGCTGGGGAAGCCCGAGGGAAGCAAGTTTAGTCAGACCTCCTGGGCTGCCTCCCTGGGAACAAGTCATCGGAGACAACATTTTTCTTTTCTTTCTTTTTTATTTTTTGAGATGGAGTTTTGCTCTTGTGGCCCAGGCTGGAGTGCAATGGCGCAATCTTGGCTCACTGCAACCTCGGCCTCCTGAGCTCAAGCCATTCTCCTGCCTCAGCCTCCCGAGTAGCTGGGATTACAGGCATGCGCCAACACACCTGGCTAATTTTTATATTTTTAGAAGAGATGGGGTTTTGCCATGTTGGTCAGGCTAGTCTCAAACTCCTGATCTCAAGTGATTCACCCACCTCGGCCTCCCAAAGCGCTGGGATTACAGGCATGAGCTACCGCGCCGAGCCGGAGACAACATTTTTCTATCCCAGTCTTGCTGGCTCTTCCAGGGAGGAAGCCGGGATGTAGCCGGTACAAGCCCTCGAGGCAGAACCAGGCAGACTTCCACCCTCCACCCCACCAGCTCTGACATTTTCTACGTGTACCTTGCCTAAATCTCTAAAGCTATAGGTTTCCCACTGTAAAACCGGTTAGCAAAACCTGCCCTGTAGAGTTGTAATGATAATAAATATAGAAACACTTCCGTGACTGCCAGAAAAACTAAAAGTAAAATCATAAATGCCTAGCCGAAGTCATTATGAGTTCCTTTCTCTCTCACTGATAGATTGTGAGCAGGACACACGCTCACGTGTTTGGATGCTCCGTGTCCTAACACAGCAGGGGTGTTAGCTGAACAAGTGATGAATAGTTGTGTTGCAGGAATGTCTATGTAGGAGGCTCAAGTGTCTCATCTATGGCCTGTGGTACACCATTTTTATTTTCACTCCCAGCACCAGAGAACCAGCACCTGAGAAAGGCAGAGAATAGAACTCAGCATTACCGACCTGGAGTCGGGAGCTCCAGATCTGCAACTCATTTCACCTCCTTGGGCCTCAACTCCCACTTTCTACAGGGGGAAGTTTGGGCTTGTGAAGATCTTAGATACCTTCCAGCTCTACGTGCTCTATGGAAGAAAGCCAGTATTTATTGAATGCCTACTATGCGCTCAAACCCGGGCAATGCTATGGGGCATTTGGCGACAATTCAGTGGACACGAAGCCTCTCGCCCATCCCTGATTCAGGTACCCAGTGCAGAATCACCCTTGGGGGCTCATCTGTACACTGTGGAACGGGATGCCGGGCTGGTGGGAAGGCAAGAGGTGTGGCTGGTAGCTGGAGATAGGCATGGCAGTGCCCTAAGTTGCACGGTGGTACCTCTAGGAGACTGTAGTATCTCCTCTCACACCACAAGTATCCAGGAGTCAGAGGGAATGTGATGTTAAATAACAAATAATAAACACCATGACAGACAGAGACAGTGGAAAAAAACAAAAAGCTTTATATTCCAGTGCCTTTACCAGCACATTTTTCCCTCGTTTTTGAACAAGGATTCCCCACATTTGCAACAAGCCCTGCAAACTAGGTAGTCATTGGGCCTGCCGAAGACTGCATAACATGAATCCAATCATGAGAAAAGATCAGACAAACCCAGCTGAAGGACCTTCAATCAAATCTCTCTCCTGCGAACTTCCAAGTCTCAAAGTGTGGGAGGTGAAGGAACGACTTCAGAACTGTTCCCAGTTGAAGAAGACAGAGCTAGACACAACAGGTATTTCCGAACTGAATCCATTTGCAATAAATCATACATTGGGAAAAATTGGCAAAACTTGAATGGTGTCTGAAGTTTAGATGATACCAATTCATTAATGCTAATTTTTTTGATGGCTAGATTGTATTTTTATAAGAGAATGCCTTGGTTTGTAGAAAACACAGTAAAATATTCCAATAGCATTGGGCATCATTATTTGGCTCTTTCAAATATTGGCAAATTATTTGACAACGTTTTAGAGAAAAATTGTTTTGTATTTTATCTGAAACTTTTCTGTAACATTGAAATTGTTTCAAAAAAAATTTTAAGAAAAAATATCAAGCCATGTTTAAAAAAAAAAAAAAAAGAAATGGCAAGCAAATTGAAACAAATGCACAGAGCAGAGAGGTTACATGGTGTGCCTAAAATTACTGTTGTCAGGGTCAGGAGCTGGGGCATCCACACGAGCCTCCTCTGTTCGAAGCCCTGGATTCTCTATCCTCTCCCGCTCTCTTGTTCAGAACACAAGGACTACGCTTCAAACTCCTGGCCTTGGCAGGCTGGCTAGAAATGGTTTGTTTCTCTGCTTACTGACCTTGTCTGACTTTCCAGACAACACTCTAGATGGTTTCTCTCTCGACTTTACAGGCTTAAATGTATCAGGTGCTTGAGAATCAAGTTTTGGCCACTGGACACCATGACCCGGTAGAGTTCTTATCATTCCATTTCTAGAAAGTGATGGAGAAGCTGTAACAGAGTCCAATATATTTGGCCAAGGGTGCTAAGCAAGAAAATAAAATGACACAAATACAATTTAAAGGGCTCTGGACTCAAGACATGTGGAAAGAGGTGGATACAGAATTACAATTGTTTAAAGTAAATAGTGGAGCAGTACAGGCCCCGATGTAGAAGCATAAAGGAATTCATAATCATGCATCAGAAGCCTTTTCAGACGAGACAGCTTTTGAGATTTTTGAAACCTGAATAGGTAACTTGATATCAATTAAAATATAGTCATATATAAAAGTTCTTAGTTGTACCAAAAGCAGAAAGATTTTGCTGTGTTGCTAGAAAAGTTTATAGTCTGCAGTTCATATATACATACGTACATTTGGCACATCATTAGCAGTGTCACTGAGACATACGACACTGTACAATGTGGCCCCTGCCTTCCATAAGCTCCTATTCTAAGGAGGGATACAGAGAATTAAGCCAATTGAACAAGAGAACAGAGTGAAGTACCCTGGGAAAGATGCATGGACAGAATGCAGATACAGAGAAGGAAACGGACGCCAACCAAGGAGATCAAGATACAGTTTCCTTCTAAACACATGGAAACACGGACAACCTGCTAACTTAGTATTTTACTGAATTACAATACACTGTCAGATAATATAATAGAAGTTGCACTCACACAGACTTGGGTTCCCGTCACAGCTCCTGTACGGTTTTAACCAAAATAGTTAACCTATTTTAGCCTCAGTTTCCTCAACTATAAACTAAGAAAAACTAGACGTACCTCCTAAGAGAGTAGATCTTAAATGTTCTTATGCACACACACACACACACACACACACACACACAGTGAGAAGTATGTGAGGTGATGGATATGTTAATCAGCTTGGTTTAATCAGTCCACAGGGTATCTATGTATTAAAACATCGCACTGAACAATATATACCATTCTGACTGGTCAATTATACCTTAATAAAGCTGGGGAAAAAATAAACTTACCTTATGAAATTAATTGAGATCATTGATGTGAAGTGCAATTCATTAGAAAATACTCAGTCAATTTTAGCATTACTTTTATTACCATTAATTATAATTTGTCTACCCATGAATTTTATTCAACATGAGAAGAAATGCTAGCTCACCAGTCACCACACAGTGTGCTGTGTCATCACGGCCACAGGAAGGGAAGGGTCATGTACGGCCTGCAGGATTCTGAGGGACATCTCAGTTGCACCCTTTCTCTGGAGCAAGATTACAGATATGATCCAAGTAATTTTGACAAGGGGTTGGACACAGCATCCAAAAAGCACCCAAAGGAATCCTTGTCTGACCAAAGTGAATCTTCACTGTCAGGCCACCTGACACAGAAAGCCTTCAATAAATTCTTACCAAGTGGATGAATGAATGAATAAATGAACAAGTGAGTGCATGCATGAGGAAGGATATGAACAACTCTTCTCCTTTCACATGAGTTTCCCAAACTGAACAAACCAGGCACTGGGAAATCTTTATGATTCTTCAGATTCAGACTCACCAGCACATACGAAGTCCTCTCGTGCCAAGCCCTGGGCTCCCATATGCTTCATCCTTGTTTACTTTCTCAACAACCCTTTGGATTAGGATGGTGTTGCGACCATTTTATGAGTTTGGAAATGGAAATCCAGGAAGGTTCCTGTCTTATCCAAGAGTTATCCTGCTGGTTTGCCAGAGTCTGAATCCAGTGATTGCATTCCTCATTTAATGACCCAGCTCTTATGAGGGCTGGGAACGTAAAGTCTTTCCACCAAAATGTGCCTCTCTTTTACTTTCAGTTTTCTCACTTAAAGCTCAACTCTCTACCAGTCACTCATTCTAGAAACCTAGGCAGCAACTGAGGCTCCATGTTTTCCCCCATTGCCTGTATTCCTAAAAATTACCAAGAAGCCCAGTTCCCCTTCCTAAAAATCTCACAGATTTCCCACCATCCTCAGTCCTTCATACTAGTCCCCTGGTGCAGCCCACTGTCTTCTATGATCTTGTCTAACTCAACAGTCTTCCGTGGGGTAGAGCCCTCCAGCCTCTGTCATCTCAAACCCATCCTTATAAACAGGCACAAGGCACAAGAGTCATTAGAGAACACGTGAATGACACCTCACCCTCCAGCTTTCCACTCTTCAGCCACTCCTCTTTTCTCATGAGAAAACCATGCCTGGCATATGAAGCCCATCAGTGTTTGAGTCTTTGCAATTTGTCCATCTTCATCCCCTACCATTGCTCTGCCCCCACCATCACTCAGAGCTTACAAAGTGCTCAGACCTTAATCCCAACACTTTAGGAGGCCAAGGCAGGAGGGTCACTTGAAGCCAGGAGTTCAAGACCAGCCTGGGCCTCACAGTGAGGCCCCATGTCTACAAAAAACTAATAATAAAAAGTTAGCCCAGCGTGGTGGTGGAAACCTGTAGTCCCAGATACTTGGGAGGCTGAGGTGGGAGGATCACTTGGGCCCCAGAGTTTGAGGCAGAAACGGGCTATGATCATCCCACTGCGTACCAGCCTGGGTGACAGAGTGAGACACTGTCTCTAAAAAAAAAAAAGGAAAAAGAATCTTTCTAACTGTCTTACATCTATTAACTCCTTCAATCTCATAACACAGCTATGATGGGGTTACTATATTAGATGTGAAATCTGTGAGAGAAGAACCAATGTGACCACGTCTTAAACAACTATTTATTCCCAATGCCCAGCATAGAGCCTGGATCATCATAGGTACATACTCAGTGAACCACTTGTTGGATGGATGGGGGATGTAGGGATGGATGGATGGATACAATAAGGGATAAAGACATCTAATGCTAATAATAAAAATAATCTAAAGTTAGCTGTTCCAGCAACACTGGGCTCAACTAATAAGAACTCCATACTCTTCCTCTCTCCCAATTTAAAATCTCTAAAATCAATCGTATTTTCAACATGCTGGTTGCAGGTACAAACATACTCTGGAAGAGAAAAATGATAAACTGATGGTGAGTGAATGTGAGATACCATTTGTTCTCTCCTTTCCCCAAACCCTTGTGAAGTCCTGCCAAGCAACCCAATGAGAAGACCAAGGTCATAAAGTCTCTCTCTGTGTCCAGTCATTTGCATTCAACTGAGACCAAGGAAACCTGACTTGCCATATAGAAATGCTGTTTCTGGAATCCTTCAGCTATTGAGCTGATTTGCATTATCCCTTCAACATGAACTGATTTTAAGTGGGAGAAAAATCAACTTCTGTTTTGCACTCTAATGGGAGGATAAAAGTTATACAACCATGAATTCCACTGATTAGAGATTCCTGCTCATTTTCTGCTGCCTGCTAGCCATTTGGTAGCATTTTAATTTAACTTTCCACTTGCATATTCTCCATTAATATTTATGAAATGATTACTAGCTTCGGCTTACTCTGTAAAAACTGGATTTGAAGCATTCGGCAAAATACATTTGCTAGTAGTTGTGAACAAATAATGCCATAACAAGCTGTTAGGAGGCTTTTATTTCTTAATGTAGCTTTTTTTTTCCCCCTGAAGCTAACATAACTAAAAAGCAGTGTGGGCCTAATCAGCAGGTAGAGATTCCAATAATTACACTAAGCATTGTATATTACAGGAATCCTTAGAACAAGTCCAATTTCTGGCTTTGAGTGGAATCTGTGGAGTCTTTAATCCCATTAGATAAAGTTTGGTTCCCACGACTTAGGTTAGCATCATAATAATAACTAGGATGTGTGACGATCATCATAGTTGGAAAAGTTCTTTTCCTCATACGTTTCTATTCTATCCTCACAGCAACCCCATGAGATGACTATTACTATCGTTTCTACTTTACAAATTTGAGGTTTTAGAGTAAGAAAGCCTAGGTAATATCGTTCATTTAATAGACACAGTCTGCATGACTGTCCTGCTCCAGGTCCTGTGCCCAGTTCTTGCATCTGGAGGGCACACATTCAAGTCCTTGCCACCTGGGAGCTCATAATCTGTGCAGAGAGGCACTCAAGTAAATAGATCATTGCCGTATAGCGAGGGACAAAAATGACCACCGTGGAGGTCTGTGCAAGGCACAGCATAAAACCAAAATGAGCTCATCAAAATGGTAACAGGAAGCCAGAAGGAGGGTATTAGAAAGTTTAGGAAGTTCTCACTCTCCCAAAGGAAAACAGAGAAGCTGAATGCTAAGCACAACTAGCAAATATAGTGCAGGGGTGTAGAGCATCGTGACCTACTCAGGGCCTGCTATGCTGCAGCAGTGAGGTGGGAGGGCTGCTTGGAGACGGAAGCCTGGACCAGATCACAGAGGGCTGTGTGCTGGATTCATGTTTTATTTTTCAGGTGAAAAAGCATTGCCAAAAAGATTTTAAGTAGGGCACTAAGGTGACAAGACATGTGGGCCAGATAAGTTGTTGAGCAACAAGGAATGACTAAATCAGAGAGTAGGTACCCAGAGGCAAGCAGACCAGGTAGAAGTTCAGGAAAGCAGTGACGAAGGCTTGACCTTGGCCACGGGGCAGCAACAGTGGGGATGTAAATCAGGCTGCAGGAAGTGGCAGAACCCTTTATTGAACCAAATGCCATGCTCTGCATACCATACCACACTATCTTTAAAGACAGGCTTTAGAAACTATCTCTATAAGCACAAAGAAACCAAGAGGGTAGCACCCAAGAATGATGAGCCCCCTCCATTGGAAATGGAAGTTGAATGTATTGCTTACTATATATGTATATACATATACATACACACACACACACACATATACACATATATACACATATATGTACACACAATAATATATACACTCTAATATATATAGTAATAAGGCAGAGTTACACATTTATATACACACACTAACATACACACATACATATATACACATATATGTACACACAATATATATACACTAATATATATGCACACTAATATATAACACACATACATATAGTAATAAGGCACAATATATATACGTACATATACACATGTATATATACACACACAATTATATATACACTAATATACACACACTATAATATATACTATATATACTTTATACATACTATATATAGTATGTGTATATTAGTATGTATGTATACTAGTGTATGTATATAGTATATATAGTAATAAGGCTGAGTTACACACTAATATGTATATACACACTAATATACACACATCTATACATATGTACACACAATAAGATATATATACACACTAATAAATATATACACACACTAATATATATAGTAATAAAGCAGAGTTACACACTAATATGTATACATTAATAAACACACACACAATATCCACACACTCTACTATCTCTCTGTATATTTATTTAGACAGTAGTAAGGCAGCATTACATTGATCAGGCTCAGTATCAACAGTATTCTGAGCCAGGCTGGCTCATGGCAAAATCAGAGAAAGTGAGCAGTTTGGCCTTCTTGCTTCCTTCCTCCCTGTCCAAATGATAGCATTTTCAGGGTTAGTGGCTTAAAATGTCATTTCTCCAAGATGTACTGTCATGAAGAATGTTTGAATACTCTGGTCCAAGAGAATGTATCTTCACAGTGGAAATCCTGGAGTTTGAAGAGATATTGGGGAGATCTGGGGCCATGCTGGGGAGCCTTGGCCGTGCATTCTCTTCTGGCTTGTGTTCATTTCCACCTCCATGGTGGAATTCGAGGGCTTCCAGGACAGGCCCCGTTTATTTTCATGAGCACAGTTTTTCCTTCTCCTAGCTTAGAAGTTCCTGTCTTTGTATTAGGGCCTCTAGAGGTTTGCAAGTAAAATATAATTCTCCTTGAGAGATAAATTCATGCAGTCATTATCCACTATTAGAAAAGAGTAATGATTAAACTGCTTTGTAAGGATTCAGTTGGTTAAAAGGAAATAGAACATTGAACTGATCCGCAGGCTTCAAAGGTGACAAAGGGGCAGAACTTATGCAAAGAAAGGAGTTACTGGTTAAGTTTTCAAGCACTGTTGAGGTGGCGCTGTTTGAAAAAAGATATGCTGTCTCATGTATGCAGAAGCATATATACACGCACATTCCCGCTCACGCACATACATGCACACACAAAGCACTGCTGGGAGGAAGGGGCTGGATGACTAACCCGTCTGTCGATGACTTTCTAACAGAGAAAGCTGTCCTATGGTGAACACATTTGTCAAACCCAAATCAAAACTCATGTTCTAAAAGAAATGGCTTTTTCCTTTTATTTTTCTTCAGCAAAATGAATATGCTAATAACATCAGAGGCTCATCATCTTCTTGCACCCGATGCCCAGAGGAACAGTGATTTCTGCCTCCCCACTCTCCCTCCTCTCACTCTCAACAGCACTCGCCTCCTAGTTAGCAGAAATGATTGCGGCTCTTTGGTATAAATGCCTGTTCTCCCCTCCTCTTCAAAATATGTCTCTACCCAACTCCATCTTCTTTTAAACATGATGAAATGGGATAACAAAAACTGCCTAAGCTCTAGTGTCTGACACATTGGAGACTGAATTCCAGCCCTGGCAATTATAAAATGTGTGACCCAGGGCAAGTTCTTTCTCATTTTTGAGGCTTGGCTCTCTCATCTGTAAAATGTCAGTAACAGCACCTCCCATGAAGCTTCAGGTACATAGTAAGTGCTCAATAAATATTCGCTTCCATTCTCTCCCTTTCTCTTTTATTTTCAAAACCTTGAAAGCTTTAATACCTTTGTCTCTAATTCCAATGTTCTTTCCAAAATGGCTGTAGCTCTTTTGTGCTGCTTTTCTCATCAATGACACTGTGCACACTTCGAGATCCAATTTCAACCTGACTACAGTTGGGCAGATGTATGCATTTATCTTTCTAATACAAGCAAATACAACGTCATTACATATGCAATTTCAGATTAAAATACAGCATTTCACAAGAGGCAAAAATTCATTTTATTTAGTTGTGCGTGTGTTTTAAAATCTCTATGTTTCTACACTTCTGTAGTTTCTCTGAAATCAATAAGGCAAAACCTATTATTTTCAATGCTCATTTTGGAGCTTATGAAAGAGAAATGAGTATATTAATGTTGTGATTTAAAATATTCACAGTGAGGAAGGAAGTTCAGATCATTTTTCATTTATGCATTGTGGAGTAGTGTGCCTGAAGTGGTAATATATTTATGAGCTGCTTTGAGAATGAACGCAAATTATTAACTGGGCAGCACGCAAGAGAATTGATTAACGGAAGAGCTGTTTTCTATGTCTCCAGTGCCACCCATCACCTTGCAAACACTGAACAAAATACTTTTGCCTTAGAGGTAATTTAACTAACAATGAGACTAAACTAGCAGAAGATACTTTGCATGTTACTAATTAGAAAATGCACTCGTTCCTGTCCTCGCCCCTCCTTCTCTCCCAAGCTAACATGTCTTTATTATTCAGATATCTAGTTCTCTTCTCCTTCAAGAATCTTCACTGATCCTCACAGCTGGGTTAAATGCTGCTGCTGTCTCAGCTATGGGGCTCTGGGCTGGCTGTCCCCACCCCGATTGCTGCATTGCATCCCAGCTCTCTATTTCTTCATTTGCCGCCCTGGTTGGTAATTGTGAGCTCCATGAGTGTGGGAACTATTCATTTTATCCCAGAATCCACAGCACCTAGCTCGCTGCCTGGTCGATGTGGACATTCACCAAACTTTGTTAAGCAAATGAATAAATGGACGAGTCAATGAATGAATCAAAGAATGAGTGGAAGGGCCCCTTTAATAAAGCATTGCAGTGCTAGGTACACAGTAGTCATTTATAGAACTGGTGGCATTGAACAGAGAGCTAACTAGGAGGCGATGCTCGACTACAGAGAGCTTAGAAATTCTATTGAGATTATGTTGAGTACTATATGCCTGTCATGTTTGTATTGGCAGCTACAAGAATGTACTTCTTGCCTTAATTTTTTTTTTTTTTTTTTTTTTTTTTGTGAGACCGAGTCTCACTCTATCACCAGGCTGGAGTGCCGTGGTGCAATCTCGGCTCACTGCAACCTTCACCTCCTGGGTTCAAGCAATTTTCCTGCCTCAGCCTCCCAAGTAGCTGGGACTATGCACCACCATGCCCAGCTAATTTTTATATTTTTAGTAGAGATGGGGTTTCACCATGTTGGCGAGGATGGTCTTGATCTCCTGACCTCGTGATCCACCTGCCTCAGCCTCCCAAAGTGCTGGGATTACAGGCATGAGCCACTGCGCCCAGTCAAAATATTTTGTATTTTAAAGTAAGACTGCAATAGGATTCAACCATTACGGTAATAATGGTAAAAATAATACCATATTGTAATCATCCTGTACATTTGTTCCAATAAAGCTTTATATTTATGCATTATTTTAAAATAGGTCATCTTGTGTAATTTCCCCCATTTTCTGAGAAGAAACAGAGCTCTGAGAGATTACGGAACTTTCCCTGGGTAATAGGCCTGTGGCCTCCCAGGGTCTGTAAGAAACCAGTGTCTATACTGGCCTAATACCCCTTGGAAGCTGTCTATGCTGTTTGTGATTATTACCAGACTGATTCTGTGGTAAGATCGACATGTTTTTCTGAAAGCTGATGATAATTAAAGAGTAAATTTGTCAAAAATAAATTGACCAAAATGACAAGTGTTCTCAGTCAAAACTTTCTTCACATAATGTTAATTTTTGAACACAATGATCCAGTATTCAAGCTTTGTATGAATCTTTTTAAGCATTGGCATCTGTGCCTCAGAATTTATTTTTACTTTTAAAACAATTGTGCGTATCTTTTATGTTGCTATAGGATTTGTTTTTCATACTTTTTCTTTTCTAATTCTAATTTACCTTCAACTTCAATTATGCTAGCTTCCACTTTTCTAAAAATGTTGTGACATATCTAATTTTCATGTAAAAGAAAAAAATTTCAAAAATAAAAGCTGAGAATCACAACTTCCAATCATGATGATTTCTTGGCAACTCTACATTGATTTTTTTAATCTATGTTAGTTTGTCCATTTTCTAAGTTCTTTTACTAAAATGTGTTTTAATTTTACATTCATTTCAGATAGCTATTCCTATTTTACTTCTTTTGATTTTGTTTTCACCATGTTAGACTCTGAATTTATTTTATTTTAAATTACTCTTATGTAATGTAAGCATAATTTTTGCCACCTCATGGCATTATATTGCCATCATTTGATAGAAATTCTGAAGTCTGAATTAAAGCCCTCGTAAAAGTTATGTTCCATGCAGATTTAAGACAAACCATAGGCTTAGAAAAATAAACCAAAATGAATGTTCCCAATGAAAGCATGTAAAGATTCACAAATAATTGAAAAGAACATGAGAAACATAATGAGAGCTCGAAGATAGGCAAAAGTATACACAATTACTCAATGGTGTGCCAAGTTACCAATGCATAAAAATATTTGGTTTTGTTCAATTTGTTCTTTAAAGTCATAGTGTAGGGTTTATTGGTTAAACATATGAATTCATAACCTAATGAATGCGTATTCATGATGCTGTGATTTTAGTGACAGATTATTAGGTAACTCCTTAATTATGCTGATAGGCTTCATTTATTTGTTCATTTTTGACAAGGAGGAGTTTTCACCCTAAAAGACATGTCAATTACCCTGGTCAAGAAATGAGACTGGCCTTAGGATCAAAAGATGGAAGAACTTCCTCATTCACTGCCAAGACAAAAAGATGTTGGGAAAGGGCTCTGTGCAAAAGGGCTGGAAGCCCTCCTGACTCAGCCACACTTGCACTGTGTGTGGCCACCAGTGCCATGTGATCATTTGTGAGCATGTAAACCGGAAGAGCTGTGGAGCTATAGAGGTGAGATGGAGATGTCAGATGGGAGCAACCATTACTAAAGCAAGTTCCCGGGACGCAGAGATACTGTCTTCTCCCCCTGCACCTTCTGCTAAACCATTGAGGGTGGCAGTTGCCCCTGCCATTGAAACACTCAGTATTTGGGCCACCAGATTTGTGTGGAGGTGTGTCCAGGCAATCAAAGATAACAGACAAGGCAGGCACTGGCTTCAGAGAAGCAACAACAGTTAAAGAGAATGGGCTTCTTCGAGGACCTTTTCCCGATATTCTCTCTCGTCACTCAGCCAGCCAAGACTAATTCCCTGAATGGAGTAAGAATGTCTGGGGTGCATGAAATGGAACTGTCCAAAGAGAGTTAGATCGGGGTACTCTGGGACAAGAGAAAGATACTCATGGTTGGCAAGGTGGGGGCTTGGAGATTTGATTTTTATATTAAAATAAATGTGCCTTCCTTTTGCACCCCAGATTAGTGGAGCAAGTTTTTTTTTACATTTATTCAACAAAGCATGATGTGCTGATTTTTATTATGTTGTATGCTAAAGACATAAGAATTAAAAGTTGATGTCCATAAGGGACTTGTCATTTAACAGGAGAAAATCTTTCTTAAACCTAACTCTAACTACTTCCCTAATTTACTTACCCCTAATATAGGTATAGTAAAATTAATTGTAACTCAATGAGTACAAGAAAATAATCTCAAAAAAGCTTTTCAACCCTTTGGTAGTTCTGATAATGAATATTGCAGTAAATTCATTTTGGCAAATAGTTATTCATATAAAGAACTGTGAATGCCACTAGGGACAGGGTGATTTATAGAGATATGGATAAAATTTATTTTACACCTTAAATAACAATAATGGTCATTATACAGACTAAAATGTTGAATACACAGTAGTGTTTTCATTGCTTACACCAACTTTATGAAGTAGATACTATTATTATCTCCACTCTCCAGATGTTGATTTCAGTCTAATGATTGACATGTATCCAGTTAATGGTAATACAAGGCAGGAAAAAAAATAAGGACGAAAGATATATATAAATAATGTAGTTAAGGAAAGGAGAAACAATTCCAGGGGGGGAGGATAAACCCGGGATGTAATAGAATAGTTATATTTCAGTTGAACTAGAAGAATGAGAATAAACTTCACCAGCTATAAATAGTTCAGTGTAAAGCCAACTTGCAATAACAGAACCAATATCAAGTCAACGCCCGTATCAAATAATCAGTCAAGATTTGTCTACTTACACAGAGCAAACTTTTTGTGCGGACTTGGTAAGCTCCAGCAGGAGCAGCATGTAATAATACTGTTTCTCATTTAGCCTGTGGTTTTTGTCCACTTTCTATTTACACATTGTGTTTCCAGGTCCCACAAAGGACAGAAGACAATGTTTTCTTTGAGCTCCTGGACAAATCCAGTGCTAGCCCTGGAGAGAATGTCAGGAATGGGGTCTAGAAAGTTCAGCTAAACTGGGAAGGTGGATTCCCAAAGCATAAAAAAACCAAATCACATGTGGTAAGAATGGTTGATACAGGCCAGGCACAGTGGCTCACACCTGTAATCCCAGCACTTTGGGAGGCCGAGACGGGCAGATCACGAGGTCAAGAGATCGAGATCACCCTGGCTAACATGGTGAAACCCTGTCTCTACTAAAAATACAAAAAAATTAGCCGGGCGTGGTGGCGGGCGCCTGTAGTCCCAGCTACTCGGGAGGCTGAGGCAGGAGAATGGCGTGAACCCGGGAGGCGGAGCTTGCAGTGAGCCGAGATCGCGCCACTGCACTCCAGCCTGGGCAAATGAGTGAGACTCCGTCACACACATACAAAAAAAGAATGGTTGATATGGGAAAACATTCTAGTCAGAGTCAGTGTCAAACATCAGGCCTGGGGGTAAAACAAGACAACATGGGAAAATATAGCATGCAAATCTCAAGGTCGTGAAGATATGGAGAAAAAGGTATGGATAAAAAAACTATGAATGAGACAGAGATGGAGACTCTCACTTAGGTAGGACGTTTCTGAGTGTTGGGTCTTATCTCTCCACTTTGGCTACATTTAGGGATGAAAGGGAGCCAAGACCAGAGTATAGCTTATTCCCAGCTGCGGAGCAAGACATGGCTACCCAAGCTGAAGGACTTTCAGAATGAAAGCCCAGTCTCAACACAGAACAAATTGAGAACTGAGTGGTTTAGTTTGGAATCTACATCACCAAATTCAAATAAAATAAATCCAAAAATAAAGTCAAGATCGGACAGATAAAAAGTAAAAACATAAGGGTGACAAGGATAATAGAGCCCAGGTCTAGAGTATTGGTCAAGCTGGCCAGTAACACACTGCACTGGGGGTAACCAGACCCTGCAGTTTGGGAGAAGAGGGGGTGCCATTCCAGATGTAAGGGTATCAGGGAAATGGGCATAGGCCCAGTGGCTTTCTCATAAGGCTAACAATTTAGTTGTCGGTATCACATGCAGCTAATCTACTCTGTGTATATAGTAATTTATAATTTTCCATGCATATTCTTTACTGGCATATCACTTATTTGAAACCAACTTGTGGGGAGAAGAGAGTCGGTATGATTAGTTCCATATACCCACTATGACTGTGCCAAGCTTTTGGAGATGTTCCAACCCGTAGCATTCTTTAGATTGTTTTCTTTTCTTCACAAATGTGAAGACCTTCCATTGCTAAGAAAAGTAAATATGTCAGTCTGCTCTGTGCTCACCACCCTCACTATGTAATATAAAATTTTCAAAGTAAAATTACTGATTTATTTCTGCTTCTTACTCACCAGAAGAATGATTACACCAGTGTCATATAGATGGCCAGCAGGGTGTTAGAATTCTGTCTCAGAATGTTAACATTCTTTTTCTGCCTACTTCCCCAATATTACTTTCCAGTTTTTGAAAGCTCCTGGCTTTGTGAACTCACAGTAGCAAACCATGAATGATAGATGAGAAGAAAAATTCTATCCTTTCTAACTAATAAACTGGAGGATTTCAGACAATGCTCCCAATTTCTCAGACAAAAGGAGATTCCGATTATTTGCAGGAATATAATAACATAAAAAACAACAACAACACTTGTATGGAAAACAAAATTATTTTCATGGGGCAGAGGAAGGAAATAAAAATAAAAGAGGAGAATTAGAAAGAGAGGTAAGTAATTTATGTTGCAAAAGGTATAATTTTTTTCCTTTCATGTTTCAATGCTTTTGTCTACAACAAGGCAATCTGAAAATAAAAATTGTTTACATAGACGCCCCTCACCTGTCCTACTCAAATCTATCTTCTTTGCCTACTGCATGGTATTTTAAAAATTGGGTCTACTTTATTTTCCATTGTGTTCATTTTAATTCAACCAACGTCATGATGGAATTGTGACTATTTCTTAATCAAAGCAAACAGCACACAACTCAATCCATCCGGACTTTCACCAACCATGCTGGCTCCATGAGACTGTTCAGCTCTGGCCACACTGAGCCGCCCACCTCCCTGTGGCTTTGATCCTGGGCTTGATCCTGAGGCAGCCAGGGCAGGAGCCCAAAAGGACCAGACTGCTGGAAACCACTGATTCCCTCTCTTCCCCACAGAGACACATTTCAGAGTTTTCATTCCTGTTTTGCCATTTAGCAGCTTTCTAATCATAGGCAAGTTACTTAAACTCCATGAGTCTATTTTTTTCTAATCAATAAGTTGAAGACAGCAATGTCAGCTAAAGTCTCCTATTAAAAACTAGCTGTAACATATGCAAAGCATATAGTGTCTGGAACATAATGCATTAAGTAACTGTTAACTATTAACTCTGGGTTTTTTAATATTAGAAATTAGAGAGTCAGTCCTCCTTGATTAAGGACATTAGTTATTGTTTCGGTTATTCTTATAAGTGCCTATTCTTGGTTATTACACTTAATTTTGTCTATAAGTGTCATAACTCCAGCATCTGAAAATGAAGTAATAAGTTAGCCAATGGTTAAAAAAAAAAAACAGTCAGCATATTCTCTCATTTCCTTTTTGATTAATACTATCAATCATAATTATATCATTAGTGGAAAATGGCATGCAGATCAGCTTGTATTGTATTAGAAACAGCATTCAAGCTCAGAGGAAAGAGTCCCGGACTTGGAACCAGGCAGATTTGAATGACGAGACTATCCCTTAATTGTTGTTTTGCACTTGGGCAAGTCAGTTAGGCTCTTTTTTTCAGCTTGATTCAGAAAAGTATCCATTGAGATCCTAGGACTGTTTTAAAGGCTAGAGATGCTGTGATAACAGTATAACCTCTAAGAGTTACCATTTCCTCATCTGGTAAATGAGTACAATAAAAGCCAGCATCAACTCTTGCCTGACAACAATAAACCTTTAACTGTTCTGTTCTCGCTCTTGTCCTGTTCCTCCCCCTGCCCCACTGCCCATCTTTTCTCCCCACAAAATCAACGCAATCTGCTAAAATATGTAAATTGCAGATCAGCACACTCCCTTGCTCAGCCCTCATCCGTGGCCTCCTAACACAAGCAGAGCCAAATCTGTGAAGCTCTGGGCATGGCCCCGAGGCCCTGGGGCCTGCCCTGCCCACTTTCCCACCACATATCTATCTGCTTACTGTCCCCTCTGCTCGGTGGCTCCAGACACACTGGCCGTCCCTTCTTCAAACGTGCTGAGCTCTTTTCTACCCAGGACTTCTGCATGTGCTGTTTTCTGTGCCTTTTCCTTTGAACTATGAAGCATTTGATCCCTCCCCTTAGTAAGGCCATTCCTCCAATGCCACCTCTCAGAGAGACTTTCTCTCACCTTTCCATCTAAAACAGCCACTCTTATTCTCTCCATCTCCTCATCACCCACTTTGCTCTCACCTTATTTAACTTTCATTCCTAACAGTCACCATTGCCCATAACTATTTCACATATCTGTGTATTTATTTAGGGTGTTTTTCCCACCATAATGTAATCTTCCTAGGGGCAGGATCTTGACGCTGTGTTCATTACATTATCTTTAGTACATAGACCAGTGCCAGCACATAATGAGTGATCAACATATTATTTGTTGCCTGTCTCTGAATAAACAAATGACTCCAAGTCCATGTGATGATTAAATGAGATATGATAGGTAGTGAGAACTAAGTGCCTGGCCTCAAGTGGATATTGAAAGAATGAAAGGGAAGGACAAGATTCTTGTACTGATTCAAACATACCATGATCCTACACACAGGATTTATGGACACCCTGATTGTCTTGTTATCATAACAGGTCCTCACTGTATTGTGCAAGCACAGTAAAGGAGAATGGGAGTTCTTTGTGTTAGAGAAAATGAGAATGAAATTGTTCATTCAAGAACAAAGCAAAAAATGCAAGGGCCCAGGATGGGGATGCACACATCTGAGGCTAGGGACAAGGAGGAAGTTGAAACCCAGGCCAAGAAATGACCATGATTTCACAGCAGCCTTGCCTGGGAAGAGAGAGGTCTTAACTGGAAAGAAAGGGTTAGGGAGAAACTCCTTGGGGAGAAGAACGTTAAGGCTTTGGTGATACTGGAGGCTCAGCCCTGTATGTGAAATGTCTCAAAGAGATAGGAAATTCTTTTTTCTTTTTGAAGACTCTCCATCTCCCCATTTTCTTACATCAGTGGTCTGTTGATCCTCCTACCTAAATGTGTGCCCCCTCCCTAGGGTCCTTGCCACAGCTCTGTCTCAGGTGTTTATTATCGCTCACCTGGACAATTGCAATTACAGCTCATTATTGACCATCTTGGACTTGCTCTGCATGGCTCTAATTTACATTATATTTAAATTTATCTTCATGACTGATTTTATCTTTTTACATTCTTAATTGTATTATTTTCTGAAGGAGAAAATACTAGAGTTTGAGTAGAATGACATTAAGTTTAAAAATCTGCAGCAAAAGTTCTCAAAAATTGTCATGAGGGGGGCATTACAAAGGGAATCCATATATGCTACTGATGCTCAATTGCCTTCTCTAAAGTCTTACTAGAGGGCAATTGAGCAATATGTGTCAAAACCTGAAATAATCTAGCAATTACACTTAGAGGAATTTTTGCCTAAGGCAATGTAATGGTTAGCTTTATGACTCAACTTGACTGGGCTAAGGGATGCCCAGAGAGCTGGTAAAACATTATTTCTGGGTGTATCTGTGAGGGTGTTTCCAGAAGAGATTAGCATTTGAATCAATAAACAGAGTAAAAAAGATCCACCTTCACCCATGTGAGTGGACACCCTCTAATCTGTTGAGAACCTGCATAGAATGAAAAGGAGGAGGAAAGGCAGATTTGCTTTGAGCCAGGACATCCACCTTCTCCTGCCTTCAGATATCAGCACTTCTCACTCTCTGGCATTTGGACTTGAACTGAACTACACTACAAGCTTCCCTAGTTTTCCAGCTTGTGGATGGCAGATCACGGGACTTCTCAGCCTCCAAAGTTGCATAAGCCAGTGTCTCACAATAAACCTCTTTCTATCTATCTATCCTATTGTTTCTGTTTCTCTGGCCAACACTGACTAATGCAGAAAGTAACTGAAAAATTATTCAAATGAATATATAAGGCACATTCATTGTATCATGATCTTCAATAGTGAAAAACTAGAAACATCCAAATTGGCTATCATGTGATATAAATAAGTTATAGCACATTTAAGGAATATATTATACAGTAAAAAGATAAGATATATTGAAACATACACATATATGGATAAAGAGTTATAGATATTGTTAAAGAAAAACTTCAGCCAAATTAAATGTAACAGAGTTTAAGTGAGTGGAGTATGATTCATGAATCACACAGCCCACTGAACCAGAATAGGTTCAGCGAGACTCAGGTGCTGCAGTGGGGTTGAAGAAAATTTATGGGCAGGAAAAGGCAAGAGACATACAGAAAACAGAAGTGAGGTATAGCCACAGCTGGATTGGTTACAGCTTGGTATCTGGCTTATTTGAGCACTGTTTGAACTGTTAGCCACCTTTGAGCAGCCAAAACACAGTGATTGGTACAACAGTAGGTTACAGACTGTTTACATGCCTAGTTAGGTTACAGTGGAACATACATAGGTTCGACTATGTATGGAGAAACCTTTAGCCATTACTTAAAATATGTAAGGAGGCAGCTGTAGGCTAAACTTAGTTTAACATCATAAATCTAGAATTATATATATCAGCCAGGTGCGGTGGCTCACGCCTGTAATCTTAACACTTTGGGAAGACAAGGTGAGCCAATTGCCTGAGCTCAGGAGTTGGAGACCAACCTGGGCAACACAGTGAAATCCCATCTCTGCTAAATTACAAAAAATTAGCTGAGCGTGGTGATGTGCACCTGTAGTCCCAGCTACTCAGGAGGCTGAGGCATGAGAATTGCTTGAACCCGGGAGACAGAGGTTACAGCGAGCCAAGATCACACCACTGAACTCCAGCCTGGGCAACAAAGCAAGACTCCGTCTCCAAAAAAAAAAAAAGAAGTATATATAAGTATATGGATATATAGAAAGATATATAAATAAAGATGAGAAGATTTTTCTCACATATTGTTAAATGTGAAAGGTCACAGACTAGTATATATAGCTCCACTTTTATTGAAAATAATATAGTATTCACATATATGTACTTATTAACCACATTAAAAAGTTTAAAAGCTAAAAGTATATTTGCCAGTTACCAACAGTTCTCTCAAAAAAGTAGATGGTAGAGTTTTTATTTTGTTTTCTATATATTTCTGTATTGTTTGATGTGTTAAAGGTTAACTGATATACTTTAACAATAAGATGAATTTTAAAGAGATTTCTGTCTGCGAAAAAATAACTTTCATGTGCTACTTTTTGTTCTTTATGGTATATACTTATTATAGTTCTGTCTTTATTTTGTAAAATGTACCCACGAAAATATGAAGATATTCTGTGTTCATGCTTGCAATCTATCCAGTTTTGGGTTTTTTTTTTTTACACAGAGTCTTGCTCTGTGGCCCAGGCTAGAGTGTAGTGGTGCTGTCTCAGCTCACTGCAACCTCCACCTCCCAGGTTCAAACGGTCGTCCTGCCTCAGCCTCCCATGTAGCTGGGATTACAGGCGCATGTCACCATGCCCAGCTAATTTTTGTATTTTTACTACAGACGGGGTTTCACCATGTTGGCCAGGCTGCTCTCAAACTCCTAACCTCAGATTGTCCATCCACCTTGGCCTCTCACAGTGCTGGGATTACAGACATGAGCTACTGTGTCTGGCCCCACAAACTATCCAGTTGTTTAGGAACATGTGTATACCATGTATTGAGATTTACCCTCGTGTTTGCTTTGAAATAGATACAAATATAGACCGTTAGAAAAATCAATGTATTTTTAATACATTCATCTTATGATATTGTAGATTAAAACAAATGGATTTTAAAATCCAATATAAGAATGTGTGTAAAGATTAAACCCTGGAATCAAAGATGCTTGTGTATCTGGGAGCGGATATAACAGAGAAATGGCTAGGTTGGAAGAATTTGAGGGAGTGTTTCCGAGTAACACCATATTCAGATTAGACTATTGTATTTTTAGTTTCAGTTTATTGTTTTTTAAATTTATCAAAACCTTTGCTCATCCTTCTAATCTAATCAAAGGTAACGGGCTTTATTTTGAGACAAACATGGTTTAATAGAACACAATTTCTAAGATTCCGAGAGCCAAGCTACATGTTACATATTAACTTTATGATCATGGCTTTGTCACTGATTCCTGAGACTAGGTTTCTTCATTTGTAGAACAATAGGAGGTGTTCCCTCACAGAATTCCTCCTAAGGGAAAAGTATTTTCAAAATTATTATCCCTTTTTTGTCAGCATTCCTTCAAAATTTCCAGAGGCCACCCTGGTTGCTAGTTCTCAGGATTTTTTTTTTTTTAATAAAAAGTCTCCACCAGGCACAGTGGCTCACACCTGTAATCCCAGCACTTTGGGAGGCCGAGGCGGGTGGATCACCTGAGGTCAGGAGTTTAAGACCAGCCTGGCCAACTTGGCAAAACCCCATCTCTACTAAAAGTACAAAAATTAGCCAGGTGTGGTGGCGCATGCCTGTAATCCCAGCTATTTGGAAGGCTGAGACAGGAGAATCGCTTGAACCCGGGAGGCGGAGGTTGCAGTGAGCTGAGATCACGCCATTGCACTACAGCCTGGGCAACAAGAGTGAAACTCCACCTCAAAAAATAATAATAATAAAATAAAATTTTAAAAAAGGTCTCATTGTTTGAGTCCATGTAGGAGGGATGAAAGGTTTGGAGAGTTCGAGAAAAATTTGGATTCAAATCTTACCTCCACAACTTACTTTCTCAATGTCCACAGACAAGCCAACATAGTTTGCACCCTCACCTGAAAAGTGAAATTTCTAATCCCTGCTTCACGGCATGGTTGTGCAACTCAAATTAGACAATGGATATAAAAATGCTTCATAAACTATTATGTGTCTTATGGATTAAAGCTAGCATTAATATCATGGATACTGACAATATATATTAATTGCTGATTCTTTTCATATTACATTAATAATATCAATTAGTGCTATTTATAAGAATTATAGGGTGATAATGGAACTTAGAATCATGGCATAATAACCTACCAAGCTTTAGAGTCAAGGGTCTCAAAAAATATACTTTGATATCTGAAGCCTACATATTATCTGAACTTTTATCAGGTGCCTTGGTGGGTCCAGGTTTTTCTAGGAAATGCAGTGCCTTGGAAGGTCCTGTATACAGGAGTGATAAATGCTCACCTGGCTGGAGTGTGTTTGTAACCGGAAAGGGGTCCTGATTCAGACCCCAAGAGACGGTCTTGGATCTCGCACAAGAAAGAATTTCGGGGGATTCCATAAAGTGAAAGCAAGTTTCTTAAGAAAGTAAAGAATAAAGAATGGCTACTCCATAGGCAGAGCAGCAGCTTGGGCTGCTGAACTAAAAATACCTGTAGTTATTTCTTGATTATATGCTGGACAGGGGATGGACTATTCATGAGTTTTCCCGGAAAGGGGTGGACAACTCCCAGAACTGAGGGTTCCTCCCCCTTTTAGACCACATTGGGTAACTTCCTGATGTTGCCAAGGCATTTGTAAACTGTGATGGTGCTGGTGGGAGTGTCTGTTAGCATGCTAATGCATTATGATTAGCATATAATGAACAGTGAGGACGACAAGAGGTCACTTTCCTCACCATCTTGGTTTTGGTGGGATTTGGCCGGCTTCTTTACCACATGCTATTTTGTCAGCAAGGTCTTTATGACCTGTCTCTTGTGCCAATCTCCTATCTCATCCTGTGACTTAGAATGCCAAACCTCCTGGCAATGCAGCCCAGCAGGTCTCAGCCTTATTTTACCCAGTCCCTATTCAAGATGGAGTCACTATGGTTCAAAGGCCTCTGACATTTTGGCCGGCACAAAAGAGCCTCTCTCTCACTCCCCCTGACATTTCTGTCTCACTGATGGCATCCTGCACTGTGAGGGGATTGGGCCCTGACACTGGGCAGAGCCAGGATGCTTGTCCCCAGTGCACACAGTCTGTGTCCTTACTTCGTGCCTTATTTTTACCTTTTAAAAGAACAAGGAGTCTAATAAAATAAAATGATGTATGTGAAGCACTTTGTAATGCAAAAAGAGCTAGTACTGATGTTGGCGTTTCTTCAGGGTTTTTATTTTCATCATTTATGTTAAAAACTATATTGGGAGCCGGCTGGCCCGCCATCTGTGGATGCACCTTCTGTAGAGCACGCTGCGCGTGCGATCGCTGTGCTCTGGGTCACTTCTCATGCTGTACTGGGAGCAGTTGTTAAATGGGACTTCCGAAGCTGCAAAGCAAGCATTGTGACCCCTTATCATCATTATGTGAACTTGGCATTATCCTCTTGCCAAAAACATCTGCCTGAAAGATTGCTGCAGGAAGCAACTGGTAAAAAGTAAGATTCTAGCTTAGCCTGTCATTCACTTTGCTCGAATTAAACCCATTTGCATTTCTAAAATGTATTAGTTCTATTCAAAGCCTGCCATAGAAATGGAAATGGCCTTGGGGAACAGCCTGTTCCTAATCAGTGATCCTGGAAGATGAGGCAGTGGCTGACTTTGAAACCCAACCTAGCTTTCTCTGCAGGAAACCCCAGATGCAAGTTTCCAAAGGTAATCAGATGTAAATGCCACTTTCCTTCTGAGTGCCACTAATTACCCAGGGTCCTGGCACTCGGAGCTGTCAGAGCTGATTCAAGAGCCAGAGAAGAGAATTTCCTCTAGAGGATATGAGACAAAAGTTGCAAAACAATAACAGAAACCAAAAAGCCATTCTTTTTATTGATTTACTTATTCATTTTTATTTATTTATTTCTTTATTTACTTACTTATTTTTGAGACAGAGTCGCGCTCTGTTGCCCAGGCTGGAGTGCAGTGGCACGATCTCGGCTCACTGCAACCTCCACCTCCCGGGTTCAAGCAATTCTGCCTCAGCTTCTTGAGTAGCTGAGATTACAGATGTGCACCACCACGCCCAGCTAATTTTTGTATTTTTAGTAGAGACGGGGTTTCACCTTGTTGGGCAGGCGAACTCCCAACCTCAGGTGATCCACCAGCCTCAGCCTCCCAAAGTGCTGGGATTACAGGCGTGAGCCACTGCTCCCGGCCCAAAAAGCCATTCTTAAATCTTTAGTGAACTTCTTTTCGATAGGAAAGGCAGAAGTAAAGCCACTGGTTAAAAGCTGAAAGGGTTCTAAAATTCTGATTCTATAAAGGAAGGGAATAATGAGCAGTTAAACTCAGAAAAACAATCAGTAGGAGAAAAAAACGGAAAGTTATTTATTTATTTATTTACTTATTTATTTATTCAGGTCAAGGTCTCGCTCTGTCACCCAGACTGGAGTGCAGTGGTGTCATCTCAGCTCACTGCAGCCTCAACCTCCCAGGCTCAGGTGATCCTCCCACCTGAGCAGCCAGGGTAGTTGGGACTATAGGCATCCACCCCCAGGACAGGCCAATTTTTTTGTAGAGACGGGGTATCGCCATGTTGCCCAGGCTGGTCTCAAACTCCTGGGCTCAAGCGATCCGCCTGCCTCGGCCACCCAAAGTGCTAGGATTACAGGCATGAGCCACCACAACCCACGTGTTTTTTTATTTTTTAATGAGCCCCTAAAAATTGCTACTGAGAACTGGTATGTTCGAAAACCAGCAATGATGATCCATGAGTGTGTCATCTGTCCCTTCACACGAGTCTATAGGCAGCGCCAGCCCAGCACTATCCCAGACATTAGTTGTCACTCTGAGGTCAGACAAGTGCCCCACATGATTTATGGGTCTTTGGGGGAGTTCCCAAACTTTCATCCATGTTTCCCAGAGCCAGATTCTTCTGGGGTTAGAACTAGGCTCGCAATTATAATTACAAACATGGATTCATAATGTAACACCCCAAAAAGTCCAAACACCCATAATGGGTATTCATTTGCACTTTGCAAAACATCACCCAGACGCTGCATCCACCAAGGTGCTTGAGTAGTGAGTGAGCCTAGCACGTGTCTGCATGGCTCTGTGATTTGCCACCGTTACTGGGTACACGACAGATTTTGTGAAAGATAAAATGCTTCTGAGTAAAAAACAGCTCTCACATGAAAAAAAAAAATGCATGAATAAAATTTAAAAGATTTTTCTTAGAAAGGTATGCACAGGAAATACCTGCCTGTTGATTGAAATGTGATTTGGGGATGACGTCTTCAATCTATTCTACCTTTTTTTTTAATTGGTGAATTTTGAGATTTACAGAAGTTCTCAGGCCTGGCCCCCTGTAACTGCTGAGGACCTGCTGTATTTGCCTGCCTCAATTCCCACCTGCCCTTTTGGGAATTCCAGGCCCTCTTCAAAGTTTAACTATTTCAGGGAGCCTACAGGAGATACCACATATGTTTATTCAATAACTAATTATTGTGCCCCAACTGCTGTACACTGTGTCTAACAATGGGAATACAATGGTTTTTTGTTTTTGTTTTTTTTGTTTTTGTTTTTTTTTGAGATGGAGTCTCGCTGTCTCCCAGGCTGGAGTTCAGTGGCGCGATCTCGGCTCACTGCAAGCTCCGCCTCCCGGGTTCACGCCATTCTCCTGCCTCTTCCCCCCGAGTAGCTAGGACTACAGGCACCCGCCACCATGCCCAGCTAATTTTTTGTATTTTTAGTAGAGACGGTTTCACCGTGTTAGCCAAGATGGTCTCGATATCCTGACCTCGTGATCCGCCCGCCTAAATGGTATTGTATTGAAATAGAAGTGGCCTCTGCTAGTATGGAATGCTCCTATAAAATCATCATTTATTTCCCTCCTATTCCGATCCCCAGATGGACTAGGCATCGGATTCTCTGGAAATCTCAGACATTGCTGATGATCATGAAAAATGAAATCATTATTGTACCCGGTTCCTACGGCTGCTGAAACATATTACTACAACCTCTGTGGCTTAAAACAACACAAATTTGTCAAATTACGGTTGTGTAGGTTGTGTGCAGATATTTGGAATGAGTCTTATGGAGCTAACACCAAGGTGTCAGCAGAACTGCTTTCCTTTTGGAGGCTCCAGCTGAGAACTCATTCCTAGCCTTTTCCCTCTTCTAGAAGCAAATCACTCAAAACTTTGCCTTCATCAGCACACTCCTTCCCTGAATCCGGCCCTGTCACTTCTCTCTTATAAGGACCCTTGGGATTACCTCGGGCCCACCAGATGATCCAGGGTAAACTCGCCATCTCAAGATCATTAGCTTAATCACTGCTGTGAAGTCCCTTTCGCATGTAAGGTGACATCTGTGTCAGTTCTGGGATCAGGTTATGGCCATCTTTGAGGAGCCTTTATTCTGTCTTGCCACAATTCCTGTCACTGCCAAAGCTGCTGACAAATGCTACTGGGAGCCCCAGTGCACAAGATAATAGTATCATTTTATGTCACTGGAAAAAAAAATATGCTTTCACAGTTTCTTTATTCTTTTAAAAGTATGTTAAATCAAGTTTAGCCTAAAGCTGCTTCCTTACATATTTTCAGTTCGGCCTAAAGATTTCTCTGTACATCATGAGCTATAACGTACATAGAGTTGTAAATAGACTGTAGCCTACGCTTGTGCCAGTCACCGAGTTTTGGCCAAAGGTGGCAAGTTGTTCAAACTGTGTTCAAATAAGACTGATGCCAAACAGTAACCAATCGGGCTGTTTCTGTACCTCACTTCCAATTTCTATAAATCATTTTCCTTTCTCTGTCCATAAATCCTCTTCCACCACGTGGCTGTGCTGGAGTCTCTGAGCCTACTCTGGCTCAGAGGCTGCCAGATTCACAATTCTTTGCACAATTAAACTTTTTATAATTTAATTCGGCTAATTTTTTTCTTTTAACAAGGGTTTATTACACACCTATTGAGTGCCAGCATTATTCGCAGAGCTGGGCTTAGTGATCAACAGGCAAGATAATGTTCCTGCCCTCCAAAAAACCTGTATTTCTCATTTGGGGGAAACTGGCAGTAATTACGCAAAATGTAACCAATATAATTTAAATATTGACAAGTCCTCTGAAGAAATAGAGAAGAGTGATACGGCGTGTGACTGGGGAGGTGCTGGCCACGGGAGACCTTTCTGAGGAGGCAGGTTGGAGCTGAGACCTAGACAGGTGCGGAAGCAGCTAGGAAGAGAGCCCGAGGAGCCCTCCAGACAAGAGGGAGCAAAGGCCGTGGGTAGGAGTGCACTTTGCACACTGGGGAAGGCCAGTGTGGCCGCGGGTAGGGAAGTCAGGGGAGAGTGGAGCTAGATGGAGAGTGGCGATACCGGTTGAGGCCAGATAGCAGAAAGCCTTTGTAGGCGTGGTAGAGGACTTTGGCTTTGTCCTGGGAGCAATGCAATGCCAAGAGAGGTGTTTTTTTGTTTTTTGTTTTGTTTTGTATTGTTTTTAAGTGACCTAATCTAAATTGCTAAATGAACTCTTTGGTTATCTTATGGAGAATGGACTTTTTGGGAAGCAGGGATATGGGTTTGAAGATAAGTTCAGTAATCTAGGCAAGAGATAATGGTAGTTTATAGTGTAATGGAAGTTATATAATATATATTTGTATATATATTGGTCTCAGGATATATTTTTGAATATTTTTTATCCTTCTGATGGATGAAGATGCAAAAAAAAAAGACTCAAGGAAAACACATGCTTTTTTCTCAAGAAGATACGTAGATTTGCTTAGGAAGAATGGGAAAACAGCAACTCAAATGGATTACAAAGATTGGTGGGGGCAGCAGAAGTGGAGTTCCATTTGGGATAAGTTAAGTCTGATGGCTACTAAACTTGGAAGAGGAGATTCAGATCCACAGTTGGAGATCTGAGTCTGAAGCTCAGAGGAATGGCCAGGGAGAGAAACATAAATGAGGAGTCATCAGAGATACAGAGACACCCACACCATCTTCTGTGGGTGACCTTCTTTCCAGGCACTCTGCTGCTACCACCAATGTGGTCAGTTCTCTGAGACCCGGATGCTGTAAAGATGGATGGACTCTAGGAAAGAGGAGTAGCAGACCCTGGGCACAGAGAGTTATCCATGTCCTGGAATCCACAAAGCCAATTTCAGCCTGAATGAGATTCCACTGATCTCTGGCCCATCCCAAGTCCCTGTGTGGGAATGGGGGCTCACCAAGGAAGGAGCCACCAGGAAAAGATGCCACAGTCTAAAGGAGAAACTACACTCTGGTGTCCTTGAGGGCAGGCATCAGCAGCAGCCTGGGTGTGTTTGTCCCAGACCACTTTAAAAATATTTAATTATTTGCCAATATATTAAACTTTAGAGGGTTTTCTTCCTCTTGAAAATTATGAAAAGGCATAATAATCCAGAGCCCACATTTCCTCTCGGCAACCATCAGCTGCAGCTGAGACAGCAACTCTCTAGTCACCACCGTGCTCACTCAGAAGGGCATTAAGCCCTGCACCTTAAATAAATAAAAAGGCAGATTATGCAGAGGAAGAAAAAAATCACCATTCCTGCCACTGGGCCAATAGAATCCCCAGCCAAAGGTTGCCACCCCAAAACACTGCTGTATTCCACTGAGCAAAGGAATAAGAGCCACTTGCTATAAAGGTCCAGTCCTCCATGAAGGAGCCTGGTCACCCATCAAGATTTAGAGACATGGGCTTGAAAAGGTCATGAAAAAATCAGCTCTCACTTCTTGCACAATTTTCTAGTACAAAATTTTTCTTTGCAGAAACATAGCTTACATGACACCTAGATAGCAGCTTCTAATGTACCTTCTCTCAATTACCCAATGCCACCCCACCCCACAAAAAAAAAAAAAAAAAGCTTGCAAATACAGAAAAAAAGGTGAAAACTCAAAGCACACCAAACAACAAGCCTGACAGGCAGCTAAAAGTTACAATCTGGAATTTTCTCCTAAAAAGAACAGATTTTTAAGAAAAAAAAAAAATAGCCAGGGTTAAGCAAGTAGTAGACTCCCATTTCTCTAAATAACGGTGCCCTTTCATAAATCCCCAATATCATCCACTGGCCCAGGGACCCCAGGCCCATCCTCACCATGTATAGCCATCTGTCATATTAACCTATCATGTGGTAATCTGAGTATTGATCTCTTTCCTCAATCAAGGCTATGACCATCTTCAATCTCCACACCAAATCTAGAAAATAAAAAACAACTGGACATGCAAGTTATATAGAGTAGTGCTGGCGCATGTTATCTCAGAGGTTAGTCCCATCAAAGACAACTCCTGCCCAGTTGTTAGGCAGGAGTCCCTTGCTTTTTGAATATCTGGTTAAAATTGATTCAACCTCCCATTCTATTTCAGTGCATCGTAAGGGTACTCATATTCTCAAGAGCATCCTTTTTCTCCTGGCTCAGCAGGTGATATCTTAGCAGTGCTTCAACTCAGATCCAAAATGCCTCATCTTCCTTGATTCACCAACAAAAATTATTCTTTCAAAGGACCAGTGAATACAGCAGAATTTGCTCGAGATGACCTGGTTGGAGGCACAGAGAACAAAGGAGGGTTTGCATAGCAGAACTATACTGAATCAACCAGGTAACACTAAGCTAACAAATGACCCCCAAATCTTACTGATTTCCAATAATAAAGTTGTACGTTCATTCACCCTACATGCACATCACAGTCGGCCCTGGCTCTGTTCCCATTTTCTTCTTCATGGACCAAAGCCAGCAGAGCATTTGTTACCTGGAAGAGGGCCAGTCATCACAGAAGAGGGAATCACTCACTCACAAACGCTTAAAGCTTTTGCTTGGAAAACCACGCACATCAATTTCACTCATGACTGATTGACCAAAGCAAGTCACATGGCTGAAACTGAGTACTAAGAGTGTGGAGATGTATAATCCTCCCACAGACGGTGGCACCAAATATAGATGAACAGTAATACAATCTACCACATTAGCATTTTAAAATGCAGGAGTAGATATCATCATCTTAAAATACTTTGGCAAGACCCTAGGAGGCTCAGTAGTCCTCACCTCTCTACTGCCTCTTTCCCACCCTCCAGAGCAATACAATTCTTCCCCTTGTCTCATGCAAAACTCCTTAAATTTTATCTGTTGTCAATACACAAACCCTCTACCCCAACCCCTTATCTCAGAATTTTGTTCAAGCAAGGAATGTTGGTGTCAATTGCTAAAATAATGTTTCCTCTGTCTGATTACATGAGAAAATTATAATAATGTTCCCTCTGTCTGATTACATGAGAAAATTCTAAGTAGGAGTGGTAAAAAAAAGAACCCTGAATGCTGAAAATGGCAATTTTGCATCATAATTTGTGCCAATTCCAAATACCAGAAAAGCCACAGTAGGCTTAGGGAGAAGTTGCCATTTTGGAAGGGCAGAGGAGTGCCAAGAGAAAGCTTTCTAGAAGCTGGGCATTGGGTTTAGACCCACTCATGCCCATCTACCTTCAGCTCTAGCTCTAGCTCAAAAAGGATTCCAATAAAACCCATGAATAGAGAGCAGGGCCCAGGGCACTCTGTTGGCAAAGACCTATTCAAGATGTATCTCATCTTTGTTTTGTTTGTGAGGTTGGTAAAAGAAGAAAGCATCTTTTAGTGGGTTTATTGGCTCTTTGCATAACTTTCTTCTAAAGTGCATGTTCAAGCAATTTGTCCAATAAGAAAAAAGTCAAATAACTCTAATTTTTAAAAGGGGCAAGTGATTTGATCAGGGACTTTGCAAAAGTGCATGCCCAAGTGTCTAATGGACAAATGAAAAGATACCAACACTTATCTTTAAAAAATTAACTAAAATAAACAACAAAATTACTATAATATAAAGTTTTCGTGAGGATGTACTGCAACTGAAAATCTTAAATATTGAGAATATAAATTATTACAAACACAGTTAAAGGAACTAGTTGGTTGTATCTACTAAACCTAAATATAGACCTACTGTACGAACCACCCTGCCCAATCATAGTTTCATACCCAAGAGAAATGAGTACGTTTTCCCACAAAAAGAAATAAACAAGATTATTTACAGCAGGCTTATTCATAATTGCCAAAAGCTGAAAACAACCCCACTGACCATCAACAGAAGAATGAATACATAAATTGTGGTATAGTCAAATAATGGACTACTTATATACAAATTAAAAAAAAAAAACATTGATACACACATAATTTGGATGAATCTTTAAAACATAGTATGTGCAAAATAAACCAAAATAAAAAGTGCATACCACATCTATATGCAGTTCAAGAGTAAGAAAATCTAATTGACAGTGATTGAAGTCAAAATGTGATTATTCTGAGGTGGAGTATTGATGACGAAGGCGCAGAAAAGAACCTTCATGGGTCCTGAAAATATTCTCTGTCTTAATCTGTATGGTGATTACACAGATGTATATAAAATTTTATCAAGCTCTACATAAGGTGATCGTTCTTCATGTGCTTAGTCTGTGTGAAACACATTTATGCTTCTTATTTCACCAAAAAAATGGAAACTTTGCCCACTCCCATGAGAAAACTAATTTTCCCATTTCAAAAATAATCTTGAAACTGGGAGGTTTAAAAAACAATTCAGGGTGCATCTTGAAAGACTGGTAAAAATTGATCAGGTAAGAAAGAAAATCAAGTTTCAAAGACTGGGAAGCAAGACAAAATAAGAACCATTGAGTATTATAATCAGTATGGAACCAACAGGAAATACATGTGAAATATTCTAGATTATTAACAACTTGAGAAACTTGCTCTTGGATTTCCAGAAAAATAGGAATCATGAAAATGCAAAGTCATCTAAAAGGCCTACTTCAATGATTCATTTACATGAATTAGTTTTTCACTCTGGAAAATAAACAAAGAAACGGGTGCTCTGTTCTTCCTGAAGATGGAATCCAGCAGTTACCAAAGGATGCCAGTCTGGCTTGAATTTTAGCATCTACATCCTCATCCCAGATGCACGGGCAGAGGATTAATAAAAACACAAGTCAAATTGTTTTCTCTATAACCATCAGCCGCATTCTTCGTTTGTAAGAATAAAGTCTTGGGTCCCCTTATTATCATTCTTCTTGTCCTCCTCAATTATGCCTGGGCAGAATGCCTGTGGGATATAGACTAGTGACTAAAAGTGTCCTATTCATTACCATGAATGTCAGCCTTTCAACCCAGACCAAGAAGCCCTGAAATGTGCAGGGGACAGGCATTCCTCAGCTAATAGTAGGCTGTTGTTTCAATTAACTAAAGCAGCACCTTGGCCTCCTAAGCAGTGACTGACTGGGGCAGGCTTAGGAATACTTATCTCATGGGAACAGACTTGATGCTATCAGGTCTGGCTTTATAACATCTCTGTGTAACATCTCTCACCTTTTGGTGGCCAGAGAAGTAGGTCAGAGGGGGAGGCCTGGGTAAGCCACAGAGGCAGAAGTGGGGCCGTGCCTCGCATGCACCATCACGTCATCTCCATGACACGGACATTTTCCCCGCTGGTCTGGTGCCTTCCCATCACTGGCTATAACATGAGGGCCCACCTTGTGGTTTCAGCCTATTTAGAAAGGACAGATTCATCACTGCAACTGCCTGCTTGAGTCAAAGATACTGTGTGTCTTTATCTCCCAGCTGCAAAAGCTGATAAGAATGCAGAGGTGATGTGATAATTTGTAGCTGATTATAGGAATTTTTGACCTACAAATGGAGAGAGAGAGAGAGAGAGAGAAGAGAATGATTGCTGATTGCTGCTATTGTATGTATCTTTTTATGCTTTTATGTTTTTGGATTTTGCCAGGAAAAGCGAGAAAACCCCATCATATCTCCTGAGTTTGACTTTGGAAGACACAGGGGTAAGAACTGACTCTAATATTTCCTGAATATGAAACTTCAGGGCAGTCTCTTAAATTCCATGGATCTAGAATATTTCATCTGTATAAGAAGGTTCTCAACAAGAGGCTCCCATAGGTCCCTCTCATCTTTGACATTCTAGAATTCTATAAGGTTTTGCTTTTTTATTTCCAGATTAAAATATACCAAGATCAAATCTCGTAAACTTGAAACAGAGCAGCACTTTGCAGGCATGGCAGATGCCAGCATTTTCAACCTCACACTGCCAGCTGAAGCTCACCTCTGCTTTCACTTACTGGATGTGTGACCTTGGGCTCTCTCTGTAAGACGCTTAAACCTGCTTCCTTCTCTGTAAAATGTGGGTAATAACGCTTACATCTCAGAGTTGTTGCGTTTTCTATAAAGCCAGCTAAGATGGCTGACTTAGAACATTAGCTATTATTATGACTATTCCTCAAGCTCCTGTGTACTTGGGCACTGACTCTGGAGCCAGACTTCTTAGGTTCAAATTCAAGCTCTGCCAGTTTCTATTTGTGTAACCTTGAATAAATTGCTTAACTTCTCTGCCTCAGTTTCGTTATCTGTAAAATGGGGATAATAATATCATTTACCTCATTGGGTGGTTGTGTGAATTAAATGGATGAATATGTATCATGTCCTTAAAGTGGTATTCGGCATAGAGTAAATACTATGTAAGTGTTTCATAAGTGAAATAAAATAAGTGAAATACACATATATTTGTGTGTACATATATATACATATGAAAGTGCTGGCGCAACACAGGTTCAATAAATGTTGGACATGATGATCATCGCCACAAAAATCCCTTTTTTAGGACTAGAGATGAAGCTTTAGAAGCCAGTTCCTGTGTCTGGCATGTGTTGGCAGTGGAGATGGGGAAATAGGAACCTGTCAGAGAAAAAGCACCAAGGTCATTTCAGCAGACCCAGTCACTGAGAATGCTTCTGCTTGGGGATGGAGGTAAGCAGAAGGCAGACACAGAAGAGGACTCTAGACTTCTGTCTGGGCAGCACTGTAGATGGTGGTAGCTTTATTTGAATGGAAACTCCAGGAAGCATCAGATTTGAGATGAAAGAAAATGGGTTCATGTTTGGATATGTTGAGTTTGCGGTTCCTACAAGACACTTCAAGGCAAAAGAAACCCTCTTATCCAAGCAAGACCTGCACAGAATCCTGGCCAAGGTGCTGTCCGACAACCATGTGAACCGTTTTGCTTTGTCCACAACAACTCATACTCAGTATTCAAAAACACTAAAGACAATCAATAGATGTACTTGTCCCCTGCCACCTGCCTGTGAGGCCTTTTGGAGGTCTGCAGGTCCAGCGTCTCCTAAGATCAACAGCCCTTGACAATGTTCAGCCATTTGTCCTTTACAAAGTGTTTTCATGTCTCTGATCCTATTTGAGCTTGTGAAAAGATTACCATCCCTATTTTATTTATAGGAAACTGGAGTTGGGACTAGACCCATGTCTTCTCTTTGTCCAGAACACTCTTTGCTATCACTTGATTAGCACCAACTGGTAGGAACTGTTACCTACTTAACCCACATTACGTTATTTAATCCTCCAATCAACCAAGGAGACAGATGCCATCAGCTCTGTTTTCAAATGATGTAGAGGAATTTGTATAAGATCACATGGGCATTTGACAAATTTGGGATAACTGAATCTAAATCCGTGTTATATTTTTGTACTTTTTTTGGATTTTATTATAATAATGTTTAGATGATAATACAAGTTTCTTCAAGACAGACCAGTCTTCATGGGTTCAAATCCCGGCTCTGTCTCTTAATAGCTGTGGAGCTTTGGGCAAGTTATTTAACTGTGTCTCTACTTCCATACTTATAAATTGTGATAATAATGGCATATGACACAATGCCTTATAATGAAAATTAATTAAAATTTGTAAAAAGCTTAGCAAAGACCTCAAAAGTCTGTAGGCTCTTGGTTAATATTAGGTATTGCCATGGCTATAATTATGATTACCATAGAACCCATTTTCTCCAAAAGTGGAGATCAAACTTTGGACATCAGTCAGCAATAAACCAAGCTTAGTAATTATTTTCCTTTATAATATTAGGGCCACAAATTCACCTTAGAATTTCTATCAGTCAATGCAAAGAAGAAAATATGATTACAGAATACAAAAGATAAAAGAAATATTCAGTTGAGGCTCAACTAGTCTTTAAGATGAGTTTGGAGAGGAACTTCTCTCATTGTTCATAATTCAATGAACAATGAACAATATGTTCACAAATGCCCCCATTGTCAAACCCAGCCTGGTCAACAAGTGGCAATCTTTTTAGAAGTCACTGGCCCAAAAGATTCCACAAGAAAGCAGCCATGGTGGATCATCAGCATTGTGGTGATGCTCTTTTTTGTTTTTTTCCACCAGAGTTCTGGGCCTCCCTAGCCCTCAAGAAGCCCTTTCTTTCACTTCTGCTTTTTTTTTTTTTTTTTTTTTGGTTTAGAGGTTGGGCTGTAAATAATAATAATGATGATGCCAATAACTGGATAAGGTATTGGACACTAGTTGAGTATGGTTTGAGGTCCCCAGGGCTTCTTAGAGGTCATCAGTGTATTGTCTTCATTGATCTTGAGAGATCCATGGAACATAAGAAAGAGAAGAGACTTTGCAATCAGGCAGACCCCATCAGTCCAGTTCCCCACGTGTCTCAGGACCCCAGAGGAACACTCGGTTCTCCACAGTCGCATTGTGATGTCTCAGGGCCATTAATCCTCTTTATATTCCAACTTTCAGAATCTCTAAAAATACTGGGCTCATTAGAGTGGCTTCAGATGGATAAGATGCACCTTCATTTATCTCAAAATCATAATTCTCTTAGTATTCAACTCTAGTTGGTTTTTCTTGAGAGAGGCAAAACTTCTCCTTTCTACAGCTGTCTTCACTCCTGGGTCTCTCCCAAGCTCCACCATTACCAACAGGCACAGCCCCATCACCAGCCTTCCCCATAACCCACAGACTTTTTTCCCGTGGCACCTTCCCTGTGGGTAACTGCAGTTTATATATAACTCTTTCTAATCCCTGAAAGGATTTAAACAGTTGCGGCTGAAGACACTGCTTTTTAAAAAGTCATAAAACATTAAAATAAGCCTTTCGTATCTCCACTATAGATACAATCTCTCCCATCTCTGGGCTCCTCAAGCATCTTAATTCTTTTAAATTACTCATCACATCTTGCATGGTTTCATAGTTATTCAGATTCATAGTTGTGCGGTCCCTCTAATCTAAACCATGACTTTCTTGAGGCAAAACCCATATAAAATCTGTACAAGTGATTCTTAAATATCCAGGAAATGAATAAAAAGTATTTAGAAGACATCTTGGGGGTGGGAATAGGGCAGTGAGAGAGGGACTTCTCTCTGAAGGAGTTCCTCATATAGTGGGTGAGACAGATACAGGAGCATGATTATAGTTCAGATTTACAAACATCATGATAGACTCAGTAACTGTAGGAGCATGGAGAAGTGCTCAAAAGACTTGGGCAAATGAATTCTTTATAGCAAGCATAATAATAAAAAGGACATGAGCAAGCCATGAAAGGAGGCTAACAGGAAGCACTGACAGTTAATACAATACTTGGTTAATACAGCCCCCAGGAGAAAACGGAAACAGAGTGCCTTGTAGAGCTCTGAGTGTCAAATCAAACACACCAGTTTACAGGGAATACAAACGTTTATCCTTGTCTGGTCCTGCTTTTGACAATACTTTACCTAAGAGACACTGAGTTACACAATGAAGAACATAACAGAAATAATAGTTTTAAATTGTAGAAATGACAAAATTCAAGGGCATGTTTCTGATCCCTTTGGGGCAAGTAAATACCCATGAAAAACTGAAGAAATAGAAAGCTGGTGTGGATGTGGAGAAACTGGATTATTCATGCATTGCTGGTGGGAATGTAAAATATTGCAACCAGGCTGGAAAACAGTTTGCTATTTCTTACAAAAACAAATGTGCATCTACCGTGCAACCTATCAACTGCGTCTCAAATATTTATCCCAGAAAATGAAAACATGTTTGCATAAAAGCCTGTGCACAAATGTTTATAACAACTCTCTTTGTAATAATCCAAACCTGGAAACAACCCAGGTCTCCTTCACCTGGTGAATGGGCTAAACACACTGTGGCACACACGCACCATGGAATACCACTTAGCAACACAAAGGAACCAACTGTTGATATGTGCAACACCTTGAATGGATCTCCAGGGAATTCTGCTGAGTGAAAAAAGCCAGCCCCAAAAGGTTACATGCTGTATGATTCTATTTATATCACAATCTCGATAGATACAATAGAAGTTATAGAAAATGATAGAAATGAGTAACTGATTACTGATTGTCAGAGAGGCTGGGGTGGGAAGGATGTAAAGGGCCAGATAAAAGATTCTTTGGTGGTGGAAATATTTGTATCTTGACTGTAGCAATGTCAATCCTGATTGTGATATTGCTCTATAGTTTTGTGGGATGTTATCATAGAGGGAAACTGAGTAAAGGGTACATCGGATCACAGTACTTCTCTGTAGTATGCTTTGCAACTGCACTGCAAGTTGCTCTACAAGTTTCTCAAAATAAAGTTTACTTTTTTAAAAAGGCAAGTCAGCAAAATGGTATAGCCATTTTGCAAAATAGTTAATCTGTTTCTTATAAACTTTGGCATAGACTTACTGTAAGACCCAGCAATCACACGAGTAGGTATTTGTTGAAGAGAAAAAAAACATATATCCACACAAAAACCTGTTTGCAAATATTTATAGCAACTTTATTCATGGTCCCCAGAACTTGGAACAACTCAACTGCCCATCAGCTGGTGAATGGAGAAACAAACTAGTATGCATCCACCACGATGGAATAATAAAAAGAAACTTCTGCTAAATATAATGACATGGGTGAATCTCAAGTGCATTACACTATGTGAAAGAAGCCAGACTCAAGCCACTACTCATTGTGTAATTTCATGTGAATGACATTCCAGAAAAGGCAAAAACAGATTGCTGGTTGCCAGGGGCTGTGGGTGGGGGAAAGGTATGAACCACAACGCAGCAGAAAACGTTAGGGATGATGGAGATGTTATTTTTTTTCCCCCTTCCCTTCAGCCTTTATTTCTTTTTTTTTTAAGTTCGGGGATATATGTGCAGGATGTACAGTTTTATTCCACAGGGAAACCTGTGCCATGGTGGTGTGCTGCACCTATCAATCCATCACCTAGGTATCAAGCCCTGCATGCATTAGCTGATGGCAATGTTCTGTATCTTGACTACGATGGTAGTTACAAGTTCTATGCAGTTTTTTTCAAAACTCACATAACTCTAAGCCTAAAAAGGCAGAAATTTACTGTATATAAATTATGCTTCAAGAAAGCTAACTTTAGACCAGGCTCAGTGGCTCACGCCTGTAATCCCAGCACTTTGGGAGGCCGAGGCGGGCGGATCACGAGGTCAGGAGATCGAGATCATCCTGGCTAACACGGTGAAACCCCGTCTCTACGAAAAATACAAAAAAATTAGCCGGGCGTGGTGGCGGGCGCCTGTAGTCCCAGCTATTCGGGAGGCTGAGGCAGGAGAATGGTGTGAACCCGGGAGGCGGGGCTTGCAGTGAGCCGAGATCGCGCCACTGCACTCCAGCCTGGGCGACTGAGCGAGACTCTGTCTCAAAAAAAAAAAAAAAAAAAAAAAAAGGAAGCTAACTTTAAATTAAAAAGTGGATCATTAAACTTTCTGCTGTTATTAAGCTGAGGTTCAGAAAGACGTTAGACGACTGTTATACACACTCCCTTTGCTCATGAAGTATGGACAATATGTCACACAGAAAAAGGCATGTAACACACTGTCCCACTGTCCATGTAATATACCCACCTACCTTGTGTTGGCAATATGGTCACTGAAGCACAGAGATTTTAAGAGATCTATACAAGTCCTCGGCACTAATACTAAGCAACAAAACTGGAACTCAAACCCAGATTTCTCCGGGCTGAGAAATAGTGCGTTTTTTACACCATGGCACTAAGGTGCTGCCGGTGAGGGACTGGAGTGCAGAAATTTTAAATTGTGAATTCACAGAGTAACGTTGAGCTGGTAATGGTGTGTGCATTTAGTTCCGAAGAACCCAACTTGGACTTGGAATCCTACTATGGGCCCCTTCCCTCTGCTCAGAGATCAGTGGGCCACAGGCCTATGAACTGGCCCTGAATCTGGCTATGAAAGAAGCTTCAGATCCTTCACATCCTACCATTCAAGGAAGACAACTTCCAGTTTTCTATCCAAACAGGCCTGGGGGGCCCAGCCAGTCTGCTGAGTTGATGGGCAGCCAAGATTCCATACTGAAATAACAAGGACGTAAACCAAAGTCTGCTGCAGACGAGACCTGCTGGCAGGAGGTGAACAGAGAGCTGCCTTGTCCCAAACACCACCACTCAGCTCACGGCCAGGACAAGAGGCCCCAGGAGGAGACACTGATGGAGACCCTCTGTCTATGCAACTGGGGAGTGATGAGCAATAAGACAGGCTCAAAACAGCCTGTCTGTCGGTGCTGTTTTGGCGTCCTGCAGGAATGTTATTCCCAGCATCCATTTATCCAGCAAGTCATTGATAGAGGGCCTGGAATACACAGTGGTGAAATCAGGCAGGTCCCCGGTCACATTTGGGGCCATGCTCCCTCTTCCTGGAGTGCTACCATGACTCTCTATATAAGTCCTTCAAGTCTTCAAGGAAAGCACCCTCTCTTCTGGAAACCTTTCATCTCACACTTCCTCTCTCACTTCCCCACCCCCAAACAGAATTTGTGGCTCCCACCTTTGCATCTGTCCCACAAGACTGTGACCTTCTCAGATGGCCAAGACTCAGTCTTCCTTATCTCATTACCTTTACTCCTAACTCAGTGCCTGGAATATGGTCAAATTCTAGTGTACATTTTTTTGAATAAATGAGGGAAGAAAGGGAGGCAAGAAAGAGGGATCCCTCTCAACTCCCGTGATAAGGGCCAGCGTAATCAAGGAAGATGAAGTCAACTGCTGGAAAAATTAGGTCCTGGAGGCCACCATACAATGACACTAACTATCTTAGGGAACCATAGATTCTTAGAGGTACATTGAAAATTGAGGAGTGGTCCACAGCAAATCAAAAATAATAATTTCAATAGTTTTTATTCATTAATTTAATAACTTTTTACCAACAGTCCCTTCTGCACCAGGAAAAATTATGTACATTATTCATTAATCATTCCCAAAAACAAATTTGTAGGTATAATTATATTTATCCTAGTGAGGAGGAAACTGAAGCTCATGGAAGTCAAGTAAAAGCCACTATCACACAGCTGCTGAATACAGAACCAGGATTCAAATTCAGGCCTCCATGACTCGGAAGTGTGCTGTTCAGCTGCACTGCTCCTCTCCTCCCAGCCCTTTCCTTCCTTACCATCCCCTTTCCTTCCATTTTCTGCCTCTTTTAAAGGTAATCTTGGGGCATAATACATCTAAATACAGAACAGAACAGAGTCCCCTTATTCTTGAAAGGCAAAAGGCACAGCTTCTTAATTGAAACAAGATAATCCAAACATTTGCTCCACTTCAAGTTTACAAATTCCATTTTGTTGACTTATATTTTCACAAATGGCTGTCATGTCAGTTATTTTATTTTTACAGAAGTTAAGAAAATATGAAGAGAAGAAGTTTTAGAACAAAGTAGCTTACAACATATTTGATTCCTCTCTTATTGGTGTTGTAAGGAAAGCTTAGAGGTTTCCAAGATGAAATTTTCAGGCCATGTAACACCATGCCTCCAGGGACCCTGCCCATGGGCCAGACACTTGGATACCCTGGATCGCTGACAGCCATGACCCTACGACCCTGTTTCTGTGTCTTAAATTCACCTTCCTTACCTCCAACCTTGAGATAATTTTCTAGCAGGCCCCCACCTTGCAAAATCAGAGATAGAAATAAAGGCAGAGGCCTCCCACATTCATCCAGTCACCGCACCAGCAAAGATGCTTTTAACCCAAAATGACCAGAGTCAGTTTTTTCTTCTCTTGAAGAAAGGAGTCTTAATGGATATTAAATCCAGGACCTTGGGTCATCTTTTATATAGAACAAGGGAGGCAATACCCACTCTTGCTGTGCATGTGCATGAGCATGGGGCCCCAACGTGCTCTTCTGACCTAAAGCCCCACTGCTCTCTGATCTTTGGATGTTCTGAAGGGATATGATGTGGTGAGAAGTCAACGGCTCTGGAATCAAAAGAACTGGCTTCTCATGCAGGCTTCAGTATTCCCTTGCATTTAAGACATCTGAAGTTGAGTTCCTTCATCTGCAAAATGACTATAATTCCATCTATCTTTCTACCTCATTGGTTTGCTGAGCTTCACATGTGATTACGTGCATGACAGCCTTTGAAAGCTATCTTGGAGCACCTTCGAGGGCCATTACCACGTCCCTACCTACAGATTCGCTCATAGCACTCAGTCACAATACGTAGACTTCCCTCCACTCTCCTCCAACTAATCGCCTATCTACACATCTCCTCCCTGCCTTCTCCAGGGAGGCTTCGACAATCACCCCAAGCTGTAGCTACCATAGTCTCTTCAAAAGCACCAGGCTCAAATCTAGAAGCCTTTGCTTACCATCTTCCTGTGCCAATACTGTGAATACAGTGATGGGATATACTGTGGATTCCCCCGGAAAAAGCAGACCCTGAGAGCAGGAGTCACATGCAGGTAGTTAATTTTAAAGGAACACTGTCAAGGAGATGAAGAAATGATATGGGGGTGGGAAGGCAGTCAGCAAAGGGCCTGTCCGGGCCTAGCTTCATGGCATGCAACCTGCACAATTCCACAGTGCCCGTGTGCAGAAGGCCTCCTGCTTGATTTAATGCTGTGGGGTCTCTGCTTGAAATTCTCAATGATTTCATCCTTGAACTTTAGTATATGGGCTGTAGAATAAAAGTTGTATAATTTTGGTAATTCCACATGCTAGTTAAATGCTCTCATATTTGCACTTAAAACTGGCATTGCACACTATAAAGATGGAAGATAAAACACATTGCTAATAATTTAAAGTTTTCATTTTCCTCACTTAGAACAACATTAAACAACAATTTTTTTAAATACCATGAAAAATTGAGGGAGAGGCCATGGGAAAAAGGGAAAAATTTTTATTTTAATATTCTTAATAGCACTTTTCCCTTGATTTTTTAAAAAGTGGCCCTACATTTTCACAAATTATGTAGCCAGCCCTGGAAGTGTTACTAAGCCTGGTAATACGGTGAGTGAATGATGCTTAATAAAGCAGGGAAGCTTGGGAAAAGTGATATAGAACACAGGCCTCTGAGCTATCCCACTTGAGGAATGAAGAGCTGGGGTATTTATACACCCACTTCCATCATGCCTCAGCTAAGAACTGCTGAGGGGAGATGGGGAGTTGTTAACTATACCTCAACTAGCTTGCCAATGACAGAAAGTCATCTGGACTAAGACCAAAGGATGTGGACAGGGTGTTGACAGTAATAGCGAGGAGGTGATAACCTCAGGAACTCCCAGTGCAATGTAGGGAGAACAGCAAGTAAGTCAACAGGCTGCATACCATGTGTTAGGTGTAGTTACAGAAATAAACACCAGGGCTTCGGGAGCACAGAGGGCGGGTCCCCAGCCAAGCCTGGCCACTCCACTGAAGCCCTCAGAGCGCAGGTGCCTGGTCAGAGCATGCAGAGAATGGGCTTGCCTGATGAACGGGAGAGAAAAGAAAACTCTAGGTAGGAGTCCTTATTTATTTTCTATCACTGCTGTAAAAAAAGATAGCTGATTTAGTGACTTACAACAGCACAAATGTATGATCGTCTTACTCTTTTGTCAGAGGTCTGGTACAGGTCTCACTGGGCTAACAGCAAGGTGTCTGAGGACTGCATTCCATCCTGTTTGAATGTGTTTTCTCTCTCATTCAGGTTGTTGGTAAAATTCAGTTCCCTCTGGTTCTGGGCTAAGGTCCTCATTTGATTAACGGTTGTCAGCTGAGACCCTTTCCCAGTTTCTAGAGGCCACCTGCATTCCTTGGCTTGGACCCTTTGTCTATCTTCAGAGTCAGCAGCAAAGGGGTGAGTCCCTCTCACACTTGGGATGTGTCCTGCCGCTGCTTCTATTGCTGCATCTCCCTGACCGACACCTCTTTGTATCTCTTCCATTCTTTCTTTTTCTATTGAAGTGAAATTCACATAACATAAAATTAACCACTGTAAAGTGAACAATTCAGGGACATTTACTACATCCACGATGTTGTGCAAATCACATTTTCATCACTTCTAAGTAAAACCCCTGACCCATTAAGCAATAAAACCACCATTCCCTCCTCTCCCAAGCCCGTAGCAGCCACCAATCTACTTTCTGATTCTATGGATTTACCTGTTCTACAGATTTCATATCAATGGGATTACACAATGTGTGGTCTTCTATGTCTGGTTTCTTTCACTTAGCGTATTGTTTGAGAGGTTCATCCGGGCCATGGTGCGTATCAGTACTTCAGACCTTTTTGTGGCTGAATCATTTTCCATTGCTTGTGTAGACTGCATTTCATTTATGAAATCATCTGTCAATGGACATTTGGGTTGTTCTCACCTTTTGGCTATTGTGATTAGTGCAGGTATGAACGTGTATTGGAGTATCTGTTTCTAACTCTTTGGGGTATATACCCCTCATCTATTCTTAAGGGTTTATATAATTATGTTGAGCCCATCCAGATAATCCAGGCTAATCTCCTTATTTCCACCTGCAAATATGTCATGTGACATAGATTCCAGGTATTAGGTTACAGGCATCCTTGGGAGACCATTTTTCTGACTCCCTCAAGACCAGTATGACCACAGTTTGGGAACAATGTGGTGGCTACAAGAGACTACAAATCCTTCTGTGCCAATACTATACCAGGGCTTCTTAAATTTGAGGACATAGGCAACTTGTTCAAAGAAAGGGAACATCGGCAGAGCTCAAGAATATGTCCACTAACCCCCAACCTGATGGACAGTGCACTGGAGATTAACAGTCAGGTTATCAATCATTGGCTCTGATAGGACCCAGAACACAGAGGTCAACCCAGACATCAAGGTCTTGCAGCAGGACTGTGTAACGATAACCATCCAATCGATCCAGACCATATTTTATGTAAATTTTTTAGATCACCGTCAAAAGAAAAGAAGAATTTTTTAAATTCTCATAGAATTCATAGCTAAGAATTTGGGGTCCCTGGGTATCCGTAGATCCCTGGGTGAGAAATATTTGGCTACTGCTTGAATGTCTCATTCATTTCTATATCTCCAGTGCCTAGAACACTGCTTGGTACATGGCAAGTACTCAGGAAAGACTGCTGAATAAATGGGTGGGTTATAACAGGGGAACCTGGCAGAGGCAGGTGTGTGGGATGATGCTGGCAAAGGCCTAATATGCCGTGGATGGGTTTATTTAGAGTGTGTTCTGTACCATCCCTAAGAGTCATCTGAGGGTCCTTATTGTCTCAAGACCTCACTTGGTGACTAGCATTTATTGTTTACAATACTTTCCATCTTCATTAGCAGGGACGAGTGATGCGTTAAATCTCTTTGAAGGGACTAGGGCAATGTCAGGAAAACATGGGTGGTTTTGAAGTGATGCCAGTGAAAAATTGGCCCCATGACCACCTCCCTCTAGAAACCTGACCCCTCTCTTCTTTCACCCTTTCCTTCTGGAAAGGGCTGGGAGGTGCTGTGCATAAGATGTAAAAGATACCCAGTGAATCAGAATATTAAAAACAAAATCAAACTGGCCATGAGGATTGAATGTGGAGTGGATAACACAAAGCTCAGGAGCTGTTTGGTTGTAGTATTTCATTGTTTAGGAGAGGAGGGAGGGATTTTGCTGAGTCTTTTATAGGAAACAAATCTCTTAAACCCTAATGAGGGAAGGAGTCACTGTGGTCTGCTCTCCCTGGAATTAATGCAGCAAAGGCAGGCGGTGGCCCCAGGCAGTATTCCTAAAACTTCTAAGAAGGAGAGACATTTTGTTCTTGAAATGTAAATACAATACTTTTCACTTTATTCTTTTAAACACAACTTGGCCCTGAAAGTTGATCTATTAAAAGGAAAGCTCGCCTTAGCCAAAATGTCTAAATCCCACAACTGAAAATGCATTCAACAAATAGCCATTATTTCCTATTTATATAAACATTTCTTGTTCCATGCTCTAAAAACTTTGAAAACCTTCAGAAGTTAGGCTGTGTCAATGTATTGCAAGAGGACTGTCAAGGGGAATAAAGATGTAGTGCTTTCCAAATAACACAATTTCATGAAATCCCTTTTTTAAAAGCAACTTGTATCAATACTTCAGTTCAAATGGAAACATCTCAAGGATAAATTCCTTGTAACTTGGTAGTTACAGAAATTCTTTGTAACTTGGTAGTTACAGAGAAAAAGAATGGCACTGTGTTTCCAGACTCTAAATGTTTAGACAAAGCCTAAGAATTGTGCAATTCACATTGCACTTTAACTGGGCATCATGAATCCACTACTCTAATCCAAGTTCGGCCACCTGGAGCAGGTCACAACTATTCTCTGGGCTGAGCTTCCCTCACTGGAACAGGATGAGAGTAACCAAGGGGTCTCTCTACCAGGATTCTGTGAATTCTTTGCAACATATCTAAAGAACCCAAATATATTCTATGACCCTGGAGATGTATTTAATCCCAGAAATAAACAACGCCTCTTCCCTTCCAAAATATACACTTTCTTTTGAAAAATAAATCTCTCCCAAGAACGTATGGAAGGCATTCTTTTTTATAGACCCGTCTAACATTATAGCACTAAGTGTTTCCACCTGTACCCAGCATGGACGCAGCCACTTAATCAAGATGTGATTATCTAGCTCAGAGTTTAGCCAGAGTATGTGTTTTAAAGAAATGGAGAGCTGAGCTATGTGCTTAATGGCAAAGAATTCCTGGTCTCCAGAGGACTCTCTCTCCAACATCTTTATTGGCAGTGAACGTTCAGAAGGTCATAAGCTTTCAAGGACAAATATATTATAGCCATAATTAGAAAGGATTGGCAGCACAAACATCACCCCTCATGCTCTCCTGCTCAGCAAGTCCTCGTGGGTCCTACCTCTAAAATATGTCAAGCCTGTGCCCTGAAAATCCCTCAGTTGATGCTCTTATTCAGAATCCCTTTCCTCTCTTTTTAGTTAATGATCTTGCCTCCAGGGCCCCCCTTTCTAAATCATCCTCCATGGAGCCAGAGTAATATTTATAAAACAGAAATTTGACTATATCACTTCTCTGTTTAAAAACCTCCTAAGGCCACTCCACAAGATTGAAGTTGAAACTCTCTCACTTTTAAAGAACTTTTGGAGAACTATATGATGTGGTCTCACCTGCTTTATGTTCTAGTCTATGGTTGGCAGATTTAGCAAATAAAAATACAGAACACCAGGTTTAAATCTACATTTGCATAAACTGAAAATAATGTCTTTAATGTAAGCATTTTTCATGCAATACTTGGGACATGCCAAACATATTCATCATCTATCTGAGATCCGAATCCCACTGGGCCTCCTGTATGTTATCTGGCAACAGCACTCCAGTTATACTGCTCTAATCATTCTTTCCCAAGCCATGCACTTGCCTGCCCTTGTGCAATTATTCATGACACTTTCACTACCTAAAGTGCTACTTTCTCCTTCCCAACCTGAAAATTCCTATTCATCCTTTATATCCCGGTACATCTTCTGTAAAGCTTCCCTGACAGCCAATATTCTAATTAACCACTCCCTTCTCTGTCCTTCTTTATGTATCTGCCCTTCTATACTCTCCACAGTGCTTTATAATTACTTATGAGTCACTCTCTTCCACTAGACTGAAAGATCCTTAAAGTGCAGGGACAGACTTTAGTCCATCTTTCACCTCCAACCCCCAGCTCAAGACCAGCATAGGATAGAGGCTCAATGAACTGTATTAAATGAATGAAGAGTAAACCACTAAATAATAAATAATGGGTATGACTTCAAACACATTCTCCCACTCCTCATGAAAGTGGAATTCTGTGAAGAAAATCATACAATATTTTTAATGATTTAAATCCTCTTCACCAAGAGACAGGGCAGGGGCCTCTGGGACAAGTTCCCAAACCACAAAAGTAAACATCCCCTCCCTAGAAGTGTTTCCACCCTTCATACTCAGCCCAGCAATGACTGCAATGCATTCAAGGTCCCTATTAGTGGGTAGGCTCTCCATATCCCCTGGTTCTCTGCAGTTTTTAATCTTGTCCATCTGTTTCCCAAATGTGAGTGTGGATTGCAATTGTCCTGAGTAACCAGTAATTTGTCTAGAATGCTCAGAACTGTCCTTGTCACCTGCCCCACTCACTCTCCCACAGCACTCTGCTAGCCCCTCCAAGGTGGACTTACTCCTCTTGCTTTCTGCTCTGGGCTGTTCGAGGTGGCAGGTCTACCTCTCATACCCCATGGTCAGCACCCAGCGAAGACACACTGAATACACCTGGCACATGCACAGTCTCCCCCTTGAACCCAGTGCCTCCTTATTCATGCCAGTGCCCCTCCCTGCCTGACCTCCTGGTCTCCATCCAGTCTCTCCTCCGTAAGCATTGATATTCATCCCCAGAATGGAGCTCCTTAAAGTAGTATACAATCTTAAGCATCTGCAGAACTTCTGTGGTTCATTCATACTATATTTTTGTTATATGAATGAATGAATGAATCATGCTTGTTCAAGAGCCATTCATTGAGAATCTAGTGGGAACCTGGCTACAGGCACATGATAATGATTACAACATAATTTCTAACAGCAAGGAGTTTGAAATTTAAGATAGCAACACCAATAGTTTCAATCTTTCCTGGACATATATTCAACTTCAAAGATAATTTGTTATCACACAGAAGACATCCAGTTGGTGGAAGAAAGGAAGAGTATTTTTTTAAAGAAGGATCTTCCTGACTGCTTATGCATTTACCCAAAATATGAGCATCATGTTAGAGTCTGGAATTAATCAGACCTACTGTCCCTTCCCCACCTTGATGAGTGTCCCTGTAACCCTTTGCAAGCAAGAGGAAGGGATAAAGAAAGTCAAATGGTCCAATGAAGAGTAAGAAACACAGAGAATCCCCCAAAGCAGTGGATGTGTGCTCTACTCTGTTAAGAAGGCAAGGAATGTTAGCCATACAAAACAGGTCTACAGAAATGATGAAAAGCCTTCATACAGAGTATGTGGAGAGCTGAATGTGGACATTCACGTATGCGGTATTATTCTTCTTCTTTTTTTTAATTATAGTGGCTAAATCAACCAGGACCATATTTGACTTTATTTTGTGCATTCATGTCTAGAAATTTTTAAATCTTACTAAGTAAAGGTATTGTTCCATGTATAAAGAAACTATCTGTGAGATTTAGTTCAACTCTCTTGAATTTTGGAAGCTAAGTATGATGGTGAGGATGATGACAGAGCTTTGAATTGCATGCACCTTCTGTGTAGCAAGTACTGAGCCGGCCTTTGACACGTATCATTTCATATAAATCTCAGAACTGCCTTGAAATTAAGCATTATTAGCCTCCTTCTTCAGAGGAAACTGCAGCTCAGGGAATGTGTGCTGTATCTAACGTCACATAGCTAATAAGGGTCTTAGTATAGCTCGAAACTGAATTGCGTCTCTAAAGCTCATGTCTTTTCAATCCCTAAGCATCCATCTGACATGGATGAAGATTATGATCAGTCACTCAATCAACAAAGTGCTTTTAGAACATGTGATGAGCACAGGGAAAGAGCAATATATTGAGGCATTCCCAAGAAAGTGTACAAAGGTCCTGGATGAGTATCCTAGGATCCTGGACTCAAGCTCCCAGCAGAGTCAACCCTCCACCAACAAGCCCTGTGGCCTTGGACAAATCTCCTACCCTGGCTGGGTCTCACTTTCCTTGTGTGTTTCATCTGTGATGACAATAGCCTCCTCACAATCACACAGAGTTGGTGTGAACATTGGATGAACCAGTGTGTAAGAAAGCGTTTTGTAAAGTGTCAAATGCTGTAGAAATCTGAAGTGCGAACTTGTTTTTTCCGACAAGTTTTAAGGTAAACAGGGACTGGAAAAATTACCAGAGGTTTTCTCGAGCAGGAAGTGGAGTGAGAAGAGGCAGAAGGAGCCCCGGGTTGTCAAGGGCCCCCCTCTCTTCAGCGAGGCGACCATGCACACAAAGGAAGCTGAGTCACCCCTGCTCGGCAGGACCCCAAGGCCATCAATTGAGTCTGCCTGTGAGAAAGCGGAAACCCAAATCCTGCTGTCCCCACGGCCCCTCCTGCTGCCGGCCCCCTGTGGTTGGCCAAGTCACCCTCAGGGCCCTGTGGTTCCCTTCTGTGGCTCAGCTGACAGAAACAGCTGGCGTGGTCCATGCTTCACCAGCCTGCATGCCTCTCAGGGTGGGTGGTAAGAAGTCAGAGGGGCCACTGCAAACCCAGAGACTCCAAAGTGACTCCTCTGTGGCTCTCCCCCTTGAATGAATTCTGCCTGCAAGGACATGCACCTGTCAAGCCACTGCTTTGGTTTATTTCGAGGTCACATGCAGTAGGAGACCTTCATGGCACCATTTATGATGAGGGTCTCATAGGAGGTAGAAGGGACTAACTCGAGGGGGTTCTGGAAGGTCCATCTTCCAATTACCTTGAAGCATGATAAATCCCCCACAGCTTTGAAAGCCAGAGGCCCTCTGTGGAGAACAGGAACATCTCAGAGCCCCCACACACTCAGCAGACAGTTCAGACCCAGAGACATAGGCAGTGTCGGCAGAGACCGGTGTTCCTTCAGCCAGCTGTCTCAGTCTGGTCACCCCTGTCTTTTGGCCTGAGAAGCCAGAAGACAAAAGTTAAAGGGAGGTGGGTAGCCATTTAAAAGGATAATTTATTCAGGTATCAAGAGGAATATGAATCAAAACCTTCCTAGAGCTGTCCCCCAGGCCAGGGCAGATGGAACACGAAGCCTGTGGAGTCACCTACACCAGGGGCCAAGCTCCTGCCTCACCACTTCTTAGCCAGTGCCCTGGTACAAGGCAATATAAACTCACTGGACTGCCATTCTTTCTCCTATTCCAAGGAGATGGTATCTACCCCACCCTAGTTCAGCCCCCACATGGGGCTGTTGTGAGGATCAAAAATGATGTATCTAATGGAAATGTATCTATTAGGTTCTCAACCTAAGGAAACCATATTATTATATGTACTGCTATAGGGAGGCCACAGCATCAGTGTGAAGTCAGGCTTGATCTGAACTGATCCAGCATTATCAAGAGGTGATCTGGTATGAATGCTTGAAGTCAGAGAGCAGCTGCCTCAGACTTTCAGGTACAGAATGGACCATGGAAGGCAGGAACAGACTCTAACCCTCTGAGTGGGTATCAGAGTCCTATTTAACAAACTGGAGCTGCAGGCAGGGCTCCAGAATTAATTGTAAAGCAATGCTCCGGCAGGATTTGAGGCAGAACCTCTGCATCACATCCTCAGAAGGTGGGGCTCAGCCTCTAGTTAAAGTCTCTCTTCCCAGACCCTTCCCTGCTCAGGTGAGGACCTCAAGAAGCCCCCACCTCATGTCCATTGCAGTCCCCTGCAATTCTAACCTTCTTGCTAATCCCATAATCCATCCCTAGCCTGCTGTTATGGGTTGAATGATATCCCCCCAAAATAAGATACGTTCAAGTCCAAACCCCCCAGTACCTTAGAAATTGACGTTATTCGGAAACAGGGTCTTTGCAGATTTAACCAAGATAAAGTCAATTAGGGTGGGCCCTAATCCAAGTGACTGGTGTCCTTACATGAAAAAGGGAAATATGGACACAGACACAGACATGCAGAGGGAAAGTGATGGGGAGAGACACAGGAAGAAGACGGCCCCGTGAAGACAGAAGGCTATGTGTGATGCATTGGAAGACAGAAGGCCATGTGTGATGCATTGGCATGCCAAGGAGCACCAAAGATTGCAGCAAACCACCAAAAACTAAAAGGAGGCAAGGGAGGAGTCTCCCCAGAGTCTCAGCGGGAGCATGGCACTGCTGGCACCTTGATTTTGGATGTCCAGCCTCCAGAAATGAGAGATGGACTTAGATTGTTCTCAGCCGACCAGTTTGTGCCTAGGAAACTAGTACACCTAGGAGTGTGGATTACTTTGGTTCAGCAAATACTCCTTGAGTTCAGTGTAGTGGGTAACACAGAGAGATAGACAATTACAATCCTTCATGAGAACTGTGATGGTGAATACACATTCAGAAGGGAACACAACTAACCACAGGGGGCAAGGGCTGGAGGAAGCCCTCTTAGAGGAGATAATGGCTGAGCGAAATCATTCTCATATGGGAAAATGCAAGTAATTTGAGTTCTATAAATTTATAATCATTATATTCAAGGCCAAAAGAATCCTTTCAACAATTACAAAGAAAGGATGTGTGGCTCAGCCAATGAAAAGTGTGAATAGAATTCAAGAAAAAGAAGCTAAAACCATAAAACAAATTAAGAAAAAAATTCAAAAACTCTGGTCCCTGTTGAATTCAGATGACTTATCTGCTTGTTAAAGCAAGAACAGTCACTGCAGCTGTGGGTTCAAAATTATCAGGGCTATCCCTTTAAAATAGCCTATAATTCCTTCCTTTTTCCTGACTCCAACTGGCATTTCACCAATGCTGGGGTTTGGCTTGGTTGTTTGTGTTTAGGCTTTTGAGAAGCTTTTTCTCACCCTCTGCATTATCAACTCTCACTTAGACGACCCTCCCTTGTAATCCCCAAGCCCCATTCTTTTCCTTTACATTAGGCCCACCCAAGTGCACTGTGTCAGTTACATGTCAAGCACACGCCATGGGAGCTCTTGCTGCAGGGATTGCTCTTTCCCATCACTGTATCCCTGAAGCCCAGCCCAGGACCTGGCATGGAGTAGTGTTCAATGCATGCCTGTAGAGGGGATTTTCAAAGGGCAACCATCCCAGAATGGCCCGGGTCACTGTTTCTCACTGGAATCCATAACTCCTTGGGATTTTGAGGCCGTGAATTCAGATTTGAGAAGCACACATCTAGCTAGTAATGGGTAAGTGTCTGTGGCAGGATTGCATGATTTTACATATTTGTTTAGTTTAATTCAATTAGCAATGTTTGAGCGTCTACTTTGCACCTGGAGTTGTGCTGGAAAAAAAAAATATGGATGGAAAGAAATTTTTGTCGGCCTCAGTTATTGGTGTCTATACCTTATTAGTTCACAGAAGAGCTAGTGTTTTTTTTAAAGTCTTACTGGTAAGCTAATTCCATCTCCTTTCATGTTAAACAAAGAGAAAGTGAAGCCAAGAGAGGTGAACTAGAGGGAGTAGAGCGCTGTGCTTATGAGCTCCAGGTTGGGAACCAGACCAACATCCAGCTCTTAGTAGACAGATCTTGGAAATTTTCTTACTCTCCCTGAGCCTCATTTACTTTATCTGCAGAAGGGAAATAACCACCAACTCAGAGCATTTATGACAATTGAATGAGACAATGCATGAAAGCCCTGAGTTCAGAACCTGGCACATAGTAAGAGTTCAACAAAGCTTAGCTCTGAATATTATGATCCAAGCCACACAGCTATTTAGTGGCAGAACTGGGAAAATGAGCCAAGTTTTTTGACTCAACATATATCATTTGACTTTATAATGATATATGTTTATAAAGCTTTGCTTTATAAAATAACAACAATAACTTTATTATATTTTAAGGATGTGCTGTGATACATATAGGTACAAATATAAATAATATTACTTAACTATGAAAATTCCTTGATAATGTTTGGCTGTGTCCCCACCCAAATCTCAAATTGTAGCTCTCATAATTCCCGTGTGTCATGGGAGGGACCAAGTGGGAGGTAATTGAATCATGAGGGTGGGTCTTTCCCATGCTGTTCTCGTGATAGTGAACAAGTCTCATGAGATCTGATGGTTTTATAACGGGGAGTTACCCTGCACATGTTCTTTCTCTTGCCTGCCACCATGTAAGACATGACTTTGCTCCTCCTTTGCCTTCTGCTATGATTGTGAGGCTTCCCCAGCCATGTGGAACTGTGAGTCAATTAAACCTCTTTTCTTTATCAATTACCCGGTCTTGGGTATGTCTTTATTAGCCGCATGAGAACAGACTAACACAATCCCATAAAGGAGATATTATACTTCCTTTTCAGATAAGAAAACTGAGGCTCAGAAACTTAAAAATTGGCTAAGAGCACATAACTAGTGAGGGATGGAATCAGGACTCACACCTCGGTTCTTGGTCTCCCCATCTCTCCATAGACAACCTGCAAGACATCCCTGCTCTTGTCTGTGACCTTATGTCAACCTGCATATGACTTTAGTGTAGAGTGTTTAATGTACAGCCCCAAACGTTTTATGTTCTGGACTTTTTAATATTATCAGCCTAAATTCACAAGTTTGTTCCAACAAAAGGTTTTATCTGGTTGTAAGTCTCTTTCTCAATGATTATTTATTCTTCCATCTTAATGAGCAGATGGACATTTGAAATATACTATAACTGCACAGTTCCCCAAGAGGTTCTTGAAAATCTTCCTTACCTAAGGAATACAAAAGAATCAGTCAATCATTTATTCTAAAAGTATTTTTGGAGCACCTGGTGGACTCAGGAGTGAACAAAATAGACAAAAATTACTGCCCTCCTAGGGCTTATCACCTAGTAAGGGAGATGGACATCAAACTAACTAATCAGATAAATAAACAAAGACATGAACACATAAGTAGATGCAAAGTATACTCTAGAGAAATAATGCAGGAGGATAGGGAATGTCAGAGTCGGGAAGGAGTCCCTCATCAGTGCCTCATCAATGATTTGCATTGGCTGCCTTTTCTGTCTCAACATTGGTTGGTGTTGCAGGATACTTTCCCAATCACTATGCTGTTTACTCATTCAGCATATTCAATACATACTTCCTCAACACACACCATGTGTCAGACACTGCTACCTTCCCTTGACAGCTGTCTTCTTCTACCAAGAGTCACTCTCCTCTCCCTCCAAGTGTGTTGTCAATCCATCACCCTCCTTTTTAGGCTGATAAAATAAAAAGGTAAAAAAGATCCATTTTATTTTTTTTTTAAACAGAGTCTCGCTGTATCGCCAGGCTGAAGTGCAGTGGCACAATCCCGGCTCACTGCAACCTCCACCTTCTGGGTTCAAGTGATTCTCCTGCCTCAGCCTCCCAAGTAGCTGAGATTACAGGCACATGCCACCATAACCAGCTAATTTTTGTATTTTTAGTAGAGACAGGGTTTCCCCATGTTGGCCAGGATGGTCTCGACCTCTTGACCTTGTGATCCTCCTGCCTCGACCTCCCAAAGTGCTGGGATTACAGGAGTGAGCCACCGCACCCAGCAGGTAAAAGAAATCTTATTTCCATTACACATTGATTCAGGAAATATTTAATGAGTTCCTAATAACCCTAAATAGCATGTGTACTGCATTTCTTATCAAATATATTTCCACAACCATAATCTCCTATAGTGTCCAATAGTGTCATAATGAAGATACAGTAGGAACCATTTCATTCATTTTATTTCTATTGTACCTCCTTTGGAATAGGATTTGAGGAAGTTTACAAAAAATTATAACCAGTAGGATTATTATAACCATTTTATAGATGAAGAAACATAGTTTGAGAAAGTGTATAGGACTTGCCTGACATCACACAGCAACCAATAAAACTGGAATCACAACTCAAGTCTTCTAACTCCAAACCCACACTTCCCTCTGCCCCACACAATTGCCATGTTTGGTCCCTCGTCAGGTCCTCTGGGTGCAATGATGAAGCAGAAGTAGCTCTGTTCTCATGAAGCATAATTTCAGTAAAGACCATAAGCCAAGACTGAAAACAGCTGTAATAGGAGATGGTGATGTTTGGAGAGTGATGCATGGAAGTTTGGAGGGGCATGAGTTTTATGCAATGTTGGCTGTCTGAGTCATAAAAGAAAAGCTTGGTGGAGGAGGTGGTAGGACATGGACTATTTAAAGGCAAGAAAAAGTATGTCAGGTTGAAGGAGTATTAATTGGCCAACATGTTAGAAATCACCGGCCAAAAATATCACAGTATCCCCTCCTCTCTCTCTTATTCACATAAAGTTTGGCTTTCCCAAACTACTATAAACCAGAAGTTTCTCAGGGAATGTTATGGTTCTCTTTCACATCTGGATTACAAAAGCTTCCAGGTACACTAAAGGAAACGGGAAGAAACAACCACTTATTGAGAACTTACTATATACCGGAAATTGCTGCATCATTTAATCCTCACAGCAGCTCTGCTAGGTGACTATAACCCCCATATTATAAGTGAAGAAAGTGAAGCACAAAGACTTAGTTGATGTGTCCAAAGTCAAACAACTAACAAGCAGAGAAATTGATTTGAACTCAGGACTGTTGGAAGTCAAAGCCAGGTCTCTCTGTGACTCTAAACTTTGAACCATATTACACAGCCAAGGATCAAGAAGTGCCTGTTCTATGAGTGTGAAGTTGTGAGCAAATAAATTCAGCACCTGGTGAAGAATCAGCAAGTCAAGTTGATCTAACTTAGATTTATGAAACTAAATCACAAAGAAAATGTTACAAATAAAGATAAATATATAATTTAATGTATCCAAATATAAATTCTTTTTTGAGACAGAGTCTCACTCTGTTGCCCAGGCTGGAGGGCAGTGGTGCAGTCTCAGCTCACTGCAACCTCCACCTTCCCAGTTCAAGTGATTCTCCTGCCTCAGCCTCCTTAGTGCTAGTGTTACAGGTGTACACCACCATGCCCTGCTAATTTTGATATTTTTAGTAGAGATGCGGTTTTGCCATGTTGGCCAGGCTGGTCTTGAACTCCTGACCTCAAGTGATCCGCCCACCTTGGCCTCCCAAAGTGCTGGGATTACAGGCATGAGCCACCAAGCCCAGCGAAGTATAAATTATTTATGCAAGATTTTTTCACATGGTAGAAATGTTTCTCTAATCACCATATTTTTTTCTACATTCCATAAGAAAGCTTGCTAAGATATGGTGGGTTCTTGTTTAAGTTTGTGTCTATCACATCCCACAAAAGCAATTATGATCGCCCATTGATTCATGAATGTGAATGTGGACATCATTAAATATTTACACAAACACGTTGATTACTTACTTTTATAAGCCTATGGGAAGTACCAGTCTGTTCTTTAGCACGATGTTGGAAAAAATAAGTTTCTTTGCAAATACAGTAATCAGCCCACATTCACTACTCATTAGACTAACTCTTGAAATAATCTTCAGTTTGTTTGCAAAGATGATTCACATCTGCACCAGCACAGCTGTGGTGGAACCAGAGTGAGTGTGTGTAGAAGGAAGTTCGCTTTGGGCTACGAATCCAGAGTAGCTTTCAGCATTTACAGGAACAGGAGCGACCCCACGGTAACAATAGTAATAGCAGCAACTGCAGCAAAATTCATTTCCAGGAGACCAACTCTGCCTCTGTCAATGCTGAGGTAAAGAGTAAATGGTGCTGTCACTGGAGGTGTTTGGTAGCAAAAGATACTAAGCAAGTTGCCTTCTCTCCTTTTATCCCCACCTTTATCTCTGGATTCTGACGGTAAAAGGGTTTTAAAACTATCGAATTCCCAGAGGATAATTAGTATGACTGGATTCAATGCTGACAGATAAACAGAGCATTTAATTTGTATTTCGAAATATCAAAGTAGCATAAACTGTTGTTGTTTGTTTACTGATGTCAATCTGAAGGTTCTACAATTTGCAAAACATCCCTTTGAGTAAGCAGACAGAAAAAAAAAAAGGAGAGATGAAATTTAGAATCAAGAGTGAATTAAAATCAGTTGCAAGATTTTTTTTTTTTTTTTTGAGAGGCAGAGTCTTGCTCTGTCACCCAGGCTGCAGTGCAGTGGTGCAATCTCGGGTCACTGCAACTTCCACCTCCTGGGTTCAAGCAATTCTCCTGCCTCAGCCTCCCTAGTAGCTGAGACTACAGGCATGTGTCACCACGCCCAGCTAATTTTTGTATTTTTTTAATAGAGACAGGGTTTCACTATATGTTGGCCAGGCTGATCTCGAACTCCTGACTCCACATGATCGCCCACCTCAGCCTCCCAAAGTACTAGGATTATAGGTGTGAGCCTCCATGCCCTGCCAAGATGTTTTATTAACCCATGAACTTCATGGATTTATTTTTGTCCCAGCACTACAGAAAAGGTATTTGCAACTTAAGTGTAACTCTCATCCCATCTCTTTCCACTCCTCTAAATTAGTTTGAGAGAAAAAAATTCTAAGGACAATCTTATGTCAAATGCAAACTTTATCTAGAAACCACTTTATTCAGAAACACAAATTGAAACAATTATACTCTTCTTCTACAGTTGATGTTTGTTGGTTGATTGCTGTAGTCGATGTAAGAGGTGTGTGTGTGTGTGTGCATGGGTGTAAAAAAGGAGAGTGCAGGATGGGAGAAATAAGGGTTCACTTCAAGCAGGAAAAGATGAATTTAAGTTAGGAAGTCAACTCCCTTTGAAACTGAATGACAGGGACCATTGCTACCAAATAGACACTACAAATAAAAGGTGAAAGCTGGCCGGGCACGGTTTCTCAGGCCTGTAATCCCAGCATTTTGGGAGGCTGAGGCAGGTGGATCACAAGGTCAGGAGATCGAGACCATCCTGGTCAACATGGTGAAACCCCATCTCTACTAAAAATACAAAAATTAGCCAGGTGTGGTGGCGTGTGCCTGTAGTCCCAGCTACTCGGGAGTCTGAGGCAGAAGAATCACTTGAGCCTGAGAGGCGGAGGTTGCAGTGAGCCGAGATCACACCACTGCACTCAGCCTGGCCACAGAGCGAGACTCTGTCTCAAAAAAAAAAAAAAAAAAAAGGTGAAAGCCATTAGAAATTCTTTCCTGATACAGTCTCTAAGAGTAGGTTAAGGCCATAACAGAAGAAAACTAACATTCCTTGAGTACCTGCTGGTGCCAAGTAACATGCTAACAACCATCTGTCCCAGATCAAGATCCCTGGAATCAGACTTTGAGGCAGAGAGTCACACTACAGAGCAATGCTTCTTGAAGGTACACCTCAAAGGAAATGAAGAAGCAGGTCTGGGAAGAGGGGGAAACCAAGCAACAATGCAGCTGCCACTGAGTCCTCGCTGAGCCCTCACTGGCCCTCTAGGGGGCTCTGGAGCCACGACTGCCCTTCTCCAGATCCCAGCTTGAGGCACAGAGCCTACAGCTTTGTATCTCTGCATCAGTTGGCCATGACAGGAGCTACCCTCTAAAGGGGATGAAACCTTGATTAAGGCCATTCCCTCCCTACAGCCAAGGGCAACTCCTAGTGAGGCGGGCTGTGAACCAGCGGCAGTGGTTGGTATTTTCAGCAGCTAGGCACTTGGCATGTTGGCCTTGGAGAAGGGATTCAGGCTGAACAGCACAATCTTTCCTAATCCACCCCTTGTGGCATTCAGGTCCACCTGCTTCCTCTGGTAAGTTTGCCCCTTCAGGGAACAGCTTCTCCAGGGTACTGATTTGTCTTGTTCCCTGGAAAAACCTAAATGAGGGGATTTATGGTACAAAATACAATCCCCACAGCTCCCATTTGTCTCCTGGCTGTAAATGATACTCACCACCCCTCTTTTCCAGGGTATCACTCAGGGCTTTCCAAAGAAACAAAACTGGAGAGAGACAGAGACAGAGAGAGAGAGAGAGAGAGAATAGATAGAAACATGATAGATAAATGATGATAGCAAATAGGTAAATAGATGGATGGATAGATAATAGATAATAGGTGAATGGATAGATTAGATAGATGATAGATAGATACACTTACATACATACATAGATATGTGGATGGATAGATGGATGGAGATATACATACAGATTGAGAGTTTATTTTAAAGAATTGGCTGGTGTAATTACTGAGACAAACAAGTCCAAAATCTGCAGGTGGCCAGCAGGCTAGAGACACAGGAAACAGCTGATGATCAAGTCTGAGTCCAAAGCTCTCTGCTGACAGCATTCTGTCTTCCTTGGGGGACATCAGTCTTTTTCCTCCTAAGGCCTTCAACTGATTGGATGAGGCCACCCCACATTAGGAAGGATCATCTGCTTCTTTTAGATCAGTCTACTGATTTAGATATTGATATCAACTAAAAACACCTTCACAGCAACATCTAGACTAGTATTTGACCAAATATCTGGGTACCATGGCCTACCAAGTTGACAGATAAAGTAAACTATCACATCCAGCATCTGTTTTAATTTTCCCTTATCTTGACCTGCACCTCTGCAGGTGACCTATGGGTGACCCAGACCTTTATCCCTGAAGATTCTAAGCCCTTGGCTACCAGTTACCTGTGGCTTTCCTCTGGTCTGTGACTACAAACTGCAGAACCAGCAGCAAAACCTAAACAGGGGCAAGAGAGTTTAAGGATGGCTCCATGCAAACGTCACCCACTGCTGGGAAGCTCCTTGAAGTGGTGTCTAATTGATGGAAAGTCAGTAGTATCCCTCCTGCCCATTAAAATGTACTGGACTCACATTAGTAGGCATTCCCCAAGCACCTGCACTGCACCCAGGCATCCTGCACTATGTGCTGAGACTTCGGAGTTAAATAACACACCATTTTCACCTTGAATAAGCACATAGACCAGGGAGTAGAAAGAATGGCAAATAAATTAATGAGTTACGTCCAGGCGTGGTGGCTCATGCCTGTAATCCCAGCACTTTGGGAGGCTGAGACGGGCAGATCACAAGGTCAGGAGATCGAGACTGTCCTGGCTAACATGGTGAAACCCCATCAGTACTAAAAATAAAACAAATTAGCTGGGCATGGTGGCGGGCACCTGTAGTCCCAGCTACTCGGGGGAGGCTGAGGCAGGAGAATGGCATGAACCCAGGAGGTGGAGCTTGCAGTGAGCCAAGATCGTGTCACTGCACTCCAGCCTGGGCGACAGAATGAGACTCCATCTCAAAACAAAACAAAAAAATTGTGATTTACAATGTTGCAGAAACTGCCTAATCTGTGTGGGATGCAAAGAACATGTAAAGGGGAGAGCAACCCATGCTCCCTGGGGCAAGAAGAAAGGAATGCCAATTTCCCAACAGAAAGGAGGTGGTTGTTACTGTAAGAGGAAAGGAATGCTAAAAATCCAAAATCAACAGATGTCCACAGCACTAATAATAAAGTACCAACTTTTTAAATGTTACTTTTTTCATAAATTAGAGCACATTAAAGGTTATCCCCATCATAATGTCACTCTCACTCGCATAGCAATACGTGCTCCAAAACGGGAAAGGAGGGAATGGAATTAGAGTGAACAGCTGGGGACAGGGCTGGGAAAAGCATCCAACAGATGTTCACTGAGCCATAGGTCCTGGGCACTGCACTAGGCACCTGGGAGGAAACAGAACAAGACCCCTGCCCTGTGTCACCTCAAAACTGAGAGTGAAAACGACCAAACCAGGGCAGGTAGCCCCAGCTACCAAGACTTCAAACCATTCAGAAATGGGATCTGCAAAAATAGGACCTTCTGACTCCATTCTGGAAAAACTGCTATTTGATTTTGCTTTCATCTTTGCCAGCTTCCAGATCAGGAAAAGACATTTTGCTCAACAAAACTGCTATCTGAGTCTGTCAGTCTATTGCTTCCCCCACCTACAAGAAGGACCCATTTCAAACCCTCACCAGGGCTGTTGGGATTTTCAGATTCTGCTCAGGGACTGTGGGGATTTGTTTCACGATCTTGTTGAAAAAAAAAAAAATTAAATAAATAAATTGGTGGCGTTGCAACTGCTGTTGTTTTGAAATGTTTCGGTTTTATTTTGAGGCTTGTATTTTATGAGTATCTGTTTCTACATTTGGAGCTCATGCAATATGCATGGTTTCTTTATGAGATGTGATATGCATTTGTGGAGACTGCATTGCCTGCCAGACTGTGTTGAGAAAATACATTTCAGTTACACCTGACCGGAAAACCATCTGCCCGTGCCGCACGGACACATGGCCGATACTGGGATAGCATGGGAAGCCCCAGCGACTGCTCAAGGTTCTCTCAGTTAGAAGACATCCCAGAAGAGAAGTGGTAGATTATGACTGTTGAAGAATACTTATTATTTGAAATAAATACAAATTTTTAGTCTACAGCCAGACCACCCTGAATGTGCCCCATCTCGTCTGAAATAAATATAAATTTTTAATGACTTTTTCACGGAAAAGTGACAAGTAATTAAAGGTTTTTGAGGGATAGCAAATGGTAACCAATTCCTAACTAGGATTCGTCCTCTCAAAGCTGTGTGAGGGGTAAACACAGGAGCAAAACTTGAGTACCCAGCTGAAAATGACTAAAAAGTGGTGAAAATTATCACTATTCTTGGTTCTCACTTCACGTTATTATTGCCTAGCACAGGGCCTGGCACATACTGGGTACTCAATAAATGGCAGCTACATTTTGCTATTTTTAATACTATATTTGAACCTTCAGCACTTGGCTCAGGACCCGGGACACAGTAGGCACTCAGCAAATGTCTATCAAGTGCATGAATGAATAGCAGTCAGAGCTGGCATTTGGCCGCAAACTCCTTGGCAGATTATGATACTAATATTTTTTCTCTTAACTCAGCTGCAAAGATCCAGATTATGGGCCACTAGGAGCCTCTCCCTGGAGAAGACAGCTCCACCAAACCTGAAGATTCCAAAGCCCTGGCTGAAATCGTAGCTGTAGACGCCGTATGTAGAGCTGGCATTGAATTCACTCCCTGCCAAGTCCTGAGCAAGCTTAGCAGTAGGCTTAAGGCTGCTTCTCAAATTGTATGAGATGCTGATTGAAGATCTCAATTGAAAATACGCTTTGTACATGCAAAGCACACCCACAGTGGCTTTAATCACGGTCCAAAGGAAAGGGAACTTGTTTTGTTTTGTTGCACTGAGGGTATGCCCACATCCTCTGCAGGCCAGTAGCGGCAACGCCTAGCCAGGAGCAGCAGAAACCCTCTGGGGTGTTCATCCTTCCACGCATGCAAATGACAAGTGAAAATAGATTCCTCTTGTCTCCTTGAAATACTGCTTTTTTGTCTCCCCTGTTTCCTCTTCATCTCTCTCTCCCTTTTGGAGCCCTTAGTTGTTGTGATCTCCTAGATGCTAGAACTCATCATGACCCTCTATCATCTCCTAGATGTTCTTTGCTCCTCCTAAATAGAGGGTCATGATGGTAAAAAATGGCAACTATCATTTCATGGGCACCAAGAAGGGCTAAGTGATTTCTTTATATTGATCCCAATCCACACAAGGTAGACTTTATGATTCTCCCTGTAGATGAAGAAACTGAGTCTAGAGAGGCTAGTAAATAGTGGAACTCAAATTTGAAACCAAATTCATCTGGCTCCCAAGACCAAGCTTCCCTAAGCATTACTTCCAATATGGGGAGATGGAAGCCCAGACAGCCTATATTTTACCATAAAGGACTAGACACATCTCCAGTTTTAGAGCACTTGGAGAAGTTCTTAAGCAATGGCAGTGTTTGGTGTTTCTTCCTCTTTCATTTTTTCCACACAAAAATCCATTTATCTGATCCTGTCAAATGAATATTTTGACCAGCCACCCTTCCAAGTCCTCAGCTTTTTCACATGCTGTCTCCTGGAATTCCTTTTCCCATCTCTGGAATAGGGCAAATAACTCAAGCAGAAGAGCAAAGAACATTGGATCAAACCCACACTTCCACATGTATAAGCTTTATGAACTTGGAAAAATTATATCACTTCCATGATCCTCAGTCTCCCTTTCCATTAACCAGGAACTAAGTGATTCTACCGCCTCCCAGAGTTTCCATGTGAATTACATGACTCCCACCCTGTGAGCTTTAGGCTGTCCTGTAAGTTTAGGTCTGGCCAATTCCTTAGACGACCGTGGAGAAGGCAACTTAGTTTCACTGACTAAGAGACGGAGTTTTAGCATTGATCTGTTCCTTCACACCACAGACCACACCTGTTTCTCCAAATACTTTTCCATGTGCCTTGGTCTTTTCAGTGAAGTTTACTCCAAAACCTGAAGCTCATCCCTGGCAAGGTCTACACAGCCTTGAGCTTCTCAAAGGCACCAAACTCCTGGAAGCCCAAGCTTTTTATGCACCTGTATTACAACATCCATTCTGCCTACTAGTATCTGCCCTCATACCCTAGGTCCATTGAGGGCTAATAGAGCCTGAATCAGGCTAAACTCTACCACATCCCTCAGACACTGCAATTTGGACTATTGACCCTGCACCTTAGGGACAGGGTAAAGCCTGCATTATTCTCCTAGCACCACTCCTGTCCTCAGAGCAGAACTTTGAGGTGAGAAAAACCTGAGCTTAAATTCTGACCCTGTGTTCTCCTCTAGCTATGGGATCTTGGTAAATTCTTCATTATTGCTGGTTTTATGGTTTTGGTGATTGGCTTTGTACATATGCAAACCAATTGGCACATATTAAATACTCCTATATTTGTTTTCCATCAAGATGCATCATCTTTCCCATAAAAGCATTGTGCAAGGTCCAGTATCATTTCTTTCTTTTCTTGTTTTCTTTGTATAGAGACAGCATCTCTCCCTCTCTTGCCCAGGCTGGGGGGAAGTGGCGCAATCATAACCCACTGTAGCCTTGAACTCCTAGCCTCAAGCAATCCTTCCACCAAGTGCTGGGATTGCAGGAGTGAGCCACCACTCCCAACCTGGTCCAGCATTCTTTGTAGTTGAATTTATCCAAATTAAGACAGTTTAGATGAGAAACATTCTTTGAAAATGTCGGACATATAATAAGAGCTCAATAAACATCAGTTGTTGCTGCTGTATTATTCTATCATTATTGTTATCATCATCATCATCATTACCTACTACGTGTGGAGCCTCTTATATGTGCTAAAACCTGTACTGTGCACTTGATAAACACTATTTCTAATCACTGTAACCCTGCAAGGTAGAAATCATTATCCCTTTTCCTACAGACAAGGAACTTGAGGCTCAAGAGAGAAAGTGGTGGACTCTAAGCCACATAGCTAGTTAAGTGGCCACGTCAAGATTCTCTAATTGGATCTAACCAATTTGTAATCACCCGTTAAGAATTGAGTGAAAGAGAAACATTAAAAAAAAGGGGGGGGGATTCCTGTTGTCCCATGAGAGTGCTTTGAGGAACAAGGTTAAGTACATCCAACTAGGACCCAACTCAGAACCGAGAATGGGGCTGTTTGGAAGAGAGAGGATGCATGCAGGGGAGCTGGGGAACACTTGTGGGCTTGAGCTGGACTTGAAGATGTGTGGGGAACAAAGGAGAATTTCCAGGAGCCTGGGCAAGAGGAGACGGGGATGGGGTGAGAATGCTGGGGAGCAGCCACCGATACTCACTGAGCGTCTACTGTGTTCCTGCCCAGAGTGGACAGCATGCATGTGAGCTCACTCAATCCCGACAGAACTACCAGGTGGTTCTCTTTTAGCTCCACTTTACAGAGGAAGTAGCATAGTCATACAAGTAATATGTATGAAAGCAAAGGTGGAAATGGAGAGGGCATATCCAGGAAATGATTTTACTTCAGCACATCTCTAGGAAGTCCCTTTACTAAGGACTCATGAAGGAGAAATTACCAGGTCACTTTTGCCCTAAGTGCAGCATACCGTTTCCGGATTTCATTTTGTTCTCAATATTTGTCTGCTCAGCCTGGGTGGTGGGCTTCACATGTAGAACAAAGTTGTCCATTCTTTCTCAATTCAATAGTGTGGATCTCATGATTTCATTCATTCCCTCAACCAACCAACCAATCTTCATGGGCCTTCTCTTACTGTGTGGCTCCCCTCATAGAGGCTGGGGCATAAAGATCAGTCACTCCAGAGACGCTGCCTTCAAAGCTGCTCTGCCGTGGCTCCTGAACTCACACTAAATGTTGTGCTGTCACCAAATGAACATAATGATGAGTGCATTGAATGTTAATTACAGCATGGAGTAAACTCAGCTATACCATGTTTCATTGTCTACTTTTCTTGATTGTCCAATCTGTAACCCACTGACCAGCCATAAATACTTACAATTATTTTCTTTCATCATGCTCAAAACCACTAATTAGAGTAATTACTGCAAAGTATAGTTAACATGAATCAAGCTGGCATGAATCAAATCATACCCTATTCCCCATTTTGGTTTTCCTTGAGGTTCCTCAGTCTTGTCTTAGTTTCCCAGGCCAAGATCCACCCAATGTGCTGAAACGTTTCAATTACCTGGCTAGGCCACACTATCCTATCCACTGTGACTTTAGGCAGGGTAAAAACTGATAATAAATGAATATTTCCATAGATTCATATTTGGCTGGTCAGATCTCTGATAATTTCCAACTCCCTTGTAACCAACTACACTCTCTCGTCTCATGTAGCTTAATTTTATGGCCCGGATTCCAGGCCTGAAGGCTTGAGTGTCTGTTGCTTTGTCATGATAGTCCCATTAGCATGAAGATTTATTTTTAGAGACATCGCCCCTGGCACACAAAGAAAAATGGTGTACAGTAGTAAAAAGAGCTCAGCCCTTAAGACGCACATGCGGTGCAGGGCCCCTGGCACTCATTCACTGTGGAGCATGGGGGAGTCACTTCAACCTGCTGAGCCTGGGATTCCCCAGCAGTACAGGTGAATGCTGACACCTGTCTCAGAAGATGGGTGGGGTGTGGATGCGAGGGTGCCTTATAAACTGTTAAGCGCTCTCCAGTTGGAATTATTTTTACTCTGTAAAGCTCTGGCCATGTTGTGAATAGGGCAAGAAGTAGTAGAGTCCATAAGGAAAGAAATGCATTTCATGGAAGATGCTCTGCTTTGAAGTTCATAGGTGTTTCAATGGTGGTGGTGATGGTGGTGGTGTTTCATTTTTGATGGGTTTATTGTTTCAGAAAATCCACCTGCATCCTCAATCATCCTTACTTATGCACTAAAATGAGTCTACAGAGAGCAGGCTGGCAGGTCCCCTTCCTTGCCCTCAGGTGGTAACACCTGCCTGATCCGCACATGACACTCCAGACACATCTGTTCCCACTGCTCCCCCACACCCCACTAACATGGTCATAGCCAAGGGCTGCTGCCACTCGGAAGCCAATTTACAAGGAAGCCCGTGAGGCTTAGGCTCCAGGACCCCTCACTTGGGCAGAACCTTTCCAAAGCTCCAAACCCCATTTTGTATTCACAATTTTGTATTCTGTTATGCACTGAAATGTGTACCTCCAAATACATATATTGAAGCCCTAACCCCAAGTACCTCAGATGTGACTGTATTTGGACATACGGTCTTAAAAGAGGTAACTAAGTTAAAATGAGGTTACTAGGGTGGGTCCTAATCCAATCTGACTGGTGCCTTTGCAAGAAGAGATTAGTATATACATCTACTATGTATCCACAAAAATTAAAATAGCATAAAATAAAGAAACGTTAGGATGCAGACACACACAAAGGAATGGCCACGTGAGGACACAGGGACAAGACAGCCACCTGCAATCCCAGAAGAGAGGTTCAGAAGAAACTAACCCTGCCAACACCAGGAGCTCAGACTCCCAGGCTCTAGAGTCTCTGCTGCTTCTATAATGTCTGTTGTTTAAGCCATGCAGCCTGTGGTACTTTGTTTCGGCAGCCAGGGCCATTTGTCTATTCTTTTTTTCAAAGGTCGCCAAAAATGTAAAAACACCAAGCACCACAGAGCGTGATCCACCTCAACGTGCTGTAAACACATGATTGGCTCACACGCCAATGTCGGGCCAGAGCTGATCAGAAACTGAGGTGTGGGAAGACAGTGGGAGAGAGATGCATTTTACTGCAGAGTGAGAACGAGATATTCATATGGGAAAGGGAGAACAGTTCCTGAAACAAAGGGCTGGTCCTCAGTTTGACTCAGTTTCCCTCAGGGCGGACCTGTTCTCGAGTCCTGTGCCATGCACATCCCCCACTCAGCTTCCGGTTCATTTAGTCACATGTGCCAGACACCCCGTGCGCAGGTGCCCAGCACCCATCCCTACTCCACCAGTGTGAGTTCTCTTTCCCTAGGTCTCTGAAAGGAAGGGACAAGCCGAGCTGGGAAAGGGCTCCCATCAAAGTGACAACCGCAGAAAATCAGAGCATTTTCTGGAAGCCTTTCTAAAATTCCCAGCTCACAGAGCAAAGGCTACCAAGGTTCTGAGTTAGGAAAATTACAGGCTGTTTAGCTTCCCAAGTTATTTTATAATCACTGAATGGAGAGAGAAGCAGACAGTAGCATCTACCTGAGAACTGTAAAAGGGAAAACAGAGGGCAGAGATTAAAAACATGTATGATTTATCTCTCAGAAGGAAAAATAGATCTTCAAGTATGACAGTTAGCATTTGGGTGGCATAGTGTGCAAAACACTTTCACCTTCTCTGTCTCATGTAATGGTCAAAATGACCAGACAAATCAATGACCTTATCATTATCCCCTTTTACTAGATAAGGAAACAGAGCCCCAAGTCTGCACAAAGAGTAACATCATTGAATTCTGGTCCTTTGAATCCAAACTCTTTTGTCATCATAGCATACATTTATATATAGCCCCTCCTACGTGTGCCTGTGAAATACTTTGTGCTTACTATTTTTAATGAGAAAAACCATAAAATGATTTTTTTAGTCAAAAACACATCAGGGATCTCTGTTTCCTAATATTCAGACTCGGGCTGACCCCTTAGGCCACTTGCACTTGGCTTTGGAGTCCTCCCAGGTGAGTGGAGCCCTCCTCTTCCTCTCCTCTGTGCCTCACACCCTACAGTACCTGGCACACCAAAGGTGTCCTCAAAGTTTGCTAGGCCCTGATCTCCCTGCCTGTGGTTTCTCAGATCCAGACCCATCCTTGGCTTCGATTCCTGCCCTCAGCCCCCCACCCAACTACACTGCTCCCAGAATTCCATCCTTCCACCTAGGACTTCCTGCCCCTCCATCCTCAACAAGCAGCCGGGGATGAGAGCCCTGCTGCCTCTGATCCGACCACTGCAGGTGACACCCTCTCCTGACTCACCCCTGCAGCCTTCCACCCACCTGACCTGGACCCTTCTCCTTTTACAGGCCCTGGTGGCTCCTGCTTCTGTCATGACGAAGCTGACCACCCACCTCTGGTTCTCCCAGGCAGGCCCTAGCCCTCCCTAATAATGAGAATAAAAATAACTGGCATTTACTGAGTCCTTACTATGAAACAGATATGCAATGGACTGAGTGTTTATGTCCTCCCCAAATTAATATGCTGAAATCCTAACCCCAAGATGGTGGTATTAAGAGGCAGGATACCTGGGGGCCATTAGGTCATGAGAGTGGGATCCTCATGAATAGGATTGGTACCCTTGTTAAAGGGACCCCAGAGGGCTGTCCCGCCCTCTCTCCACCATGTGAGGACATCATGAGAAGACAGCTGTCTGCAGGCTGGAAGAGGACACTCACCAGAACCTGACCCTGCTGGCACCCTGATCTTGGACTTCCAGCCTGCAGAACTCTGAGAAATAAGTTTCTGTTCTTTATAAGCTGCCCAGTCTATGGTACTTTGTCACAGCAGCCCAAACAGACTAAAACACAGATATTACAAAAAGTGCTTCCTATCCATCATCTCATTCAATCCCTACCAAATCTATGATCTTGTAAATGGTATATATATATACGTAAATGGTATATATATAGACACATACATACATATTTTAGTTAATACTTTTAATTACATGATTGTAATTATAAAATTTCCACTATTTTATATTTTGTATAAAACCAGTTTCAACTCACATGATTTTCAAATGTGACAATATGTATCAAACTACACATATATGAAACGTTTATAGGCCATTAGGAAGCTTTATCTTAAAAATACCTTCAGGAAAATAAACATTCATTCAACCAGTTCTCTTGGCTTTAAAACATATGATTAGAAAAGTACACTATAAAAAAATCAGGACAATGATTGGTCAATACTGATAGTTACATTTTAAAATGGTATATATTTTAACCCCTGGGTTAGGTACTATAAGCTGCATTTCATGAAGGAGTAAACTGAGGCATAGGGAAGGGAAAGGGTGTGGCTCAGGGACAGGTAGCCAGGAACAGAAACAGACCCCTGATGTGCCCTGCTATTTGCACAGCCTCACATCTACAGATGCAGAAACAAAGCCAAGGTTTGTAATGGTGTGACGAAAACCACACACATCACCCTGAGCAGAACCAGGGCTCTCATCCCAGGCTATCTGTCCCCAGGATGGGACTCTGCCCTCCATGTTCTGCTGTCTCCCTACGTGGAGAGGGTTTGGGGCAAGGTTATGGCTCTCAGGTATGACCAGGATAAATTGAGTCTGGGGCTGTGCTTAGATCATTCAGCTCAGCTGATATTTTAAGAGGCAGGGTAGAGTCAGGGAGCTGGGCCAGCCATTGGGGTTTGTTCAAGGAGAAGTCACATGACATGGTTCAAGAAGGAAGGAGGAAACTGATAGGGCCTGAGCTGGGGAAAGGGGAGAGGAGAACTGGGCAGCCCAGACATGAGTAGGGACCAGGTACAGGTGCTGCTGATGAGTTTCTCCAACGCAAACATGTTGCTTTGGGTTCACTGGCTCAATTAGACATAGAGTGACCCTCCCTGAGCCTTATTTTAAAGGACCCACAGAGGGCCAAGATCGCCTTTGACCTAAGTACCTGGGGTAACCTAAGGATCCAAAAGATCTCACCCATAAGTATTGAGACGTCATCTAAACCCACTTAATAAACCACAGACCATCTGAATGGCGAATTTGGCTTTTATAGCCTCCCCTGCATCTCTGCCCAAAGCGAACCTGGAAATGGCACTATAAGGGCCTGTAGAAGAGGAATGCTAGAGTCCATCAGCCCAGCTTGGCTCTGAAGGAAGGTCTGGCCTGCACTTGCACACCTGGACCAAATAATTATGAATCATACCTTTATTCCCAAATAGAAGACCTGAAACCCCACCAAGGTCTGCTTTGGGGTTTGTTTTGATGGAGTAACATAGCCACACCCCAGGGGCTTGGCTCACTCATTCGTGGAGACAAGTCTTGGAAAATGTTTTATGTTTGCAAATCTTTGAGTTCGATGAGCTGTGACGATGTTTGCCCAACACAGCCGGTCCTGTGTGCCCGGGCTTTGGGTATTGCTCACACACCAGTGGCATTTCAGCACACGCTACACCCGTAAATATAGATAGCATCTGCCCCGAAGTGTTCAAGGGCTTTGTTATGGTTGTTATCATGGAGGGTTGTGGTTTTCTTTTATTTTATAAAACCCACAAAATGATTGTTATGCTTTTGTAACAACAACAATACAATGTTGTTAAAAAATTTTGAGCTGGGATTCAGATGGCCCGGGTACAAGACCCAGCTCTGAATTTACTCTCTTTGTAACTAGGAATAAATCAACAAACTGCTGTGAGTCTCAGTTTTCTCATCTGTAAAATGGGGATGACAATATTCATTTCCTGGATTGAGTGTATGCCCTTCCTGTTTCCCATGGATAAGGCCCCAAATCAAAGCTTTCATGAAAGTATGTGAATTGCAAATCACTGTATAAGTGGAACCTATGCCATTTTTTCTCAATTTTAAACTCAATGAGATATGCTGCACTAGGTCAGGTGACACATGCCTGAAAGTTAAAGCCACATAGATAATTGGATATGTCAGAGGAAAGTCTCTAATCTGTAAGTTTATCTATAAGGCTGTAAGAACCAGCTATTGACTCCTTTTTATGCACCACATATGACTAGCCATTGAGAATGCAGCACTAAGTAGCATGCTTTCCCTGGAGTGAAATCCACAGTCCAAACTTTAGTGAATAACTAGAACCTAAAAGTGTTAAGAGCTGTCATAAAGAAATGGTGTCAACCCTATGAGGAATGAAAGAAAAGGCCCTCCTAGAGGAGGGGACAACTGTGCTGGATGCTGAAAAGGGAGGAGAAACTTGCTAATAAAGCCAACAAGTCAGTATACACAAGACAAAGAAAATGGCCCAGGCGTCGCAGAGGAGTATGCTGAGAAAGACGTGGGCTTCCTTCCACAGTGCTGGGTTGGTGGGGAAAGGGGAGCTGCAATGATGTACGAGGGGCAGCCCAGCTTTCCTGACACACCCAGCCACCTCACTTGGTAGGAAGGTGGGAGATTTCAAGGAGAGGTGATGAGGGGTGAGAAGGGGCCAAAGACTGGGTGTGACAAGGGGCTGCTGAAGAGACACGTGGTCAGGAAAGGCTTCACCCACTCAGCAGTGAAGAGAAGAGGTGATGCCACCTCCACCTTTGCTATGCCCCTTTTATCTTAAAGTCTTGATGCATGGCAAGGCACCAAGCTGCTCAGAAGCAAATGAAAAGAAAGAAGCAAACTGAGAACTGCCCAAACGTGAGCTTCAGCTTTGTAGGAGGTGGGCTCCAGGAAGCACGTGACTGACTCTGCAGTTGGTGCTCCCAAGGTGACATCATGTAAAGGAAAGTTCAAGTTTCATTGTTGCAGAGTAATTTTATCGCTCCCTTTTTGCATCCTAATTGGTGGCTTTTGAGCCATCTTCTCTGAGCTCTCATCTTCTCCAGCTGCAGAGTAAACCAAGGCACGAGAATGGGCAGCTTGGGCACATTCGCTGGGCCTCGTTCCCTCTGGTGGATAAAGTGCCTTCTCCTTAAACCAGAACCATCTGTGAAAAATGACTGGGAGGCACAAAAAGTGCTGGAACCACAAAATTCCAGCTTCGGTTTTGGCTTTCTGGCAACAAAAGAATAAAAACACAGTTCTTATTTCTCCAAATATTTCCTTCTCCACTGTCTGCTCCGGCCTGATTTCAGTCCCCGACGAGGCAGCACTGATGCCTCCGTGGCCCACTCCCTCTGCTGCCTTTGGAGATATTGCTGGAATGCACATTAAGGTCATGATATTGGCTAGGAATAAAATGAGTTTTTCAAAAAGGACAAACTTCATAAATCCTGGCTTGTTCCTACACAGGTGTATAGAAGAAACAGAAGAAATGTGTTTTTCTGTGTTTCTGTCTTGCCAAGACCCAAAAATGAAAACCAATTTTTGTCCATAGAAGGTGTCTGTTAAAGGACTTGAAGTGAGTCCAGACAAAGGCAGGTTGTGAGCTATTAAAGTGTCTTGCCCAATATCTGCCAATAATGGCCATCAAGGCTCCTCACACAGCATCTGCCCACGTTATTATAATCGGGCTGCCTGTGCGTCACCTGATGAAGACCGCAGCTTGGGACGACTGGATGGGGTGGGACCAAGATATTTACAGAGATGAGAGAGGGATGTTGGAAAATTCACTCTCCTCCACACCACAAGAAGGTTTAAAGATCCAAACCAAACCAGAGCTCGTTCAAGTGTTAGGAGATGTAAAATAATGTGGTTTGGGGTGCACAAACGTTTTTAGCTATAAATACCTTCTAGATTGTTCCAATGCATTGAGCCAAAACCTAAATGCTGTGAGGTTTCAACCAACCGAATGGTTCCTTAAATAAACACCATGCAAGGACAAAAACTACCAAAGTGAATTTGAAAGAGCAGAGACTGACTCTAAATGGATGACCTGAGTGAGGACGGTGTGTCCAGGCCTTCCATAGCAAGTGTTAGCTGGGGGCCTTCGGCAGGCTGGGCCCTGGTCAAACTCATTCAGCTCCACACCTGTGTTCACCCTTCCACCAGGAATCCCATGAGAAGGACACTGGTGCCCTGCACTGTAAAAAGGAAAAACCCCAAACTCCAAAAAGTTTAAGAAAATCAGCTCCCAACTGGAAGTTGCTTCGGTCTGACTCCAAAGCCTACCATCCTCCACATGGGACCCACTGCCCCCATTCCATGGGTGTGTTCCTCCATTGGTGTTACCTCTTCAGGGCAAAGACACTGTCCCCTTTACCTAACGCTTCTCAGTGCCAAGTGGCATCTGGGATATTGGACATTGTCTGAGTTTCCTGGGGCTACCATAGCAAATCACCATAGACCTGATGGCAATACACAGCAGACATTTATTCTCTCTCAGTCCTGGAAGTTAGAAGCCTAAAACCCAGGTGTCTTAGGCTTGGTTACTACTGCGGGCTTTGAGGGAGAATCCACGTCCTGCCTCTCTCCTGGCTTCTGGGGATTTACCACAAGTCCCTGATGCTCCTTAGCTCATGGACACGTCACTCCCACCTCTCCCTCCATCTTCACGTGATGTCCTCTCTGAGTCTGGGTTTATGTCTTTCCTCTTCTTCTTAGAGGGGCAGCGGTCATATGGAATTAGGGCTCATCCTGATTTCATATGACATCATCTTAATTTCATTATACTTGCAAAGACCCAATTTCTAAATCAGGTCACATTCACAGGCACCTGGGGCTAGGACTCCAGCATACTTTTGTTGGGACAGAAGTCAACCCGTAATAGAGATAATAAATTCATATTTCTTGAATGAATCAAAAACCAAAAAGATCCTGCAGTGGACGCAGTGCTCTGGGAGCCTCTCTGAGCACATCAGGTCCCTGAACATTGCTGCTCTATCTTCCTCCCATGGCCTGAAGAAACCAGTCAGGCTGCCAAAACTCGCACCATTCTGAGACCTCCTGTGTCTTGACGGAATAAGAGAAATCTTTTCACCTATAAGGCATCACACCCCATTCCCTTTCCCCCTAAAAAAACGAGGACACTTTTACAATGCCACAATGGAGGCAGAAGCTTCCAGAAAGAAAGCATCACACCCATTCCCTTTCCCCCTAAAAAAGCCAGGACACTTTTACAATGCCACAATGGAGGCAGAAGCTTTCAGAAAGAGTAAATACATGAATCTAAGAGCCACTTTTTGACCTATGACTCAGAGTACAGAAAGAATGCTTGGTATCCTGAAAAAAATTCACTCAGCAGGAGTAAACACTAAACCTCATCAATTTTTTAAAGGTAGCAATTACTTGTATAATACCTATCAACCAATGACATTAAAAAGAAAGTAGTGGAAGCTTAGACTTCCACTACTCTGGCTATAAAATCTTTTTTGTTTTGTTTTTTAATAACTGATTTTTCAAGAATGTTATACTTATAAACACATATACATTTTATGTCCTACCTCCAAGATAGCTCCAAATGAGAATGTTACTAGCCAAGAAGCTAACATCAACAAAAATGCATAAAAACTGGTTAATAAAGCCCACATTAAGGGAACAGTAGAAAGTAGCTAAGAAAATGTAAATTCATTCAGGAAATAAGCATTTGCATGTACTGTTAAATATAATTTCCACCAGGTGCATGAAGCACATGAGTAATTATAGGCCAAGAAAAAAAAAAGTGATAACCTTTTCTCCGCATGGACGCCACCTCCTTTGGTTATGAGGCAGTGCTTTGAAGAGTTAAATGCCCTCTGCAAATGCCAGGGGGTGGTGTTGCTGTTGCCTAAACTGTTCCTCCTCACAGCCTGGGCTGCATACAAAGCAATTGCATAGGAGATATCTTACCCTCCCTTTTCTTTCATCTCTGTGGAAATACATGTTTCATTTAAGCCTGTGGTGCTTGGAACTTGTTCCAAGGAACCCCACGTTCTAACAGCAAAATCAAAGAATGCTTGTCTTTTCCCAGCTTGCAGGGAGAACAATAAGTAAACGAGTAGAAATTTCTCACTGTTATGTGTTATTCTATAATTTTTTGTTAAGTGTTATTCTATAATTTTTTCCTAAGTGTTTGGAACTCACTGTCTCTAGCCTACTAGGAAGTCCTGGAGATGACCAAGCAAGCCAGCATCACACCACCCCAGGGTCCCCACAGTGCCACGTGCAGGCTACCCCTCACTGCCTGCCAGGAGGGGTAATGCCAGCTTGCATTTGGTTATCAGTACCCCCACCCCACTCTGAGGGCGATGACAGCAGGGCCCCTCTGGGCACTAGTGCGTGTCCCAGGTCTTGGCACCTGTGTGCTGGCAGTGAATGTTTGCTGTAAGAATGAGCAGATAAAAATGCAAATAAAAACCACAATGAGATATCACCTTGCACTCATGTGAATGGTCACTATCAGAAAACGCACACACACACACAGACACATACATAAAATAACCATTGGCAAGGATGTGGAGAAGCTGGGACTCTTGTGCATTGCTGGTAGGAGAGTTAAACGGTGCAGCCATTGTGGAAAGCAGTATGGCGGTTCCTCAAAAGATTAAATACAGAATTTCCACATGATCCAGAAATTCCACTTCTGGGCATATTTCCAAAAGAACTGAAAGCAGGGTCTCACACAGACACTTATGCATTCATATGCACGGCGGAATTATTCACGATAGCCAACAGGTGGAAGCAACCCAAGTGTTCATCGGTGGATCAACAGAGAAACAAAATGTGCCACATACATCAGTGGAATATTATTCAGTCTCCAAAGGGAAAGAAATTCTGACACACCACAATACAGATGAACCTTGAGGACATTATCTTAAGTGGAGTAAACCAGTCCCAGAAGGACAAATATGGCATGATTGCACTTACGTGAGGTACCTAGAGCCGCCAAATTCATAGACACGAAGAGCAGAATGGTGGTTGCCAGGAGTCGGAGTGAAGAATGAGGAACTATTATTAAATGGGGACAGGGTATCAGTCTGGGATGATGAAAAGACTTGTGGAGATGGATGATGATGGTTGCACAACAATGTAAATGTACCTAATGCCGCTGAGCGGCACACTTAAAAATGGTTAAGTTGTAAATTTTATGTTAGGAATAGTTTACCAAAATTATTTAAAAAGAAGCAGATGATGAATGTCAACATTGAATGCATTGTCTCATAAGCACATGGCTTCTAGCAGCCCCATCACCTAACAAGCTTTAGAAATTTGACTGCAGTTAGTAAACTACAACTGGTAGGTATTTTAAGAATGTTAATTTAAAAAAACAACTATAACTTGTTTTTAATACAGAGATCTAGAAAGCCGGAAAATTTTGGCTTATCATCCCACCACTCAAATAATCCCAAGTGATCTTTTTTTTTTTTTTTTTTTTTTTTTTTGAGATGGAGTCTCGCTCTGTCACCCAGGCTGGAGTGCAGTGGCACGAGCTTGGCTCACTGCAAGCTCCGCCTCCCAGGTTCACACCATTCTCCTTCCTCAGCCTCCCAAGTAGCTGGGACTACAGGCGCCTGCCACCACACCCAGCTAATTTTTTGTATTTTTAATAGAGACGGGGTTTCACCACGTTAGCCAGGATGGTCTCGATCTCCTGACCTCGCGATCCACCCGCCTTGGCCTCCCAAAGTTCTGGGATTACAGGCGTGAGCTACCGCTCCTGGCCCCAGTTGACCCTATTTTTTAAGGTTAAAAATAATACCCTGCACTGGATGAGGCTGCTCAGTGGTGTGCAATGTTATAAAATGAAAAGTACATACATCTTTCCATTCTTGGTCCCTCCCCCAAACAATAATCACTATCATCAGATACTTAATGCATCCTTTTAAGAACAGCAACAATACACACTATGCTTAGACTTAATGTTATGCTGACACATACGAATGCATTTATAATTTTTAATTTTCACTTGGCATGTTTACCTTTACATTGTGTTTTTACACATTTTATTTTATATTTACATTTTTAAAATGTGTGTATGATGAGATTTCACTTCATGGTCTGTGTTTCTGAAACACATGATGTTGTGGAAGTTCTGATTTGTGGGGGGGAGATTATACAATTTGGTCCATATGATGTCCAAATTTACAGTATTTTAAATCTTCCCCTGAAAATATTTTTAGAGATTTTTCCATATTAAGATACATGAAGCTACCTGATGACTGTTTAATATTCCTGATTAAACATTTAGACTGCTTCCAAGCTTGTTTTCCTTTTGTTTTTTTTTTCTTCATTCTAGCAAGTATTCATAGCAATGAAATTTGTAGATCAAAATATGAGCAATTTGTATTTTAACAAACATTGGCAAATTACAATCCATAATAGTAGCAACAACTTGCACCCCCATAATTTGTGAGAATAGATGTTCTCCACCCCATCAGCCAGTCACTAGCAGCACTTCCCATGAGCCAGTGTTTTAATGTTTACCTTCCTAAGGAAAAAACACGGTGATTCATAATTTTTATTTGCATCGCGTTAACTAAGAGATATATTGAACACCTTTTAAATGTACTTGTTCATATTTCTTTATTGGGTTTTCTATTAATTTATAAATGTCTTATTGGTGGGCTTTTTAAAGATGAAGAAAATTAGCCTTTCATTTGTCGTATTTGTTGCAGATCCATTCCCCAGATTTGTTTGTCTTCCTTTGTTTGAACTCTTCTGTGCCAAACAGAAATGCAAAATTTGTATATAGTCATATGTGTATATCTTTTCTTTTATAGCTTCTGGGTTTTCTATGCTGCCTAGAAAGACTTTCCCTTCTCCAAGTTTAAAAATAAATACACTGAAACTTTTAGACAGGCTCTCTTTGATCTGTTTATACAAGGGTGAGCCAGCGGTATTGCCTTCAATGGGATAAATATAAGATCATGAATGGGAATGTTAAGGCCAGCTATTAAAATGGAAGGGAATAATACTTATATCAATTGATTTTCAACAAGCATGACAAGATAATTCAACGGAGGCAAAAACTGTATTTTCAACAAATGGCATTGGGACAACTGGATGTTTTACAAAATTGTTGTTTTAAAACAATATGTGGCCAGGCATGGTGGCTCACACCTGTAATCCCAGCACTTTGGAAGGCCGAGGTGGATGGATCACGAGATCTGGAGATCGAGACCATCCTGGCTAACACGGTGAAACCCCGTCTCTACTAAATATACAAAAAATTAGCCAGGCATGGTGGCAAGCACCTGTAGTCCCAGCTACTTGGGAGAATCGTTTGAACCCCGGAGGCAGAGGTTGCAGTGAGCCGAGATCATGCCACTGCACTCCAGCCTGGAAAACAGAGGGAGACTCCATCTCAAACAAACAAACAAACAATATGTAAAACATGAAGTTGGACCACTACTTCACAGGTATAAAAAATCAACTCAAAATGGATCATATACCTAAATATAAACGCTAAGATTATTAAACTTATAGAAGAAAATATAAGAGTAACTCTTTGTGGCTTTGGGTTAGGCAATGGTTTCAATCCATATATGACACCAGGAGCACAAGTGATAAAGGGAAAAAAATAGATAAATTGGAGTTCACAAAAATTCAAAACTTTGGGGTTTCAAAGAACATCATCATAAAGTGAACATATAACCCATAGAATGGGAAAAATTACTTGCAAATCACATTAATAAGGGATTTGGTTCCTGAATATCCATATATATGTGTGTGTGTGTGTGTGTGTGTGTGTGTGTGTGTGTGTGTGTATGTATGTGTGTGTGTGTATATACATATATATATACAATCTCATAGAATGCAACAAAAAGACAACCCAATTTTTTAAAGGGCAAAGGATTTAAATAGACATCTGTTTAAAGAAGATACATAAATGACCAATAAGCACATGAAAAAACGCTCATCATCCTTAGCCAATAGAAAAATTCAAATAAAAAATACAATGATATACACTTTACACCCACTAAAATGATGAAAATAAAGAAGACGGACAAAATACCAGTTCCCAAAAGTATTGTAAAGCAAAATGAAAAATAACACGTTTTGGCAAAGATGTAGAGAAATGGGAACACTCATTTCATTGCTGGGTGGATTGTAAAATGGTAGAGTTACTTTGAAAAATAAGTTTGGCAATTCCTCAAAATATCAGACAGAGTTACCATATGAACCAATAATTCCACTGCTAGGTATATATCCAGGACAAATGAAAACACATGCCCTCCTAAAAATTTGTACATGAATGTTCATAGCAACATTATTCATAATAGTCAAAAGATGGAAAAAACCCAAGGGTCCATCAACAGATGAATATGTAAACAAAACGTGGTATGTCCACACAGTGGACTTTTAAGCAGTATAAAAAGAAATGGAGTACCAATGAGTGCCACAACATGGATGAACCCTGAAAGCATCATGCTACCTAACAGAAACTGGTCACAAGAGACTATATCTTGTATAATTCCATTTATTTGAAATGTTCAGAATAGGCAGTTTCATAGAGTCAGAAAGCAGATTTGTGGTTGCTTAGGGTTAGGTGGGGCCTGGGATAATAGGGAGTGACTCAATGCATATAGGATTTCTTTCCAGGTGATGGAACTGTCTTACAGTGGTCATGATTGCACAAATCTCTAAATATACTAAAAACCTCTAAATTGTATACTTTACAAGGGCGAATTTTTTGGCACATAAATCGTATCTCAATGACGTTGTTATTTACTTCAGCTTTATTTTAAAAAACAAGCGGTGGGCCATAGTTTGGCAACTTCTGTACTAGTCTATAAAAATCTACAAAATGTATTGATAAAAACTGAAAACGCTAGAGCTAATATGTGATAAGAAAGGAAAATGAGTGAGAAGAAGAAGGGAGGTGAAGGTCAGAAACTGCTAGAGAGATAAAAGCTCTGAGAATGACTTAAGGAAAAAAAAATCACCTTTCTCTCTTCCACATATACAGACCTGTAGACAAAATGCTTCATCATCCAGGAAAAAACATCAGGTTTGAAAGGAAGAACCTGGTGAGGTTTGTCCCAGGCATCTGTGCAGTGGACCAGAGAATAAGTCACCACACAGGTGTGGAACTTGGCTCTCACTGTTTCCTAAATGGTGAGGCCTCGGCCAAGTCACTTGGTGACTCTGGACATCTGTTTCCTTCTCTCTAAAAGTGATATCTGTCTTTCCAATATTGAGCTCGCTTAGAAAACACTTGGAAAACCTTGATACATTATAAAATGTAAACATTATTAATAGAAAACTGATATTTCTCTGTTGGTGTGCCATGACATATGGCTTATTTTAATTTTTTCTTAATATGAATTTAAATAAGCCCAGAGCAGAGTAAGATATCAATATTCATCTTCCAAATAAAATTTGATACCACTCAATCTAATAGACAGAAGTTCCAGTTCAAACCATGAAATCCTCAACAGTTTACGCACATTACCTGGGCCACAGTTTTACCACCTGTGAAGTGAAATGGTCTCTTTGGTGCCTCTCAACTCTGCAGGTCGTAGATGTCAAAATGTTGCTTAGATGTCAGATTCAGAATATGCTTGTAATGGCTGCTATAATGAGTAACGCACATGTAAAGCCCTTGTATTTTTAAAAGTGATTCCCAAAAGGAAAAAAGTAAGTTTGATAGGATAGACGTGATCCCTGGAATAATTTAACTAACTCTTTCAGCTTTGCTTATCATGTTCATTATGACCCAATGTTACTGTATTAGTCCGTTCTCACCCTGCTAATAAAAGCATAAGACTGGATAACTTATAAAGGAAAGAGGTTTTGTTTTTGTTTTTTTTTCAGAAGAGGAATTTTACTTTTACCCACTTACGGTAATATTTGCAATATTAGAATATAATTAGGTTAAATAAATCAAATAAGGAATCCGGAAGAAACTGTTCTTGAGTTAAGCCAAGTACACACTGGCAATTTTGAGAGAGGAGAACTCTACACATTAACAAAGAGAACACACAAGCTCAAAGGCAAGTTTATATGGTGAGTGTTTTTAAAGGATTTAAAAAGCATGCTCCATCAGCATAATAGCTTTTTCTCATTTATGTAACATACGCATTTCTGTCTGCTGGGGTACAGCAAAGGGTTAGAACCTGAGTAAACTTATTTGTGATTTCAGAAACGTGCTATTTTAGAAATGTACTCCATAGAATTTACTTCACTGCTCCTACCACTGATTCTTCAAATAAGCAAAGTACGGAAGCTCTTATCCCTTGAAAATGTTTTTAAACACTAGCACGTTAATTGAAACATTGGTAGAAATGTAGCAATGTCAGGTACAATGCCTATACTTAGTTTTATTTAAAATAAGAATTGAATGCACAACAGAAAATTTACCATTTTCTTTATCATTGGAGGGGAGGGAAGGAAAGCAAGCAGAGGTGGGGGTATGGTTACGCTATTTAAGGAAGAGCTGAATACAAAGACAATGAGTCTTTCATAGTCTCAACAACTCCACAATGAATAACTGTGGATTATCTCATTTATAATTCACATTGGATCAAAAAAATTGGTTCCCTTCTGGATATATCAATTTAATTCAAACCTTATTATCTTCAGAATACAAAGATGAATACTACAAGATAAACTCTAACTGCAATAGGTATTTTCTAAGTAGAAGACCAGACACCAAAGGAAATCCCTCTTTCCAATGTCTTCTGATATGGCAAGATTTTGCCAGAATGGAAGTCTAACACTTAAATAAGCATTCTCATGGCCAAGAAAGTAACTACAGTTGTTGTGGGTATTACCCTACAATTACCATATGTATTACATATTAAATTAAACTCAGCATTAAATATGCCTGTATAATTACGCTGTTAATGATGATAGCAGTGATGATGCTGGTGGAAAAAGCCTGTCTTTAGCCCAAGAAAAGGGAGAAAAATGTAACAAGCAGAAAGCAAACACAGAGTTGGGCAATTTTTGACTAGGAAAGAGAATTTTAAGCATAGAAATATAAAAAGAAAAGTACTCCCTTATTTCCCTTATGTGGAAATAATATGAAATACTTATTAGATATACTGGACAAGAAGAGAACTAAGTACTCCAACTCTACTGCAGCATTACAAAAAAAATCATCCCTTCACCACAGTGTAAGATTTAAGGGCAACCTGCCCAAGGATGCATGTTACATAAAACACAGCAAGATTGCTGCTGCCCTGCCAAGTACTTCCAATCCCTACCCAGGTCCTACTGAAATACAGGTGGTCCCAATTAGTTGTATTGAAATAAATCTTTAAAAAAAAAGATAAAGCATTTAAAAAGACAAGTCCAAATGCATCAGGAACCACATATCCAACACAAACTTTATCCTCAAATGAGTTATGTTTGCCTCGCACTAATGACTTTTATTTCACTCAAATTAGAGCAATAATCTTCCATACATAAGTATCTTCCCTGCCCAATAATTCAAAGAAAAAAATCCAAAATGATTAGTAAAGAAAAATATAAGAATTAACAGACCCTTTAAATTTGTTTTAAATATTTTGAAGGTTTAAAAAGTGAATAAAGTTTGTAATTCCTAGTAGGAAAACATTATCTGAATGAATACCCTAATGGCAAACCACTGTAAAATGCTTCAGCTGCATTTGGGGGAGAGGGGTGGGGATTATCTTCAAAGCACCCCAGCTCTCTTGATGTACATGTCACAGGTACATTGGTTTGTATTATTGCAACATCGATAAGGTGACCTAGGTTGCTTTTCCTTCAGCAAGGGCTTTATTTATCAGAAGGGCATTACACTTGACCTCCAAACTTGGCTGACAATTTACTGATGAGATTCATAACCTTTGGGTTGCTCTGGTATTTTGACATATTTGCTGGGTTCTGAGCCACATCCTGGAAGGCCACCATAACTTCTGGATCCTGTATGGTTGCAAGAACCTCTGGATCACTAAGAATTTCATTGAGTCCAGGCATTCCGGCCATTCCAGGCATTCCTCTGGGAAAATTGCCAGGCATTCCCCCAGGAAAGCCACCTGGAAAAGAGCCATACTGAGCTCCTGACTGCGGTCTGGCTTCTTCCTCCCTCTCATGCTCTTCTCGAGCCTTCTTAACTCATTCTATTCTTGCTTTGATCTCTCACTCTTCACGTTTTTGCTCATACTTTCTCTGATGTTCTGCAATTTTCTGTGCCCTAAGTTGAACTTCTTTCAGCATTACACTAGCATCTTCATCATAATCCAATTTACAGGCAAGGGCAAGATCATGGGCTGCTTCTTCCCAGTGGCCTAGAAGTCTATGTGCTTTCCCTCGCCACTTGTGAGGCTGAGCTGAATCAGGATTTATTTCAATGGCTCTGTCACAGTCTCGGATGGCAGCATTTGGCTTCTGTAATTTGACGAAGACACTGGCCCTCTTGGCATACAAAACAGCCAAGCGAGGATTCAGCTTGATGGCATCTGTGAATAAGTCAATGGCTTTCTGGAGTTCACCATCATTTAGGGCTTCAATAGCAGCCACTTTCTTATCATTTGCCTGATCCATCATCTCCTCCGTTATCTCTGCATTTTCACCTCCCATTTCTTGAGGGGCATCAGTGTCTGGTTCAATCACACCTTCTTTGTCAATTTCTAGATCACTTTCCTCACTTGATGGTTCGTCTGCCTTTAAGTCTTCCTCCACCTTCTTACTATTAGGTTTTTCTTCCTTGGCATTTTCTTCTGATTTAGCTTTCTGAGTAGCAGGTGGTACTTTACCCGCAGGCTCTCCACCCACTCCCTCAGGAAGCACATTTCCTCGGTGTGCAGAACACTCAGATCCTGCTTACACATGTTCACAAAGGCCCGAAGCTCATTCACTTTGCGGGGGTCCATGGTAGGGAGGTGGTGGGTGAAGCTGGGGGGCTGTGGCCTGGTTCCAGGCCCAGGCGCTGGCTCGGCGTGACCGCGCAGAAGGGGAGGAAAGAGTTTTAATTGACTCACAGTACAGCAGGGTTGGGAGGCCTCAGGAAACTTACAATCACAGTGGAAGGGGAAGCAAACATGTTCTTCTTCACATGGTAGCAGCAAGGAGAAGAATGAGCAAAGGGGGCAAAAAGCCCCTTATGAAACCATCAGATCTCATGAGAACTCACTCACTGTCATGAGAACAGCAGCATGGGAGTAACTGCCTCAATTACCTCCCACTGGGTCCCTCCCATGACATGTGGGAATTATGGGAACTACAATTTCAGATGAGATACGGATGGGGGCATGGCCAAATCATATCAGTTACTTTTAAGAATTTTATACATATATACACCAGAAAAGTGAATGGGATTGCAAAACTTACCTCAACACTAAACCAACTTCTAAGTTTGAGTATTGTGTTTTCATGGCCCACTTTGCCCCAACCTCTCATTTTTCTCAAACCTTTTTTTTTTTTTTGGCCCTGCAGCCTCCGATCTCAGATTGTCCCCTACAGGCCACTTAGGTCTGACATTGCTTTGCCTCAGCTTTCTTGTAGTTCTCCTCTTATTTGTCTTCTCAGGGCCATACCTTCAGATTTAGACTTCCTACTCAGCATGGGAAGCATGGACACAGCCTCACTTGCTACGGCACCTTACTATGCTAGGCATTGGCTGCCATACTTGATTGTATTAGCTCCTGTCTTCCTTTCCCTCTTAGCACAGAGTAACTTAGGTGTGTGCACCTATCAGGTAAGGAAAGTAGCAGGCAGAGTCATGGAAGCCAGAACATCAATTGCTGAATTGAGGCTGTACCATGGCCTGTCTCTGTGAATATTGTGGCAAGATATATACCCACCCAAAAAAAGCACTGAAAAACCTTCATAAGGGAGATGTATAGGGTGAGACACACGAAATGCATTCAAAAGGTAGTCTGGACTTGCCAGAGTCTCAAAGTCCTCTTTGAGGGAATTGGGAGAGGAACTAGAAGGAATCGTTGAGAACACACATGTGTTCTGATCTTTGCCCATTTTAGGGTCACCCACTAGTAAACTGTATGGATGTTCACAAAGAGGAGATGTATTTCTTCCATAAAAAAGCGAGAATGCTAAAGTGTCACCAAGTCTTTCCCCTTCTGAATGCTGTCAGCTGCTAGATGTCCTGCTACCAGCAGAGAAAATGCCTAGTGTGTCCACCTCACCAGAGTCCTGGACAGAGCAGGGTTTGCTACCAACTATGTCCCACCTGTGCCGGTCCTGTGGGCAGCAGGAATCAGGCTACCATGGAAATTCTGCTTGTGACCAGCCCTATCAAACTAGAAGCAAATGAGGGCACAGGGCCTTTGATTGTCAGCTGCCCCACAGCTGGGGATCAGTTACCTATGTAGCCCTGCACCAGGTCCTTCAGGAGACCACATTGTACCTACGGTTCATCTTCCCAGCAGCCCTCCATGTCAATTCCCAGAAGGGGCTTGAGCCTTTGTTGCCCATCACTTACCCCAGCACTTCTCCAGCTGTGGGACAGAGTCAAGCCTCGACTTAGTGCAGGCTCCTCAGCCACATCTGACCTCCCCTTCCAGACAGCATTCAGCTCTGCTAAGAAATCAGGCAACCATCAAGCTTGGAGTTTTGCCAGGAGAAATTCAGAGAATTTCTCATACGAGTGAATTATAATGCTGGATAAACCACTCCTCCATCTGAAATATCCAGTCCTGAAGACAGAATTAGCTGATTATCATGATTACTTTCATTTTTTGTTTTTAAATCTTCTTTTCCCAGCTCAGCACCCTGCCCAGTCTCCCTTTGTCTCTAGGGTGGTACTTCAAGTCCCACCACACCCTACGACAGGGTTAATCCACACCCCTTGCACCCTAGAGCCGACAGAAATATCAGTGGTGAATTCTTGACTTGGATCCATAGCTATTATTTAATAAGCAATATCACAGAAAATGAGTCAAAAATCTGATATAATTACTCCTTGAAATTCCCACTGCAGCTGGTGCCAACAAGGTGTCACATTACAATTCAACAATCCAGTCTTTCATGGCTCTCACTGTGTCCCAGCACTGCCCTCCATGCTCTGCAAGTGATACCTCATTTTGTTATTGAAACACTAGGGTTTCGGTCTAGGTTCTGCTGCTCACTGCACAGAAAGCCAATCACTGATAGAACAAGTATTGCCAGGGAAGAAGGCTTTAATCAGGTGCTACAGCTGAGGAGATGGGAGCTTAGTCTCAAATCCATCTCCCTGGCTGACTAAAATTAGGGGTTTATATAGCAGGGAAAAAATGTATCTACATGCATAAAAACAGGAATTAGGGAGGGGTAAGGAAGAGGAGCTGGTCAACAGGTAGCAGGTGGTCGGTTAGGCAGTCATGATAGGCAAGGGGTCTGACTTCTCATTGCCCAGATGCGGTGATCTGGTACATTTCAGTTACTTGATACTATCTGAGTGGCCTGACTGATGGTTTCCTGGGAAAGGAACTCAGATAAGACAAATGTCAGTTTCTCAAGTTTCAAGATGGGGAATGTCAATTTCTATGCTTATTCAAAATAATCTATAAACATCAGTTCTATGGAGCAATTGGGTCAGTTTCAAATTACACCACATGCAATTCTGTTGGGGGAATATGATGAGTATCCCTATATCATGGATGAGGAAACTGAGGCACAAAGGCATTCGATACTTGCTCAAAGTCACACTGCTATGGAGCAGTAAAGCTAGAACATGCCTGGCAGTCTGGTTAAAGAGGCTGTGCCTTTAACCATCATACCACACTGCCCTGTATCCAAAAGACACACCCAACCCCAAGGAAGAAGGGGAGAAGCTTCAGAAAAAAACACTTTAAATGTGAAATGGATTTCCTCAGAGGTACCAATGGGAAAATTACATTTTCAGACACACAGCAAAAATTCTAAAAGAAACTTTATTATCCCCAAATCTTACATACTTTGACAGCTACTCTTCTCTAAAATCTCCCTTCTCTGATTCATTTCTAATTTCTCTCTAAAATCTGTAGACCAACTGGCTCTCCAGGCCCTGTCTTCTCCCATTTCTTTCTTGATACTTTATGGAAAATTTGGACCTGTTTCTTACCATTCGCCTTTTCAGTCATCTTCTTGGTCAACAAAACAAAGCCACCATAAGTATACAAGGTTCTGAGGGGAAAGGCTGTGAAGGCCTCTTTCATACCTTTACATCATAGTCACATTTATGTTAACTGGTTCATTTTAGGTAAGTCAGAACCTAAACACTGCCCATGTGGAATTTCCCCACATCTTTTGAACACACAGGTATGCCCTTGACCTTGGCTGTCACCTCCATGCCAGGAGATGCCAGTGGCTGGCTCTCCCCAGCTCCCACTCCCTCCCAACTCCTCCAAATCCCATCCACAGCCTAAGGCAAGACTGCACCTTTGTCTCTCCCAAGGATACATGGAAAAACAAAATATCTTATTTAAGTTCTGCCTTCAGCTCTGCATTCTGACTTATCTCTTATTGCATCTTCCTATGAAAATCGTAATGGTAGATTATACTGGGAGAATTGACAGTACTGACAGAATCAGTGGAGCCATGGACTTGGATGGGCTGAGTTCTAACAACATCACGATTTTGTACTTAAAACCAAGACTATCAAATCAGCTCTGTGTGGCCCTGTTACCTACCCAAGCCTAACTGCTCTCTGACCTCAGGCTGCACTGCCCCCTACCAGCCATGCCCTTCTCAAATATGGGTGAGGGATGAGCTGGGGAGACCTGCAGCCACGTGGGGATAACTTAGCTGAAATTCAGGGCCATGCACCTGTGGCCCTGATGCGTCAACACCATTGCATTCCAGTAAAGAAACCTGGACTTCAGAATTGAAGTACTTTCCAGAAGTGAGTCTCCTGAAGTTCTTCCTTTATGCCCTGACAACCCCAGAAAGGGCCTTCAGAAGAAAGAGAATGATGTCAAATTAGAAAATGGTCATTCCTGTGACTTACCACCTCCATAGGAGACGGGTCTCAACCTCAAGAGGTGCGTATATCCCCCTGAGGATGAATGGAAATCTGCAAAGAGGCACAGAACATTTGAAGAACTATATTCTATGCTTGATATATTTGTTGTAAAACTCAAAATGCATACATTTAAGCTACAACGGACATCAAGCAAAGCTTAAAATCTTGTTGGGTGGGGTAAGGTGGAATTTAAAGGGCAAGGAACACTAACCTACTATATGTCAGGCACGGAACTAGGAGCACCCTGCATGGTATGGCATGTAACCCATGACAAACATATAAGGGAGGCGGTTCCACGAACTCAGTAACTTCATTCCCTAGAATTTGAATAATAGCACGATCCTCATAGAGTAAAAGTAAAACTTCAGTTGAATTACATTTAAAAGAGTTTAATTGAGCAATAAATGATTTGCAAATCAGGCAGCCCTCAAAATCACAGTAGATTCAGAGACACTCCAGATATGCCTCGTGGTCAGAACAAATTTATAGACAAAAAAGGGAAGTGATATACAGAAATCGGCAGTGAGGTACAGAAACAGCTGGATTGGTTACAGGTTGGCATTTGCCATATTTAAACGTAGTTTAAACACTTAGCAATTGATGAGTGGTTGAAGTATGGCCACTGGGATTGGCCAAGACTCAGCTGTTGTTACAGGCACATACTCCTAAGTTAGGTTTTCAATCTTGTCTGCCTATGAAGTTAGGTTTCAGTTTATCCACAGGACCCGAACAGAGAAATACGGAGTCCTTCTCAGGCCATATTTACATTGCTTTAACAGTTTGTATATATACAAAGTGCCACACATATGTATGGCACCGGGAACAGAGCCTGCACACAGTAATCACAACATAATGACTCATTTCTTATCAGCTATCATCCTTTACAGATCATCATTTCATCGATGAAAAAGATGAGAGCCGTGCTCCTGCAGGGCAGCAGAGCTGAGACTTGATCCCAGGTTCTGAATCCAAATTCTAATCAATGCTACAGACCTGATTCTCTTACCTTTCCAAGAGAATATTCTAAATGGGTGGTTTAATCTCAGTTAGCAAAGGTACCTTAGGAAAGTTGTTGTTTTAAAGAGCAAAAAGATCTCAGCTTGAAGTCAAAGAACTTGTGCTCAAATGCTGGGTAACAGAGGCGGAAGAAGAGGTATTGAATTTAGGTGCCTTGTGGGGAACTTGAAACGCAGGTCTGAAGTTCAAAAGAAATTCAAGGCTAGAAATATATAATGAGTTATTCGTTTAGGGATATACGGTGAGTGAAGCCCTGGGAAAGCATGAGACAGACCAGAGAAAATGGGTAGAGTTTAAAGAGGAGGCATAAGAAAGAATACAGGGAAGAACAATGACCTGCTCCAGGGAAATAAAGATTTAGGAAATGTCAAACGCACCTTGATATCGTCAGTTTCAAGGCACCATGGCGATGCACAGCAGAGAACGAGCACTCCTATATAATTCTCCCGTATAATTGCATCTCACACTTTCTACATAATACAGATTTGCTCTGAGATAAGCTATCTAGGACTTTCAATTTCTCTGCTGGCTCAGATCCAGCTTGAAGTTGGCATTTCCCAGAGTGTTAACAACCATGTCTGTATTTTGGTTCTGTACCTATTAGGAGTTCTCTGAAAATAGCCTCTAGCAGCTTCTGATCTGTCTTTCTGAATGTGACGCTGCAAACACTTGCAGCTGAATCTAATTTTCAACACTTCGTTTCTTCTGAGGAGAATCAGAGTGGGGGTTCACACTGGTTCCTTCAAAGCCTAGAGAGTGGCACCCTTGTCACCTTATGGAAGTCACATCGCATCACAGAGCCGTGTTTGATGGTGGTTGGCAACAGGATGTTGCATACTTCTGTAGCGTAAAAGTTTTACACTGGTCAGCGTTAGTTCTCAAGTGGGAATTCAAGTCAAATAGCCATAAAAAAAAGAAAGAGAGATTACTAGCATGTAACATGAATTCAAGCCCTCCTAAAAGTTGTGTTGAGGATTGAGTGCATTAAGGAGAACCAAAGTAAAATGAGGGGAAAATAATACATAAGAAAACTAACATCCCATATGTGATAACTAAATATCTTAAAAGAGAAGGGTGGTAAATTCACTTTCCCTTCTATCTAACAAGGGCTATGAATATGCACTAGAATCCAGATGCTGTTCGGGCATTTGTGCACCTATTTTCTTTACTATTCATAACATTGAAATGAAAATTTTTACATTGTTGTGCAGATATAGGAACTGTTGTTCAGAAAGGTTAAGCGTCTCTCCACATCACACAGCAAGAAAGTATTAGAGTCAGGATTCACACACAGTTCTTCTGAATCTAATGTCCATTCTTTGCTGAGAGAACTTGCATTAAACTGCACAGAGATGAATCCCACACACCAATCATATCTTCTAGAATAAGGCAGTGTGCACACACTTGCAAGAGATTGAAATGACATGACAGAGTCAGGGTAAAGAGGCCAGTGTCAAAATGCAAAGACCTGTGAGTGGCCCACTTAACCTCAGGAGCAGAGAAGTCTGACCAGCTGCCTATCAGCTCTTGAAGATATGAAATGAGCAATAAGTATTCTCAAAAATATGGAAATACTGTGATGAGAGAGTATAGGAACAGGAGTGCTTGAAAAGTGAGGAGGAACTTGCTGCTGTGGAAGCGGAGTATCTGTGGGAATGAAATGGGAACTTAAGCTAGAAAGGAGTTAGGACTGGACCATGCAGAGCTGTGAGTGCCATGAACAGAGATTGGCTGTTACTTTGTAGGAAACAGAGGGACAGAGAGCCATTGAGGGTCGAAAGTGAGGGGTGTGTCTCAGATCTTGCACTGGGGCAGTGGAAAGGCTGGATGTGGAGGAAGAAGGAGCAGGAAGTCTGATTTGGAGGTTATTGGAAAGTGCTGCTTTTTGGCTGAACTGTTGCAGGCCCAGTAGAAAAGGAAGAAGGGGCAGAGAGGAGAGATACTGGCAGGAAGCAAGACGTGATGACTGACATGGGGCCTGGGAAGATGCAATGGTTGATGTTATGAACCAACCTGACTAGGCCACAGGGCACTCAGATATACGAATATTTCTCTGGGTGTTTCTGTGAGGCTGTTTTTGCATGAGATTAGTAAAGCAGATTGCCCTCCTTAATGTGGGCAATATTTGATCAGTTGAAGGCCTGAATAGAACAAAAGGGCTGAGCTTCCCGAAAGCAAGAGAATTCCTCCTGCCTAATGACCTTCACACTGAAACAGTGGATTTTTCCTCCCTTTGGACTTGAACTGAAATGTTTGCTCTTCCTGGGTCTCCAACTTGCCTACTCACCCTAAAGATCTTGGGGATGTGTTAGCATCCATAATCATGTGAGCTAATTCCTTTTAATAAATCTCTTTCTATAGACACAGACACATATCTGATTGGTTCTGTTTCTCTAGCGAACCCTGACTAATACAAGATGACATCCAAAGTCTAGCCCAGGTGAATTGGTAATTGGTGGTGGCAGTCCCAAGAGATCAGAGGACAAGTGGGTTCAGGGAAAGACAGGGAATTTAAATCAGACACAAGGTCTGAAATGGATAAGAACTAGGAATCTGTTGGATGCATGAGTCAAAAACCCAGGAGAGAGGTAGGGCATGGTGGTTCACGCCTGTAATCCCAGCACTTTGGGAGGCTGAGGTGAGCAGATCACTTGAGATCGGGAGTTCAAGCCCAGGCTGGCCAACATGGTGAAACCCCATCTCTACTAAAAAATATATAAATAAATAAATAACCAGGCATGGTGGCATACACTTGTAATCCCAGCTACTCAGGAGGCTGAGGCAGGGGGATTTCTTGAACCTGGGAAGCAGAGGTTGCAGTGAGCTGAGATTGTGCCACTGCACTCCAGCCTGGGCGACAGAGTGAGACTCCATCTCAAACAAACAAACCAGGAGAGAGGTCTGGGATGACTCCAGTGATTTGGGAGCCTTCAACAGGTGTGTAGCGGCTGATGGCATGGACAGAATCACCAGGAAGAGGTCTAGGGCAGAGCCGACTCTGCTCGGGACAGGCATCCCAGCCTCAAGCCAGGGGCACAATGCCTTTGGGAAAAGTGACCTTGAATATGTCTTTCCAGGCACACAGGATCTCCCTTCATTTACATCCCTGGAAACTGGAATGAAAACCCCTAAGTCATCTTCCAGAAAGATAATCTCTGAGATGACTCCACTGTTGTTCTCTTATCCTTTCCCTTGTTCCATATCACCAAAGTCTGCAGAGCCCCGACCCATTGGTCAGGATCAGCTCAGTCCTTCAAAACATTGTTTTTTTGTTTTGTTTTGTTTTTTGCTAGATTTTTAGCTCCCTTAGTGTGTCACTACTGAAACTGAACATCACCGTCATTCCAGAAAAAAAATTCATAGGTCTGTCCCTAACTAATCTATTTCCTGCCAGGGTGAAAGACTTCTCTCTTGGGATTCATTCTGATCATGGGGAATCCATCAGGCAAAGCCCAAGAAATTTGGAAAACCTAGACCAAAGTGACCTCCTCACCCACTTAGTGGAGATGATGAGCGTTCCCAGGATTTTGAAAAGGTCACTTCACTCCAGAGTTAAGTTTTGAAATAAACGTGGAGATGGAAATCTCCATTTAGCCCTTCCTACATCCATCCACTCCTGACAGGCCACCATTCCATTGCATGGATGACTGGAAAAGCCCTCTGCTCAGCAGAGCTAAGAATTAGACAAATGAGGCTACGATAGCCAAGGAGAAACAGGAGCAATTATAAGTGCACCTGGGCAAGGCCACTTGGGGCTTCCCACAGTGCTGTCACTGGCAGGAAGATGCCAACTCCTGCACTGTGTGTGTGTCCACGTGCACTATTTATATAGTCTAACATTTCCACTCAAAAGCAAAGGTGAATACAGGTCACAGTCTGGATCACGCCTGTGAAGCTGGGGTCTACCAGCTGTGCTATAGTTTAGCCTCCAATGAATTAAAGCTATTGGAGGCCAATGGACCGTTTCTTTTCCTTGATAAATGACTAGGAAAATGAATCATATTCGGGCTCACCCACCTCGAAGGCAGCTGTTCTTAGGATTAATTGGAAGGTTGGCCTACTTAAGCCTCCCATATTTCTCTGGTAAGGAAAAAATATCACAAAATCATGTGACCTTCATATTTGGTTCATGACTAGAAACAAATCTTCCTCAGCTGCTATTTCCAAGAATGCCTGTGGGGAAGTGAAACAGTGGCCCTGTTTACAGGGCACTAAATTGTGTGATTAACAAATGTGGTTGGACAGTCGGAGCAGAAAACATAGATGCCAACAGGAGCAGGAGCCAGAATTCTGCCCGTGGCTGCTGGGTTCCACTTCCCCAGACTGATGGCCTGGGTGTGTTTGGGGTGTGGTCTCTGTGGCAGTGACAGGGACACAGACACAGAAGAGAAGCCTGAGAAAAATGTCTGCAGAGAAGAGGAGTCACAGAAGGAAGGCGAATTCCAAGCCACTGAATGCATTTCCCTTTTCAAAGCTGGGGAAACTGAGGCAAAGTAGGGCAGTGACTTTCTCAAGATCGAACATCACTTCAAGTGATCCTTCTCCAACATTAGCAGTCAATTATAAACTAATCAAGGCTCACCCTACTCTTCTTTCTTTCCCCTCCAGCTTGCTCTCCCACACACCAGGAGTACGCAGCCACATGAGATGCACATGCATGGTAAAAACGTAATGAACGTGTGTTTCAGGAAAGAGATGTAGAATTGAATTGAATCAGCAATGGCACACTCATTGGCCATCCTTGGGCACTGCATGACATTGCATCTTTAGTATTTGTTTAAAAACATAAAGACTTTCTATAACACACCACCTAAACCAGAACTGAAACCTTTCCACCAATTAATATTTATCTTATGTTCCTCCATATGTCATCCTTCTGTCTCCTCTTCCCCACCAGGGGTAACCAACATCCTGAATCTGGGGTTCATCATAATATTGCATTTATGTGTGTATATAACAATGTATCATTTAGTTTTCTTAATCTTTAACACCACGTTATCATCAAACTCTATGTATCAGACTTATTTTTCCCATTTAGAATTATGTTGATATTATTTATCCATACTATGATTAAATTCATTCACTTTCACAATTATATAATATTTGTTTATGTCACTATTCCACAGTTTACTAATCCATTCCCCTGTCAGTATCTGTATGAGTTATTTGATTTTTTATTAGAAAGAGTACTGGCTGTAAATATTCTTATACACATCTTCTGGTACACATAAGCAAGATTTTCTCTTAGGTATATACCTACAAGGAAATTGCTGGATGCTAGCAAATGTGAATATTCAAATTTATAAAAGAATCACAGCCAGGCATGGTGTCACATACCTGTAGTCCCAGCTGCTTGGGAGGCTGAGGCAGGAGGATCCCTTGAGACAAGGAGTTTGAGGCCATAGTGTGCTATGATCATGCCTATGAAAAGCCACAGCACTCCAGCCTAGGCAAAACAGTGAGACCTAGTCTCTTAAAAACAAAAAAAGAATTGCAACTTGCTTTTCAAAATGATTACAGCAGTTTACATTTCCATAGCAAAGTAGCAGAAAAACCATTGTTCTACATTCTTTTCAAAACATAGAAATGTCAAACTTCTTAAATTTTGCCACTCAGATGCATGTAAGATGGCATCACACTGTGGAATCAGCTTCCATTTCCACATATTTATTCATCCTATGTGTCTCCTTTCCTGTGAAATGCCTGTTTGTGCCTTTGCTCATATTTATTGGTTAGATTTTTTCGTATTGATTTGAGGAGTTCTTAATACTAGGATTTTTTCAGTTACTGGTGTTACATTCATCATCTCCTACTTTGCAGCTGGTCTTTTCACTTTCTTTATGATGTCTTTTGAGGATCAAAACATCTCAATGTAGTATAATGTATCAGTCTTTAATTTTATGTTGGTATATTCAATTCTTACTTCTCAAACCTAGATCCCATTTTATAGGTTGCATTTCTTACCTTACTTGTATTTCAAAAACCTAGTGAGTGTGGTTTTAACATTATCCTCATTTCACAAATGAGGAAACTGAGTCTCAAAGGTAAGTGATTTTCCCAAGCTCACAAATCTAGAAGTGGCTATGTGGGGACAAGAGCCCAGGCCTTCTGGCCTTCAGAGGCCCACACTGCCTCTCTCTCCTCACACCAAACACTTATTTGGGGATCTTACATGCATTATGCAGAGTGCTGAGCCCTAGGGAGATAAGCAGGACATCATCTCCATCCTTGAAGAGTTTATATCAGAAGAACAGTCGCTCGCTAGCCAAGGCTACACATGAGACATAAGCTTGGACTTAAAGGATAAGTAGATGTTTTTCAACATGTGGGGAGATTTTGAAGGGGTAGGTACATTCTTGGAGAAGGAAGCAACATGAGCAAAGGTACGGAGGCATGAAAGAGCATGCCAAAGCAGTGAATAGCAAGCTGTGCCATGTGGGGCCAGGTGGGTCAACTTGTGGGAAAAGAGGGTGGACCCTTAGGCAAGGGTCAGACTATGAAGAAGCTTGTGTGTCATGCCAACTGGGAGGGACTTTAATTCATCTTTGACTTCAAAGCTCTGAGACGTGGCCTGCAAAGTAACCATATCTTGTAATATTCCCTAGAAGATTTTCTTCTAGAAGATTTCCACCTGCCAGGTAGGACATTCCTTTTATTGGTCCCAGGGTTTTCTTCTGAATGTAGCACTCTCCAATTTGCTAAGCAGAGCCTCATTCTCACTCAAGAAATCCGTAATATTCCATCCTCTTTACACTACTACCCTCAGTATCATCAACCATCCAATGAACACTAGCACAGTGTTGACCTCAGGTTACAGCCTGACACCACACAGCAAGGTGAAAAGAGCACAGGCTTAGGTTTGATGTTTTTCAGCATTGTCACTGATCATGGCTGCATTTCTCATGTCCCTGAGCCCACTTTTGCTGACTATCAGGAGGATTTAATGAGATATTGAACAGTTGAAGGCAAAGGAAACATCCAACAGTTATCAGGTGACTCCTCACCAGAAGTCCTAGATGGTACCCTTCAGGGATGAGTAATCTGGAAAGAAAAAGAAATTTCCTACAGAAACCAAATCCCAAGGCTTTGTGTGAGTCCTGAAAGAGAACCCCTGCACTAGGAGAGGTAGTGGACCTGGAACCCCTGTCTCTGAGTCATCCTCCCCAGAGGTCCTCCACCTGCAGATTTGAACTGGTCCATGCCAATTCCTGGGAATCACAAACAGGCCAGGGTGAGCTGCACTTGGCCCCTATGACAAGTCAAAAAGTCAGAGAAAGCAGTCCTCATCTTTCAGAATTCTTCTTCATTACAGAGCTATCCAGGCTTACTATGGTAACAGCAAGTATCAAAATAAAAACCAGCTTCATGTGGAGAAAGCAGATCAGATAGCTAACAGATTTCATAGGCCTTCAGCTGGGCATGGAGACACCCAAACAGGTGCCATCCCTGAGTTAAAATGACCTACAAAGGCACTTTTACCAACAATCCTTTGGATCTGCTTAGAAGAATCATCACACAGAAGTTAATGAGTAATGAGGAATTCTAACAGAGAACAAAGAGAAACTATTTTTGTTTTAAATGTACACGTGCACGTGTACAAGCACGTACCTCTGAAATTTGGAGAAAGGAAACTAGAAATCCAGACAGGTATGCCTAGCTCGGGAAAGTGCATAGCAAAGCAGAAATGGGGGGAAAAGAGGCAAAATACACTTGCTCCCTCGCACATAGGGAAGAGTTACACAGATTTATCAGCTACTAAGCCATCAAGCAAGGCTCAACAGATTCCAAAAGTGTCTATTTTGAACACTGGGTCCCATGAGCAGTTTTGCATTTGCTTCTGATGTGCGCCCCCTGAAGTTTCAATAGATCCAGTTTGGTGGTTTGTTTTTTTTTTCCCCACTTCAGATTCTCATAACATGTGCCAAGCATTTGGATATCACATTTGAATGTGTCAAAAGATTCTTCCAGAAAACTATCCCCCAACCAAGAGCTGCTGGCAGAGAGAAGCCTTCTAACATCTCCCATCAGGCGGGATTTATCTTAAGACCCCCAAATTCTGCTTCTCTTTAAATCTAGTAGTACTGATGGGAAAGTATATAATTTTTTTTAAATCACCTTCCTTCTGTATGACTTCCTGAGGGTTAGGAGGGTCAGTCCTATGCCAAGCTGTGCCAAGAATCTTCTATTTCCTTCATGAGACCTGCCTATCAAAGTGTATGACATCACTTTTTACCTGTTTCTTTGATTGCTTTGCTACTGGTGAATCTTTCTTAGCTTTTACAGCTTGTGTTCCCTCAGCTGGTCATTGAGAGAGATTTTGCAACCCACCTTCATCTAACTGCCATTGCCCCAAAGTCCCTGTATCAGCAAGAATTTATTAAAAAGCTTCTCTATTCCCAGCCTGTGCCAAAAAAGATCCATTTCCAGGAGCTTATTTTGATCTAGTTATTAAGTTACAAAGACATGGTCAAGAGCTACAATAATCAGGCTTAACAAATAGAAATAAAGAATGTCTCCTAGGGGAAATAATAAACTGCATCCCTCCTGCTAGTATAATAATAACAATCTGCACCTCGTAGATTTCAAAGTGCGTTTATGTTCACGATCTTGTCTGATCCTCATCCAGCCAATGATCTATGCAGGGTTAAAAAACAAACAAACAAACCAACAAAAAACCCATTGACTTGTCTGAGGTCAGAGGAAAGGGTGTGAGGAGACTGGAGGCAGAGAGAGAGGGACTGGGAGGAGATGAGATTATCCCACATGTAAAAATTCACCATGAGCTGACCACAGAGACCAATATAGGAAAATGCTGATTCATACAAAGTTAAACAGGGTGAATTATTAATTCATCAAATTAAATTTTTAAAAAATGGATTTGTATGTTTCAGTTAAAGAGTAAGTTCTATTGCATCCAATATGTTTTCCCACTGCCAACAAATTGATTTATATACAACATTTTCAGGAGTACACCTGTTGCATAAATTCTGGCTGCAAATGTATGTTCCAAAGCAAATGAAAGTCTATGATGTCTCTGTGGCAAAACAGGTCCCAGAAGTCCCAGGGGATCCTCTCACTAGCTCCAACATAACTGTTCTCTTCCTAGTACTGGATGCAGTCTACATTCTATTGCTAATTAGAGAAAATATTTACAGGGATCAGAGAGAAGTCATACAGATCAATGAAAGGCAGAAAACTCAGATTTATGATTTTTGAGATTCATGATTTATGATCAAAGTATGAAAGAATACATACAGCAAGACTTTGAGGTTCAAATTTCAACTGATCATCTTTGAAATGCAGATAATAGGATCAACAGATTCAGAAATATTATAAAAATATTCAAAATATCAACCGCTTGGAACACAGCAGATATTCAAATGTTTTAAGTATAGTGTTTATTATCCAGATAGAGGAGTATATTCGTTTTCTAGTGTTGCCACAAGCACCATAGACTGGTTGGATTAAACCAAAAGAAAATGTATTTTCTTACAATTCTGGAGGCTACAAGTCCACCATCAAAGTGTCAGCACGGCCGGTTTCTTCTGAGGCCTTTCTGTGGCTTGCAGATGGTAAATATACCACAAATTTTCTCTGAATGAGTCAACATGAATGAGGAAGCAGAAAGTGATATCTTTCTTTTATGAAATGAATTATGTCCCCAAAATTCATATGTCAAAGCCTTAACCCCCAATGTGACTGTGTTTGGAGACAGGGCCTTCACAGAGTTAATGAAGGTTATTAGTGTGGGGTCCTAGTCTGCTAGGACTGATGTCCTTATAAGAAGAGATTTGGGTACAGACATGCATGCCCACAAAGACAAGACCATGGGAAGACACAGCAATAAGATGGCTGTCTACAAACCAAGCAGGAACCAGCCCTGCCAGAAATTGGAAAGATGCAATCCTCGATCTTGGATTTTTAGCCAAAAATAAATTTCTGTTGTTGAATCCACCCCGTCTATAGTATTTTGTTATGGCCACCCTAACAAACGAATATACTTCCTTTCTAAGGAAATGGGTCAAAAACAAAATTTAAAAAAAAAAAAGGAAATCTAGATTTTTCACCTATTTGGTGACTTTAGGTTGTGTTCTCTACCATATGTCAAGAAGTTAAGAAGGAAAAAGTAAAAGTAGTTAAATGTGCAGCCTGGGCAACATGGCAAGACCCTATCTCTACAAAAAATTAAAAAACTAGCCAGGTGTGGTGGCATGCACCTGTCATCACAGCTACTCAGGAGACTGAAGTGGGAGAATCAGGAGCCCGGGAGGTCATGGCTGCAGCGAGCCATGTTTGTGCCATTGCATTCCAGCCTCAGCAACAGAGCAAGACCCTGTCTCAAAAAAAAAAAAAAAAAAGGAGTCCAATGTGTAGCCAATACGTTTGTATGTGGCTGTGTGTAGAGATGTGTGCTTAAAGCTAAAGGAGTTACTAAGATATCCGATATTCATCCTTTTTATATTTTCTAAAAAATATTCATTGAGAAGACTAGCCATGTGCTAGCCACCATGCTTATAATGTATTGTTTACTTTAATCTTGTCCTTTTCCTTATAATCCTACCAGTGTTAGGAATTCATAGCCCCATTTCCACTCTAGAAAAAAATAAAAGACTCACACTTTATGTGACTTACCCAAGGTCAGGGAACTGGCATGGGACAGAGCACAGTTTCCAACACAGGCCTCTCCAGCTTCAAAGACTGCATACACATCCAGCACATGTCCTTGCCTCTGTAATATAAGAAGAATTGCAAATGTTTCACACCACAGTATACCCAGATCTGTTCAAAACACATGTTAACTCATCTACGGCTCTGTGCCTAGCCCTTTAAGGTAGGTACTATTATTTTTTATAATCCCCATTTTACAGATGAAAAAATGTGTTGAGGAACTCAGCCTGGGTCCCACACTTCATCTTATTAAATTAACAAACAGCATGTGGCAGAGCTGATCTCTGCACCCAGCTCAAGGACAGTGTGATCATCACCTGCATGTGTTTGGCTTCCAAATGAGGGAAATGAACCCAATGGCCCTTTGCACCCTTTCCACCCCTGGGATTTTATTGCTCTGACTTCAACTGATCAACAAAACAGACAAGACTAAATGTTAACATGTTTTTAAACACATAGAGACTCTTCTCTTAGAGGGGAGGGAAATTAACCCTCCTTTAACACAAAATTTGACCTCAATTAACCAAAAATTTTTGTTCTGTGTTTTTACGGAGACCATTGTCATAGCTGAGAAACCCACCAATAGCTAAGCATATTTAGCCACAGAAACTCCTACAGTAACTATGGCTCTTGTGAGCCAGGCCTCATCATGGCTGTGTCAATTTCCCTCTGCACTGAGTGAGGGGTCCCGGAACACAAAGGCAGAGGCCGCCTGGTTCCAACCTTCGATTACGTCATCCTGATGGAATGTGGACACCATTGTGAGGACTTTCTGCTTAAGCCTTGTTTTATTTAAGTTTCTAACATTCTTGGAGACTTAAATCTCATCTACAGTTGCTTGGAATCCAGGCTTCAGTTGGATTATTGAAGGGATGCAGTAAACTTATCCTCCTAAAAGCTGAACTCAGCAAATGGTTAAGCCAAAGCTATCCTGCCCCAAGGCTCAAAGCAAATCTTTCAGCTCATTACATTTAAAAGATTGCTAGCAGTCAGCAGCCTTTAGATTTATGTAACACTAAGTTATACACAGTAAAAGCATGTGCTAGTTACATAACAATGTTCACATGAATGGTTAAAATGGGACAGGTAAATCAGATGCAGAAAACCAGGACAAAAAGGCTCCCAGCAGCTTTAAAATATATTGTTTAAATTCATAGCAAGGAGATAATTTTTTTCCTTTTCTCTCCAACAATGACAGACATTTACCGAGTGCTCACAAAAGGCCAGGCATTTCTGCAACACGGGTCAGTAGAAGGAGCAAAGCCTTTGGAGTGAGGTTCAAGTGTAATTGGTATGTGACACTTGGCAAGTTTCTCCAGCCTCAGTTTACCCATCCACAAAATGGAGCTAGCCATGCCTACCTTATAGAATCAATGTGAGAATTAAATGAATCATGTTGCCAAGTGTCTGACATAAAATATATGCTCAATAAAGACCAGTTTCTTAGTCTGCTGCTCTTAGCTGATTTGGTCTAATACCCTGCAAGCCTGGGAATGTGGTATTATTATAATCCCCGTTTACCAGGTAAGGAAACTGGAGGTCTCTGCCAGGGTGACGTTGCTGTCATGGGGCAGAGGGGCTTTAATACATAACTCATTAGAGGCATATCTCAATTTTGCAACTCACAAACCTGCAGTTTGTGCAGGTCTTTCAGCTTCTCTGCTTTTCCTCTGGCTGCCTGCCATTTGGCACTTTCCCTGCTAATTAGCACCTCGACCACAGTACAGCAGGGGAAATCCAAAAGGGTGAGCTTCGGTTAGTAGCTGAATCATGTGGTTTAAGAGCTCTAGGGGAGAGACTTTTCTTTTTTTAAGTTTGGTAAAGAAAGAGATGGCATCTAAGCAGTGACACGAATATTTTTAATTATATTTGGAATTCAGTTCTCTATTATCGTGGCCTCCCACTAATAGGTAATTGAGAATGGATCATTATATTTAAGAAGCTGTCTGATCTTCAAGGTGATTAAACTTTATTTATATGCTGAGACTTTAAGTGAGAATGTGTCTCAAAATCATATCAGAATTCCTATTCATCTTAGCTATTACCACCAAATTGCACTTCTCTGTATTTATGATATGAAATTCACATGTCAAAGTTCTAGCCCCTAATGTGACTGTATTTGAAGACAGAGCCTTTACAGGCTTAGTTAAGGTTATAAGTGTGGGGTCCTAGTCCAATAGGGCTGGTGTCCTTACAAGAAGAGGACATTTGGCTGGAGACATGCATGCCTCTGAGACAAGACCATGTGAAGACACAGCAATAAGATGGCCATCTACAAACCAAGGAAGTAGGTCTCAGGAAAAACCAGCCCTGCTGGCACCTTGATCTTGGACTGTCAGCCGCCTTTCTGCAAGAAAATAAATTTCTGTTGTTGCAGCCGCCCAGTCAGTGGTATTTTGTTATGGCAGCCCTAGCAAAGTAATATACTTCCTTTCTAAGGAAATTAGTCAAAAAAAAAGGAAACCTCTCTGTCCCTTCATTTTCTAACCTGTAAAATCAGGAAAATATTAGTTCCTCATTCACAAGGGCATTGTGAGGACAAAATACATTATCATTTAGTATTCAGAATAGTACCAGAAATATTCATAAGCACTTTAAAAGTGTTTTATTATTGTCAATATCGTTACCACTAATAGCACTACCATCACGTCTACCACCACCGAGAAACCTAGATTGTAACATACAAAAGACATGGAGCATTCTGGGACAATGGACGGAAAATTACGTGGACAGAATCATTTGCAATTATTGCTCCCCAGGTCCAGACTCACCTGGGCATCCCTTCCCAGCCCAGGTCCCAGGTGCCTGGCTTCCATCCTGACCCTACGGGACAGTGGCAAGTTACTCACTACGAATCCACATCAGGCTTCACCAGGCCTCAATGAGGGCCAGGCTGACTGCCAACCCCAGGGAGTTTGTTCTAGAAGAATTTACCTATAAAACATGAGTAAGGTCCATCTCATGAGCCCTCATTTCCTTCTCTAAGGTTTACATCAAGGACTGAAACATTCGCTCAGTGACAAACCCCTTCCCTATCCACCAGCCTACGGTCTCATCCCAAATTCCCCAAAGTATAATCCCAAAGCAGTCTGACCTGGATGTTTTTCTCAAAGTCTCTGCTATTCAGTCCTATCATGGACACCACATTAAATACAGTTTCCAAGTTTTATACAATTAAAAGATAACACTTTAATAATGAGAAGTCGACAGTGGTTATGAGTTTTGTTAATATTGCATTTAAGATTCTGCAGGAATCTTAAATTTACCACAGAAACCAAATAGACTTGTCATCCAGAAATTATAACTCTGGCGGTGTTTTTGTAACTATGCGCAAGGCTGCATGCAGTGGGATGTTCCAACTCTTTTTTTTTTTTTTTTTTTTTTTTTGAGACAGAGTCTCACTCTGTCACCCAGGCTGGAGTGCAGTGGCCCGATCTTGGCTCACTGCAACCTCCGCTTTCCAGGTTCAAGTGATTCTCCTGCCTCGGCCTCCCAAGTAGCTGAGATTACAGGCATGTGCTACCATGCCCGGCTAATTTTTTTGTATTTTTAGTAGAGTTGAGGATTCACCACATTGGCCAAGCTGGTCTCAAACTCCTGACCTCAAATGATCCGCCTGCCTCGGCCTCCCAAAGTGCTGGGATTACAAGTGTGAGCCACTGTGCCCAGCCCATTCCAACTCTTTCTAAGAAACAGTTATCAAAAATCTGTTTGTTTCTTCTGAAATATAAAAACAGCAATTTGCTATTTTTATCAATTCCATCTTTTCTGGGCCTATCACAGTCAATAATTTGAACTGGGGTAAAAATTAGAGGCTTCTTTCATATTCAAATTTTACATGCTCAAAATCCTATCCTTCAGCAAAAAGTATCTTTAAAATAGAAAAGAACTTGTTGGTCTGGGGCACAGGAATATCATTCAAACCCTTAAATTCAAAATAACTTATGTTTCTCCAAGTTCCAGTTATGTTTCAAAATAAACAAAGATATCTTATTCTAAATTAGTTTCACCTAACTTTGAAACACGCCTGCTAAATTTCTCAAATAACATATTTTATGTGTTTCTGGGTATTGAAAAATGCCAGAAAACCAGTCCAAGGATTAAGAAGGGCTCATTGATCTGGCTTGTGAGAGAAAATAAATAATGACCTTTTCTACCTCCAGCAAATGGAAAACTCTCCAAAATTCCTCAGGCACCAGTTTCATAGCCATCAAAACTGTCTGATTCAGTTATTTTTGGAGTGCAACTTACATGCATGAGCAAGGAATTGCATTCTTCTTAGTGAATATACACACTCGTGTATTATTTGACTGACTCCGTGGCTTGCCTGTTAGTAAAGGAGATGTTTCTGAATAAAACAAAAGCCTGGTATGTGAGAGTTAGAAGGGCCCATGAGTAGAGTTTTATCTCATGATACTATTTGCAAAGCTCAGAGAGGTGAGGAGCTCACACTGGTTCACATGGCAATTCAGTCTCAGTGAGGACTGGAATCTCAGCATCCTGTCCCTGCAGCAGGGCCTTTTTAAGACACTGGGCAGCTGGGACCCACAGCACTGGGAGGAGAAATGTCCACGCATTCCTTTTTCCCACCCAGGGTCCTTATGGAACACAAGTTTGGTGGTTTGGTGGGAAGATCACAGACTTCAAAACCAAACCAACTCAGGTTCAAATCCAATTCGGTCGTTTACTGTAAACTCTTAATACTGTTGAGTTTCTTTATCTTACAGTGGGAATGTAGGGGTTGAGAGTGAGAAACGTTCAGAGCCAGCAAAGTGACTGGCACATAAAAGGTTCTCAGTGGTAGTCAAGATAACTATTATCTGTCTATAAACTAATGTGTGGTGTGTATTTGTGTGTGTGTGGGTTTGTGTGTGTGTCTAAGTGTCTTAGTCCATTTGGGCTGCTTTAACAAAATATCATAGACTGGGTGGCTTATAAACAACAGAAATTTATTCTCACAGCTCTCAAGACTGGGAAGTCCAAAATCAAGGCAGAGTTGGTGTCTGGTGAGGGTCTACTTTCTCTCTCACAGGCAGTGCCTTCTTGCTGTGTCCTCACATGGTGGGAGGGGTGAACGGGCTCCCATGAGCCTATTTTATAAAGGCATTAATTCCATTCATAAGACTCCACCCTCATGACCTAATCACCTCCCAAAGGCCTCACCTCCTAATACCATTACCTTGGGGGTTAGGATTTCAACATATGAATTTTGAGAGGACATAAACGTTTAGTTCATTGCAGTATGTACATTAGATACAGTTGACATATAGAGATAACCTAACATGTATATTTAATGTGTGCATATAGATAGATACATAGACAGACAGATGGATGGATATATTAGATAGATGGATAGATAGGTGATAGATAAGATGATAGATAGGATGCATGAATAGATAGACTGATAGATGGATAGATGGATAGATAGATAGATAGATAGATAGATAGATAGATAGATAGACAGACAGACAGTGACCCATTCCTATACTAATACGTAATTCCTATACTCTTATAATCTTGGAGCAGAGATTAAAAAGCTAACAGGTCCCTACAACGCAACTTAATTCATTCAATCTCCTTTTGGATAATCTGTGAAATGCCTCAATGTGTAATCAGACTAAAGTTACAAGAGGTGCTAACAGAACATACCCTTCCAAACAGTTTCCTGACAGTTGCGGAAGGTAAAAAGACCACAACAGGAAGAGGAAGGGAAGTAAGGAAGGTGAAGAGAAAGGGCAGGAGGAAACAGAGTGAACAGAAGGTCCTGAGGTCAAGGATGAGGTGAAGGGTGTCTGTAAATCTGCCCAATCATCCAGGAGGCAGTCAACTGTCCTCACTTTCAGCCCCACTGGGCCAGTGGACTCTTATTCCAATTCTATAGTTATTTGAAGCCCCAAAAGAGTCTGTTCATGTATGTCTTCATTCATTCATTTGCTCATGTCATAAATAATATATCTTAGATTTTGGGGAAACTCCAAAATGGTGAAACCTCATAAATGTGAAAGCCAAGAATCACTCTTTCTCAATCATAGGGGGCCAAACTCTATTAATGCTGAATTGTATCACTCCCTAATCACCATTGCTCCCAGCCTACTCTTCTCCATTCACTCTATTTTGGTTACTAAATTTTGTAATCAAATGCAGAGATCCAATCTCCGTGACATACTTGGCATTCTTTAAAGAGCATCCAAATATTGAGTGAGAATTTTTTTCATAACTCTGGACACCAAAAAGCATCCAACACAAGATAATCAGGTACCCTGCATAAGTCAACTCTCTTTGGCAAATTGAGAAATGGTAGAAATTCACACCAATATACATGGATTACAAATACTCCAGGAGATTCTTTTGTTGTAGGTAGATGTCAAACCCAAATGGAAAAATGTTCTCTCTTCATGAAATAAGACATTGGAAAAATGAGCTGTTTATAATTCCTGGTTTTATTTAAGTCTTTTTATTCATATCTGACACTCTACTTGCCACCCTTATGATTTTTGTCTAAACTTGTCCAAATCCTCCTCATCCCTCAAGACCCACCTCAGATACCATCTTTTCCAGGAAGCCTCCCCATGCTTATCCCCAGCCGGAAATGATCTTACTGTCCTTGAAAGTCCCAGAGAGCACTTCATCTCATTTCTTCTGAAATTGTCATATAATTATTATGAAACCCATCTTCTGTCTCCTACAAGGCTGGGAGTTGTTTGTAAGCCACCCTTTCTCACCCGCCACCACTTCGCTCCACTACCATCCAACCTACACTTTGTTGTGCTTTTCCTGACTCCAATTGTCTCTTCTGCATGGAATCCCTTTGCATCTATTGCCATCCTTCCCTCATCCTACCCTCAAGTGTATTCCCAATAATACTATCACTACTACTTCCCTAGCTCCCCTTCAAACCATGAGCTCTTTAAGGACTAGGACTGTGACTTCCATATGTGTCCCCAGCTCCTAGTGTAGGGCCTAGAATGGCACATGAAAAATTTGGTTGAATAAAGGCACAACCTTGTCCAGTTCTCCTTAGCTGTCCCTTATCCAAAAGCTCTAGAACCTGATTGCCTGCATTCTCATTCCATACCGTACAGCACTGTAACCTTGGGCAAATTATTCAACCCCTCTGACATCTGAGTTCCTTCTTCTGTAAAACAGGCTGAATAATAGGACCTATCTTACAGGATTGTTATCAGAATTGAATTACCTATTTTAAATGTTTGATAGGCTTTCTGAAACATGGAAATTAATAACTATTTTCAATACATGCCTTTGAATAAACAAAAGAATAGATGCTTAATGTTTCTAGAAACATTTAAACTTTGGGATAGCTCTTTTACATCTTCTCCCTACAGAGATTAACAGCTAAATTTGAGAAATTTCACTCAGAAATTATATTCTCTGCTCCAGTGTATCAATAAGACTCCTAGTAATGGCTGGAGTGTGCCAAGTTTAGGATGCTGTGTCCACATATAAAGCTTCATCTCCATTAGATTGATGTCTACCATAGGAGCAAAAACAGATGTGGTGATGCCATGACCATTCCCAGCAGGCCACTGAACTCTTCCTTGGATCACATTATGGCAGCCCCTCTAAGTCTATCTCAACATATAGACCTTATATTCCATTTTGCCTTTTGGCTTTATTCTTAGCAGAAAAGGCTAAGAGCCTGGGACCAAATGTCTATCTGGTGAAACTTTGGAAACCACTTTGGCAGGGAAAAGAGCAGCTCTTTAGGACCAAAGAGGAACTCAGAACTTAGCTCTCATTTTCTTTCCTCACAGACATCCCCTCTGCTCAGATGAACATCACAGGCATCAGCCACTAACATGGCCACTGGGCAGAGTTTGCCATTTTTGAAAACAAACCATTTCATCCCTGGGCTCCTGTTATTATTAGAAATCTTCCTCCCTCAAAATCCCACCTATTTTTGCCCTCTGGAGTTGCACAAGCTGAATATACCCCCAACCTGGCTCTGTAAATGTCAGGAGACATGGCCAAGCTCTTCCTAAGACTTTTGTACCCTGGCTAAATATTCCTGATTTCTTCAGCCACTCTTCATGTGAGAGAATTCAGCCAGATTGAGAACTGCTTGAGACAGGATCTGTGCAAGATCTACTTTGGTATCCCAACATAAAAGCGCAATAAAAATATTTGTCAAACAAAAGATAAATAATTAAATACTTTTGCAAAGCTTCTCACCAATATATCTATTCAACAAATGGGCATACAGCACTAATTACCATTACCATCTTATCCAGCCAAGAGGGATGCCAAGTTGAGTAAGACACAGTCCATGCCCCAAGGGAATCTATGGCTCAGAGAGGTATTGCCTGTAAATGACTGGTATGGATTAATCTACAGCATGTTCTGTAGTACAAAACACAAGATGTGTAGATGTCCTTGAAGGTCTTGAGGGAGGAGCAGCAATTCCCCAAGGGACGGATAGGAAAAGGCATCCCAAAGTGACCACCCACCCAGCGTGGGTAAAGCCTCAATGGTCCAGGTTAGTAAGACCTATTTCGTTTTAAACTGTAGCCATTACAATTGGAACACAACACTCAAGTTAGGCCCTTGGGCATGCAAATCACACAAGAAATAACATTTCTTCTAAAAAAAAAAAAAAAAACCACAATTTTTTAAATAAAGCAACTTACTTTTGAATTTGCTGTTTTGGTAGCCTTGTCACATGGTTTGTGTATAGAGAGCACATAGTCATCTCAAACCACTGAGACACAAATTTAACTACTTCTCTTCACCAAACCCCAAGCCTGCCAAGCTACACTGGCACAATGGATTAATTTTTATATTTTTACTTAAATACAAGAGTTTTGCATTTCCCACAATTAAATTTCATTTCATCCCCCTGGCCTGCACACCAACCACCACCACTGAACTGTGTGTCAAGCTTCTCCTCTGTGAAGAATACAGGGTATTGAGATTCTGCACTGTTTGGTTAGGAAATTTGGGAGGAAACAAAATGGAATTTTGGTGAGGTCAGCATTCCAAAAGCAGCTGTCATTTCTGATCTCTTCATGGTATACTGAAATCAAGTTCCCACAAACATTATTATGATCGTAGGGAAGAAAACCATCTAGGTGTGATGGCCACATCTCTGCATTCCTGGATCAGTCCCAACTTCTAATGTTCTCCTGCTTCATTGTCTAAAAAAGTCACCAAAAGTCCTAGAAGTTCTGGTATTTTATTGTCTATATTTACTACATCTCGCAGGCTGTCATTACTTCATATGTTCCCAGTGTCCTTTGTCAGAAAATGCATCCTCAATGTTCTCTGAAATGAGCTTTGAAGATTTGAGTGATGCTACATGAAAAGTCCCTTTAAGTACTGGTGATGCTCAGAGCTAGAAAGGAACCAGACATGTTGGCAGCTGCATTCCAGCCCCACACCCTCAGTGGGTTTACAAGAGAAAGTGGCCACGTCATCTGATAGGTTTCCTGCTTCACTGCAAAATATGTCTGAAGTTTCTTATTCTGTTTCTACATGGTTTGGGCAGGGATTGTTTAGTAGATAATGGCAAGAGGAGATGGTAAATAACATTTATTATCTCTATTCTATGTTACAGTATTTTATATACATAGGCCCATTTAATCCTCATAATTTTGAGGTGAATATGATCATCCCCATTTTACAGACAAAGAATACTACAGCTTAAAGAGTTATAGTAACTTCCCCAGTCATACAGATCCCACGTCTGCTGGGCTTTGAAGTTCATATTCTCTCAATATACCATATACTTGCTAATTATAGAAAATTCGAATTTGAAACAAATCTTGGAGGAGATCTACTTCAACCACTTATTTTTCAGATGTGTAAGTTGAAGCCCAGGGAGTGCTAGGGATGATGGCAACACGTTAGAGTTCATTCACGGCAGGACCACAACTGGAACCCAGTTCTCCTGCAACCCAGTCCCACGCCCTTTTTTTTTTTTTCCAGAGCACACAAGTTTTCTCTGAATTCTAACAAAATATTCACTGAACCAGGAAGCCACACAGTGATTGCCTGATAAGATGGTGGGATGGACAATTTGGGGAAGAAAAAGTGAAGTAATCTTGAAGAATTCCATCTCATATACAAAATTATGAACCAGAGGTTACTTTCTTGCTTTATAAATCCTCACTTCCATAGGGTAATTGGGCAGTAAAAATTCTCTCATGTAAAATAACCTAATGGCAAAATACACATATCAGAAGAACTATTTAAAAAATTGTTTGAGAAACAATGTGTAAATAACAAAAACAAGTTCCTTACAAACAATGGAAATGTTACAGCATGGTGTATTAGTCCATTTTCATGCCACAGATAAAGATATAATTTATAAAAAAAAAAGACATTTAATGGATTCACACTTCCAAGTGGCTAGGGAAGCCTCAGAATCATGATGGAAGGTGAAAGGCACATCTTACTTGGTAGCAGACAAGAGAGTAGTGAGAAACAAGTGAAAGGGGAAACCCCTTATAAAATCATCTGCTCTTGTGAGACTTATTCACTATGGCAAGAACAGTATGGGGGAAACCACCCCCATGATTCAATTATCTCCCACTGGGTCCCTCCCACAACATGTGGGAATTATGGGAGCTACACTTCAACATGAGATTTGGGTGGGGACACTGTCAAACCATATCACATGAAAAAATTCCAAGAAGTGTTTTCCTTCTCTAGCTGACCAAAGTGGGAGAGTTTGGAGGTGATGCTCTAAGGAAGAGTATAATTTTTACTTAAATGAATTTTTAAACATTTAGTGTGCTCATGGAAATGCCACTTATAATTAATTAGCAAATAAGAATTTAGAAAATATGAATAGTCCATGGAGTTCACCTACTTTTATAGCAAGGCATTTGCCTTTAAAGTGATCATTGGTAGTTAAAGTCACTGGATTAGATTTGCTCCCAATAAGCCAAGAGGCATTTATAATGCTCTTCTCTCCATAAGTAAGCCACAATAAAAACTAGGTCACATATGCTCTTTGAAAATAATGACTAACATCTGCATAGCCCAGTTGTGGCTTAGAGTGAATTCATATCCATTAACTCATTTGATGCACACAAAAATTTGTGAGGCAGATATGATTTCCTTGTCAAGGCTCAAAGTTGGAATGACTTGGTCAAAGTTATACAATGAATATCAAGGCCCCTGCCCTCCCTCTAACACCCCCCAACACACCATCAACTAGAACTGTAACTACCCACAAAATTTCTGTGAGTTCAGAATTCCTTGGAACCCAATTAACCAGAATCTACAAATGTCTGGCTTTGTTTATTTGTTTATTTATTTTGTTGGTTTTTTGTGGGAAAAGGAGGTAGGGCTGGGAAACACCCTATTTTTAAGATAGAAAAAAGCATAATAAGTACTACTCTAATTGGTGTTCAGCTACTCTGATCTCCCACATTATCCTGGATAATTTTTCTGTTGTTTCCAGTAAGAACCTAAAGTCAAGATATTCAATCATTAAAAAACAACATCAGTTCTGTTTAACATAGTGTTCCATTTGGTTGTGAATTTGGCTGCAATATTTTCTAAAGATGTTTATTTAAAAGGATGAAACAGGAGACTGGGTGCAGTGGCTCATGCTTGTAATCCCAGCACTTTGGGAGGCCGAGCCGGGCGGATCACAAGGTCAGGAGATCGAGACCATCCTGGCTAACACGGTGAAACCCCGTCTCTACTAAAAACATAAAAAAAATTAGCCGGGCGTGGTGGCGGGCGCCTGTAGTCCCAGCTACTTGGGAGGCTAAGTAAGGCAGGAGAATGACGTGAACCCAGAAGGTGGAGATTGCAGTGAGCCAAGATCACGCCACTGCACTCCAGCCTGGACGACAGAGCGAGACTCTGTCTCAAAATAAATAAATAAATAAAAATAAATGAATAAAATAATTTAAAAAGTGTGAAACAGGAAAGATTTTTCTGGTGAACCAGAAAAGCAAACTAATGAGAAGTTTTGTTCATGAACTACTGTATCACCACTGCAGAAAGATGATCTTTGAGTCTTTCTATTGACAAATATTGGCAAGGTTCTCTTTCACACTTGCTCTGCTATTTCCTTTCCTCAGGGATGATAACCACAGCCAGGAAATGAGATGTCAACAAGGAATTTTCAAGTTTTTATACATATTTGTGCTTAAAGTTAGAATTTAGGCATATAAAACTCAGGGTTGGAAGGAAGATTCCTCTGTCAGGTAGGATTATGCAGAACCTTCATGGGAGATGTAGGAGAGGTCAAGAATATTCCCAAAGAGGAGGTTCTTCAGGCCTGCATTTTTTTGGTGGAAGACAGCCAGCTTGAGCTAGTGTGGCTCCAGAGAGTGTCTGAAAGCAAAACTTCCAGTGAGAGTTGGGGGACTTGAAGTCTACACTGGAAATGAAAATGTTATAAGAGGAGACTGTTGGAATTGAAAACAGACTTATTTCCAAGAGTTTCTGCACGTAAATCACAGTATTTTTTTTTTACAAGGAAAGAAAGATATTCTTACTAAAATGAAAGTGATTTGATATATGATCCTCAGAAGCAAATACTCCTCAGGCTATTAAAGCAATAGACTTGAGAGAATGTGATATTACATCTAAAAAAATCATAGATGAAGAAACATATCATGAAGCTTGGGTCTATACAGTATCAACTTCGAAATAACAGTCAGTCAAGTAACCAAGATTTATCTTCTTAATGCCAACAAAATGGTGTGGCTAGCTTTCTCCCCCACTGAAACTGTCTAATTGATGTTAGTGACTATATTAGTTTGAGTTGCCATAATGAAATACTACAGACTGACTGGCTTAGATAACAGAAATTTATGTTGTCACCATTCTAGAGGCTGGAAGTCCAAGATCAAGGTGTCAGCAGGGCCTGTTTTTTCTGAGGCCTCCCCTGGGTTTGCAGATGGCTGTCTTCTCACTGTGTAACTCACACAGTTGCTCTGAGCTCTGTGTGTCTGCGTCCTCATTTCTCATCTTCTTATAAGGACACCAGACATATTGCATTAGGACCCACCCATATGACCTCATTTTACCTTCCATATCTCTTTAAAGGCTTTATCTACAAATAGAGTCACATTCTGAGGCACTGCTGGTTTGGACTTCAACATATGAGTTGAGGGGCATGATTTAGCCCATAACACTCTGCCCTGTCACTCCACAAAAGTCATGTCCTTCTCAAACACATAATATATTCATCCCATCCCAATATCTGCAAAAGTCTTAACCCATTCCAATATCAACTTCAAAATCTCCTCTAAATATCACCATATCAAGTAATATAAAACTCAAGGTACAATTCATCATGAGGTGAAATTCTTCCTCAACTGTGGACCTATGAAATAAGACAAGTTATCTGCTTCCAAAATGCAATGGGTAGGACAGGCATTGGACAGATATTCCCATCCCAAAAGGGAAAAATCAGAAAAAGGGGTGACAGGTCTCAAGCAAGTCTGAAATTTAGAAAGGCAAATACTATTAGATTTGAAGGCTCAAAAACAATCCTCTTTGGCTCCATTCTCTGTCCTCTGGACCACCAGGGAGGCAGCCCTGTCCCTGAAGCCCTGGGTGGCTGCCCTGCTCCCAAGGCCCTGGGTGGCAGCCCCATCCTACGGGCCAAGGAGGAGATAGCCCCACCTCCTGGAACGCCCTCTGGACCCATGGTGGCAGTGGCAATGGTATCCCTGCTGACCTCTGAACTGCTTTTGCAGTTCTTCTTCCCTCTTTTTGAAGGATAATGCATGTTTACAGCTGTTCACAGCTGGATAGCTCTATTGGTCCATCCCATGGAATCTCAGAAGCCTGATATCCTCCCTTCATTCCGCCCCATCTCTGATCCTTCAGTCCAAGCTGGCAGCATTGCTGCTGAGATGATTGATTGGATCCATGAGTCACACCTGTAATCTCTTCACTGCAGATGATTGTCAAACACAACCTTGATGTTCTCTCCAGAATGCACTTTCTTATTCCTTGCAATATGGATAGACTGAGAATTTTCCACATCTTCAGGTTCTGGTTCCTGTTTGCTTAATAATTCCTTCTTCAATTTCTCTCCCTCCTCTCTCACATTTTACTATCAGCAGCAAGGAGAAACCATGCAGTGCCTTTGATACTTTGCTAAGAATCTCCTCAGCTAAATATCCCAGTCGATCACTTGAAAGTTCTACCTTCCACAAAATACTGAGAAACAATGGAGGCAAGCTCTTTGTGATTTTAAAACAAGGATCATCTTCCCTCCAGTTTCCAATCATATATTCGTTTCTATCTGAGCCTTAACCAGAAGCACCCTTAACGTTCATCATTCTACCAACAGCCTCTTCAAGCAAACTCTGCTTTTTCTAACATGCACCTCAAAAATTCTTTCAGCCTCCACTCATTACCCAGTTCTAAATCCACTTCCCGAGTTTTAGGTATTTGTTAGAGCAGCACCCGAATTCTCAGTACCAAAATTTGTATTAGTCAGAGTTTGCCAGAGAAACAGAACCCTTGAACAACACAGGTTTGAACTGGACAGGTCCACTTATACAGAGATTTTTTAAAATAAAAGTTTCACCAAGTGTGCCTGTTTCTCCTGCCTCCCCAGGAGGACAGAGAGAGCCTTGACAAGTCCAGTATTGGCAGGGTAGGCTGTCAGGCTGGAGACTCAAACTAAGAGTTGCAATTCAAGTCAAAAGGTGGTTTGGTGGTAGAATTCCCTCTTCTTCTAGGGATGTGAGTCTTTTTCTATTAAGGACTTCAAATGATTGGATGAGGCTCACCTATATTATGGAAGGTAATCTGCTTTATTGAAGATCAGGAAATTATTGTCTCACTCTTTAAATGGACAGATGCAAAGCCTGGAATGCACAGAAGACTTGGATGTCTATTGGGGCCTATACTAAGATGCCTTTCATTGGGGAGTGGATGGTATCTTTCTTGTTCTCAACACATGCTAAAGCCAAAGCTTGAGTTATCACCATGAAAATTGAAGTCTAGCAGCAGTAAAGACTTTCTTAAGGCTACTGTAGGAGCAGAAGGAAATGTCACAGTCTCCTCTAGGAATGCCACTACTATTCTTCTAATGACATTGTAACTAACTCTGCTGACAGGCACAGGTCTGAGAAAGATGCTCTCCAGCTCTAAGATCCTATAAAATGTAATTGAAGTTGCTGACCCAAACACAGAGATCATTACTAGTATTAATAAAAGGTCTCTTAAAAGTGGGGGAAAAGTCTTTTCCCTGCTCCACAGTTTAGGCTTAGTAGAGAGGAGATTTAGTAATTTAACCTTGTCTTCTGAGACCAGTGAGATACAGATCTAGGGAGAGGATTTGTACAGTTTCCACCCTTGGAAAGAAAGGAACAGAATGAACTAACCAGCTGCCCAGCACAGGGCTCTTTTCCCATGCATTGTCTCAGTCTTTCCATAAATCCTGCAGCACAGATATTATCTCTACAGGGGAACAGTCGTGAGGGTTGCCAACAACTTGGAAATTAGGGAAGTAAAGTTAATAACAGAGAGTTAATAACAGTATCAGAGACACCAGCTCAGAGCCGAGATGTTGAAAGTTAACTGAAAAACAGAGAATGGCTTGAAAGCCAAGCTATTATATTAATAACTGGAGACATTAATACAGGTGAAGTTAAGCAGGACACCTGGTCATTCCTGGAAGCAGAGTAAGAAGAGCACAGAGTAGTGCCCATATCAGCATATCAGCAATGGCCAGGGAAGAAGCAGGTCTAAGGGCTCAACCCTTGCAGTCTCTGCGGCAAATTTAGTTCAACTACAAAAACGGACGGAAGAGGCTACTGGAGCACAGGGCCATGGGACACTTAAATTATCTAACTGTATATAATCATACTCTGAATGCATTTTCACCAAGGAACTTTGATACTATCATTGACTTTCCCATGTAACTTGCCCACAAGAAGAGAAGTTGCTATTTGACTAGTGCAAATATTTTGGCCAGTGTGACAGATATGTCTCTCATTCTAATTTAATATGCAATGTATTAGGCTGTTTTTGCACTGCTATAAAGAAATACCTGAAACTAGGTAATTTATAAAGAAAAGAAGTTTAGGCCGGGTGCAGTGGCTCATGCCTGTAATTCCAGCACTTTGGGAGGCCGAAGTGGGCAGATCACGAGGTCAGGAGATCAAAACCATCCTGGCTAACACGGTGAAACCCCAACTCTACTAAAAATACAAAAAAAAAATTTAGCCGGGTGTGGTGGCAGGTGCCTGTAGTCCCAGCTACTCGGGAGGCTGAGGCAGGAGAATGGCATGAACCCGGAACCCGGGAAGCGGAGCTTGCCATGAGCCGAGATGGGGCCACTGCACTCCAGCCTGGGTGACAGAGCGAGACTCTGTCTCAAAAAAAAAAAAAAAGAAAAAGAAAAAAGAAAAAAAAAGAAAAGAAGTTTAATTGGCTCACACTTCTGCAAGCTTCACAGGAAGCATGGTGCTGACATCTGCTCAGCTTCCGATGAAGCCTTAGGAAGCTCACAATCATTGTGAAAGGCAAAGGGGGAACAGGCATGTCACATGGCAAGAGCAGGGGCAAGGGAGACAGAGAGGAGTCAGGGGAGGTGTCACATACTTTTAAACAACCAGATCTCATGTGAACTCAGAGCAAGAGCTCACTTGTCACCAAGAGGATGGCCGAAGCTATTCATGAGGGATACACTCCCATGGTCAAAACACCTTCCACCAGGCCCCACCTCCAACTCTGGAGATTACAATCCAACATGAGATATGGATGGGGACAAATATCCAGACTATATCACATTGGAAGTATGGTTTTTACCTCAGCCTTATGAGCTTGGTTAATGCGAGTCTGCACCAAGAAATGGAACACAATCTTAGTGAATTGCCCTTATAACAAGGCTAAAGATCAGACCTTACACCATGAAAAATTCTCGTTGATACTGACTGCCTTGTGAAACATCTTGGTAGACTAACAATGGATGTTGCTTGGCCTTCTCATACGCAATCCTATTTGAAAGTTCACACTATCATATGTGTTGTAACTATCCTTCTCAATAATAATTATTTGTCTAGGAAACTCCTACTTATTCTTTAAAACCTAATAAAATGTCACCACAGCCATCCCTGACTTTTCCAGGCCAGAATTAACCACTTCCTATTTCATAATCCTATACCATTATACACGTTTCTCTGTTCACTTAATATATTGCAGTTTACATAGTTGTCTCTGAGGCCATACTCTGGGCTGTTTGAGAAAAGTAACGAGGTCTTATTTTTTATTCTTAGTTTCTTGAAAACAGCAGGTGTCCAATAAACATTGGTGAATTAATAAACAAGGTAATGTAAATCCCAATGGTTTATTCTAATTTGTGGCAATCAATAATTTAAATCAACTTAATGAAACCACAGAAAAGTAAGTCTAATTTTCTATAACAAGTACTGATTAATTGAACTTCCCTAAAATACAAAATTGGAAAAGGAAAGAAAAAAAAATCAGATTTGTGTAATGACAGAAAAAGCATAAAGTTTGAAGCTGGGGCTATCTGGCAATTATATCCCAGATTTACCTCTGCTACCTTCCTTGAGCCTGAATTTTCCTTACCAAAAAAAAAAAAAAAAAAAAAAAAAAATCTATGGTTGCCAGAAATTAAATAAGATAATGTAAATGTAAATAAAGTAGATAGCAAAGGCCATGAACACAGGGACTTAATAGAATAGCAGGAGCTCAGTAAATGTTAATTCCTTTCTTTTCTGGCCCCCATGAAGCCATTTTCCTGAAAGTCAAAATTAGATAATGCATTATACCAGGATTCTTATTCCCTCAAGATAAGAATTCTCCGCTTCCTAAGGAATGCTTATTCTTTCAACCAGCTGTCCAATGGTCAGAACCTCTCCCCTATCTGACTTTCCCCAAAACAGAAGCGCAGGAAAAAATAAGTAGGTAACTACCAGTAGCAATATCCATTTAACAAAGGTGTGAGGGTAGGGTGGGTCCCAAGGACAAGAACCCTGTCCCAAAATCTGAGTAATAATAACTATTTGCTGCCCAGGAAATTGCCTATGAGCTTGCTGGGTTGAGTGGAAGTGCACTGGCTCCAGGAAGAGGACATTACAGGGCAGCCAGGCTGAGGCACATGGTGTGGGGACCATGGTCACTGGGATCACCACGAGGTCAAGGGATCCCTCAACTCTGGGGCCACAAAAGGCATCCCTGTCCTCTTGGTCATAGACACAATAATAAAATGGGTTTTGCTGTTTTAGACAAATCTGGATATAGGGAGGGGGACATAGTGAAAAGCAAGGAAAAATTCCAAGGCCGTTTCCTCCCAGAGGATGTCCACTTTGACATCCAAGTTGGCCAGGTTGAAGAAATAGCAATCCTTGAAGCATGCTGTCTGTGACAGGGAGGAACTCCTCCTTCACTTCTTGAGTGTTTCAAGATGTATCTTTATAAGTAACAAACTAAAATGAAGATTAATGGGTGGAGGGAGACATGGAGCCAAATCTTACCCCAACAGGAACCACACGGCGGGGCACGCCACAGCCTGGGGAGTTTGGTCGGGAGAGTTGCCGAGATGGCTGTCAGAGCAGCAGAGGAAAGAATCCATCTCCCTGGGCTGGGACCGATTCCTTCTCATCTCCTGGAGGAAGACAAGGATTTCCTCAAATAAAGTGAAAGTCTCCTTTGGTCCAAGGTCACGGACATCCTTGTCCAACTTTGCTTCCGTTTACACACAAGGAAATGAGAACACTGAAGCCGATTAACTAAAGATGAAGTAGATGTGGTCCAAGTGTAAGTTTGAGCCAAAAATGTTCCTTCAAAGTCCAGTCCAAGAAAGCTCTTTCTAGATTTGGTGTCAGCATTTGGATTTTCCCCCAAAGATTTAGTCCATATTCTCAATAAGGAGAGGCTTGGGATTGGGAGGGGTGGAGAATTAGAGATGTAGTGTTGAGAGCACACACAACAGAGCAAGCTCTGGAGTCAGACAACGTTGGCTTCCGATCCTGGCTGTACCGCTAATGACTGTGTGATCTTAGGCAAGTATTTTAGCCTCTCTGAGCCTCAGTCTCCTGTCCTGCAAAAGTAAGCTTGACATCGTCGTTCTCACATTGTTGTGCAGATTAAATGAAATGACATATGCAAAGGTGCATAACACACAGCCCTGGAATGTCATAGAAAACACTCGCCAAATGTTAGTTTCCTTCCTTTTCAAATTACCTATTTAGAATTTCTGAATGTATTCGTACTGAGAAGTACTGTTGAGAAGGGTGTCTTCAATTATACTTTATAGAGAATATGAAACATATGGGAGGAAGATATTGATCCCAAGCTGCCAAAATTATTTTTGTGGAAAGAAAATTCAGAATCACTCCAGATCCATACTGCACTCTTAGCTGCAGGTGCGCCTATGAAGTCTTTGACAAAATTAAGTTGAATATATTCATTATGACATAAATAGAATTCGGGGAGCTACTTCATTCAGGTTGGAGCTATGAGTGGCACCATCTTCTGCAGAATCACTCCATCGGGTATGTATCAACACATTTGAAAATGTCAGACTGAAAAGAGGAAGTTTTCTCTCTGGGATTTGAACACCTGGTGTGAGAAATCTAAGAGAAAGGTAATGGCAGAGAAAGAAGAGATTAATTTTTATTCTTTATGTATAATAAATTCAGTCACCACCAAACAAAGCAATAGGTCTTCCTTTCAATGTTGTCACTTGAAAGATATTATTAAATGGCCTTTTCAAAATAATCCATGTAGCATATTTGCACTGAAATAGTGAGTTTCTGAGACACGCACAGGTAAGAGGGTTAGGTGCTTCACAATGTCATGCAACTCCATCTGCTTAGAAGTGGCTGCTGCTGGGAACTGTGAAATCATGACGTTAGTGTACTGCAGGGGCCAGGGGGCCAGAGGGAGAAAATGAGCATTTATTGATTGTTCTGCTATGTGCCTGGCACAGGGTTTGGCACTCAGAGATGTTATATTGCTTGAAATGCACCGCATTTTTGTGAGGTCGAATTACCACCTCATTCTAGAGAGGAGGAAATTGAGTCCAATGAAATTAACTAACGAGTTGATGGCAAGGGTTGGATTTCAGCACGAATTCGTCTCACTCCAAAGCCAAGCCTTTTCCATGGCCACATTGCCTGCCCAAGACCCCAAGTGGGCTCCATTCACCCCACTCTTGCTCTAAAGTTGAAGAATTTCCAGCCCAGAAAGCTGAAGTATATCACTTTAAGTCAAACTGAACTCATCCTCAAGGTTGAAGTAGAACGCAACGTCTGTAAATGCTGGCAGAGTTCATTTTCCTCCATGTCTCCCTCATGGAAAAGGCCACTGGACATGGACATCATGAATCTGGTTCTCCCCTCCCCAGTCACCTCCAGCTCAGTCAATAGAACCACCACGTGGAACCACCACAGGCTCCAGGCAACCTTGGCATCCTCCTACAGCTCACACATCAGCACATCTTAGTATCTTTACCTTCAAAAGATCCCTCAAGTCCACCCACATCCCACCCCCTCCGCCATCAGCCCCACTCCATGCCCCCACCATCAGCTTTTGCCTGATGGTTGCAGTCTCCTAACTGGTAGCTCAACTCCTCCTTGTAAACCCTACAAGAGCCAATCCCTCCAGATGGATCCTGAGTAGCTAACCAGGCCTAAATTCAAATTACAGACGAGCAGCCATTTGTTGACAGGAGGTCAGGCATGTACTCTGCATGCCCAGAAAACTCACATCATCAAGTAACTTTGGGAGTTTCATAGCTGTCTGTTCCTGCTCATGCCGCCTGCATCAAAGGTGCTGGAAAATCCCATTTTGCCTCCTATACCTAATCAACGGACTGTGACCTGTGTCAGCCAATCAGAACCAAACAAGTTTGCATCCTTCTTTTGCATAGTGAACCAGAGTGGGAACCTGGGCAGGAACGTTTTCTATAAGAGACAGCCCCTCTCTTTGTTCTCCCAAAACGCCCCTCTGTTGTGTTCCAAAAGCTGCCACTCCCAGTTTGCAAACTACACTGGAATTAAGTCTCATTCCTTTAAAAAACAAAATCATTTCAAGGGATTTGTTGACGTACTCTTCACTCTTTCCTGTCTGGTTTTAGAGCAGCTTGAAGACATTTTCCTTCACTCTCTCACTCATTCACTCATTCAACAAATATTTTTGAGTACCTATTGTGGGCCAGGCACTGTTATAAGTGGGAATTCAGCAGTGATAAAAATAAGCTAGAATCCCTGACCTCACGAAGCTTACAGTTTAAAAAGGGGAACAGGCAATTTACAAAGTATGTAAAACATAGAGTAAATTATATAGTGATACCTTCCAGGAAGAAAAACAAAGCAGGAAAGGGTGCCAAAAAAGTCTCTCTAAGAAGGTAACTTGGCTGTGAATGCCCAAGGGAAGGGAGGAGTGAGCCTGAGCTTTGTGTCTATTTGGGAGAAGGACGTTCTGTGCAGAGGGGACCCAGCGCCAGGGCCTGGGACAAAAGCAGGATGGGCACATTCCAGGAATAGCAGGGAGGTGGGGCCAGGGCTAGAACAGAGAGAATGAGGGGAGAGAAATAGGAGACACCTTAGAGGAAGCCCTCCAATGGTAAAGAGTTACCCTTGGCTGAGCCCCACACACATACCAAAAATCCTATGGAGCATTTTGCATTTATTTATTTATTTCTAATTCTCATAAATCAATAGCCTTCAAAATATCCTTACTTTTCAAATGAGAACATTGAGATTGGGAAATGTTCAGTGACTCGCCCAGGGTCACACAGAGCCCAATCTGTCTAATTTCATTGCACTATAGCTGCTTCTCTATTGATCTGGGTTTGTGCCATGATACTAAGTCAGGGCATGGCTTAAGCAAAATCCGCTTGGCTCTGAGGTCAATCACAGATTGAATTATGACCTCAGTTCTGAATTAGAAAGAGCTGCTAAGAGCAGACTGTGAGCTGAAACCAAAACTCACTGTGAACAACAGCCTTAATTGGGCTCTATGTTCTTAGAGACTTGAGGTTCAATTTCCATGGACTTCAGTTTCTCCAGTGTAAAATGAGATTGGAGTTCATCAACTGGTCTCTAGGCTAGAAAGGCCCTTAGAGATCATGCAATTCAACATCCTCATTTGCAGAAGGTGAGACAGTCTCAAAGAGGAGGCATGACCAGCACAAGGTCACAAGGTGGGTCAAAGGCAGAGCTGGGACTCCCACCCAACTCAGTGCTCCCCCCACCTCAGGGCACACACCTGCCCCCGTGGAGACATGTGAATGACCCTGCCTTTGATTCAAGGTACTAGAGTAAGGGGAAGGGAATGAAAACTGGGGCAAGTGTTTCAAGTGAGTCCTTGAAGGAAGCTTCCCTACCCTGGCACAATGCTCAGTCCTTCCTCACACCTGGTAGCAGCCCCCAAAATGATATGTCCGCATTCTAATAGCTGGACCAGGGGATAATACTTAATATAGCAAAAGATGGGATTAAGTTTATGGTCTTGAGAGGAGGAGGAGGAGCTCATTCTGGATTATCATGGGGGGTCCTAAATGCACTCACAGGTGTCCTTCCTGAACAGCAGTAAGAGTCTTGGGACAAGGGAGGCAGAGAATGAAGTGGTGGAGCCATCAGCCAAGGAATGCCTGGAGCCACCAGCAGCTGGGAGACACAGGGAACGGATACTCCCCTAGAACCTCTGGAGGGAGCACAGCCCTATTCATACCTTAATTTCATTTTCTGCTCAGTGAAACCGATTTCAGACTGCTAGCCGCCAGAGCTGTGAGAGTAGACATTTCTGTTGTTTGAAGCCCCAAGTTTGTGGTAATTTGTTCCAACAGCCCCAGGAAACGAGTTACCCCCATCTGCTAACTTCTTGCTGTTTTCCCGACCTCTTGCCACTCTGTCTACTCCCTTGTCTGAATGGCCCCAGACTCCAGCTGCAGATACCTTATCCCCCTCCACTGCCGCTCTCCCCTCAGCCTCAGCCCTTACCTCTCCAGCTTACTCTCTCTTCTCTGCCCCTTGCCACTCATCCTTCCCAGCTCTTCCAGTCCCCAGAACCTCCCTTCCCAACAGCAGCTCCCCAAGGCACCCCCTCCCCTTCTGCCTGAGACAACAGTGGGCTGGAAGCCTCTTCCAGCAGCGTCACAAATCTTCATTAGGGCCATAACGATCACTAATGTGCTGGAACCGCAATGGTCTGTTAGCAAGCTTTGTCAGCGGCAGCATGAGGGATGAGGGCCCGGCTGCCAACCAGCCCCCGCCCCCCACCCCTGCCCCCCAGTTGTCATTGCCTCGCTGGTGAGTTTTATGAATGAAAGAAAGTACGATGGAATTGCTATTAGGATGAACTCAGCGCTGGGCCAGCATGGGGGCTGCAGCTCCCTCTCTTAGAGTGGGCAGAGCTGCTCCTCAGTACCGTAAGAGGCACCACCGTTAGTAAAGCTCCCTCTAACCATCCAAACCAGACCACGAGCAATCCAGGAGGCTTCCCACATAAAACAGGAGACGCTCAATTAAATTTGAATTTCAGATGAGCAACAAATAAGTATGAACCATGCAATATCCAACACATATCTATGCTACAAATGTATTTATTTTTTATCCGGAAGTCAAAGTTCAGATACAATTGGGGCATCCCCTATTTTTATTTGCTAAATTCTGGTGACCCTAGACCTGGCCGGGGTCTCCGCCTGGCAGCTCTGGTCAGTGTCCCTTATTCACCACATCACAGCCTACCTTTAACAGCAGCATCCGCCCAGACCACCAGGAGCAGCACTTGGACAGAAGCCAAGGAAGCTGTGGCATTTTGAGGATTTGCTAGAATTCTGAGAGGCCCAGACAGGTAGGCTCACGAACTGAAACTTCGGCAGAGACAAAGAACTGATGTGCTGATGTGGTGGCCATGGAAAGCGGGAGACAGTAGGAGATGGCTAGGAAAGGCTGTGCCACAGTCGTGCGATTCATCCAATCCAGCCACCACGTGCTCCACACAGCACTGCCAGCACAGAATGGAGAAAAGCACAGTCTCTGTCCTGAGGGAGGCAAGGAGGATGCTGTGCAATTTCCCTCCCTAATAACCCTGAGGTGAGTGAGGGTGGACTCACCCTCACTCACTCTCTACACCTCCTCCCAGCTCCTGAAATCAGCGGCTGTTCCCACCGTCCCTCACCTGCAATCTCTCACACCAATCGGCATTTCTGTAACTGTGGTGCTCTGCTGTAAGCCCTTGTCCTGTCCCTCCACTTTGGATCATTGCCCTCCATAAACTTATTCTGTTTCAGGTCACCTGCCACCCAGCTGCCACGTTTCTGGCTCTAAGAAACCACAAACTAGATGGAGCAGCTCTTTTTACTGCTATTGATTGTCTCCCCTTTGCCTGCCCAATGAAGACCAAACTCATGGCATGGCACTTAGGAGCCTCTGAGCTCAGCATGGTCCCACCTCATCTCCCATTTGCCTCACTAGCCACCCAGTGCTAGAGGCAGTGGGATGGCAAGGTTCTAGAAAGTGATGTGGGTGAATTTCTTCCTCCTGCTCCTCTTAGAGAATCTGAGACCCAGAAGCTCTGGCTAAACCTTTATTATCCAACTTAGCCCAACATGACCTGAGAGAGATCTCTACCCCCTCCCCTAGCCTGCCTGGATAAGCCCATGCCAGGAAGTGTAGAGCCCCCAGGATGCTCTGGCCTGGCTCAGTGAGCTCTCTCACCTCTGCCTGAGCCACAGGTGATTTCAAAACTGGCCCAAAACAGTAAGGCAAGCAAGAGATGGGGCTGGGTGTAGAGCCAGGCAACCCGACTCCAGAGCTGGTGCCTTCAGTTGCTCTACTGTGCACAGCCCTGGGTGCTTCTTCACATGTATGGGATGTCTGTGTACAGGCAGCACTGGAGAGAGGAATCCACATCTGCTTCTTAAGGCCATGGGTATACAACTACCCTATCTCTGAAATTATACTACAACTCTGCAGGCCCCCAATTTTCCTCTCATTGATCCCCTCAGCATCTTTGTCTTTCCACCTATGTTAAAGTAAGCTGACTGTTAAGAGTCGCACACCCGGCCAGGTGTGGTGGCTCATGCCTGTAATCCCAGCATTTTGGGAGGCCAAGGCAGGTGGATCACCTGAGGTCAGGAGTTCGAGACCAGCCTGGCCAAAATGGTGAAACCCCGCCTCTACTAAAAATACAAAAATTAGCCGGTCATGTTGGAGGCACCTGCAATCTCAGCTACTCAGGAGGCTGAGGCACGAGAATCGCTTGAACCCCAGAGATGGAGGCTGCAGTGAGCTGAGCTTGTACCACTGCACTCCAGCCTGGGATACAGACTGAGACTCTGTCTCAAAAAAGAAAGAAAAAAAAAAGAGTCATGAGTCACACACCCAAAATTTCTGCGACTTAGCAACACAGGAAGGGTTTTCTTGTTGTTCATTTCAACACTTTGGTCTGGGGAGCTTTGCTCCAGGCAGTCACTCAGGGCCCCAGGCTGCTTTCATCTTGTGGTTCCAACATCCTCTAGGTCCTTGGAATTCTCTTCATTCAGAAAGTAAATGAGGTAAGGATTATATGTACAAGGTTTTTATGAACCAGGGCTGCAAGTGGGGCATGTAGTGGACATTGTGATATGCCACCCAGATGCCCCATCAGGCTGAAGGGCTGACTTCCTCAGTCAACAGGAGTATTGCTGGAAGCTCATCTTTACCTTAAATCACCTTCCGGAAATGTCCTGGGCTGAAGGGAGTTGCCTCACACAAGGTCTTATCCCATTTCTAGGGCAGATGACTGGTCAACACAGGGGTCTAAAGGCCTAGCTCCATCACCCTATCCTGCACCCCAGTGCAGAAGAGCCATCCCAGCCTTAGAGTTCTGCCTGGTCAGCTGAGGCCATAGCTGAGTCGGCATCACTCAGTCATCACAGTCTAACTTCTCCCTCCTCCCACCTGCTTCCTTCTCTTCCCTGTAGTTGGTCTCAATCTCAAGAGCACTCCCAGATTAACCTGCATGCTGATCTCTAGTTCAGAGGCTGCTTCCCAGGAGGCCCAAACTACATCTGCGCAGGTCACTTCTGCTCACATTGCACCAGCCCAAACTCGGGACAGTAGCCATACTGAGCTGCAAAAGAGCCCAGAGAGTATAGTCCTGTGGTCTATGCAGGAAAAGGGAAGAGCACGGGGACCAGCAAAGCACATGCCCCTTACCTTACACAACCTTTCAACCTTACAGAGCCCTATGATGGAATGGCCGGAGGGAGCATCTGAAAGTGAAAGTGGAGGAAACATTTGAACCTGAGATCATGAATACAAAGTACTGGGCTTGGAATCAGAATGTGGGATTTGAGCCCAGCCCTTCTACTTTCTAGGATCAATAAAATGTTATTTTTCTTTCTTCTGTAAATTTCATCCTCAAATCTATAAAATGAGACTAAAAATAGTGGAAGACAAAGCAGCTATTATAAGGATCAACAAGAAAATCTATGCAAAATCAATCATCCCAGCAGTTGGTAAGAAAAAAGTCCCTCTGTGGATACTTGGTGGGTCCAAATCTGTCTCCTGATGTCCGCTTGATCCATGTAAAAACAGTGACTTCTTTGACCCTAAACTTGTGGGTTGGGGCACTCAGGAATCACATCCTATCAAGAGTTGACCAAGTGAAAATGAACTAGCAAGCTGGAGGATTAAATATCATCCCTGTTTTGCTTTCTTTCTAACAAAACTGAAAATGTTTTCCTTTGGTATTAAACCACTTGATCTCGACTCCGGATTCTGCAACCTGAGCTGCCCCGGAGTTCTGTGGTTTGCATGAGTTGGACGGGGATCTGATGCCGGGATCTGGCGTCTGCTTGAGGTGGGCCTTTGAAGGCAGGAATGAGACTTGGCTGGCTTGGAACTAGAGGTTCTTCCAGGCTTCGGGCATGCCACTTCAGACGGTACAGCTCTCGTGGGAAGAGGCCAGCTGGGCAGGACAGACTGGGCAGGGGGTGAGACTGCTTCCTTCTTGCTTCATGATTTGAAACCAAACCAGTATAAACCTACAATATAATCAGAGCATTGAGAGGGCCTAGGAATGGAATCCTATCTACACAATACCCAGGAAAGAATGCTGGGATATCAGAGGCCCTAATAATTCACAGCCAAGGTTTCTGAGCCCGATCTTGGGGCATCCAATGGGAGTCAGTGGGGAATGATACCATTTTGCCCACAGTGATTAAGATCATGGGTTGTAAAGCAAGATCACCAGCATTTAAGTTCTGATTCTGTGGCCAGGCATGGTGGCTCACGCCTGTAATCCCAACACTTTGGGAGGCCGAGGCGGGTGGATCACGAGGTCAGGGGTTTGAGACCAGCCTCGCCAAGATGGTGAAATCCTTCTCTACTAAAAATAAAAAATCAGCTGGGCGTGGTGGCAGACGCCTTTAATACCAGCTACTTGGGAGGCTGAGGGAGGGGAATCGCTTGAACCTGGGAGGCAGAGGTTACAGTGAGCTGAGATGGTGCCATTGCACTCCAGCCTGGGCGACAGAGCGAGACTCTGTCTGAAAAAAATTAATTAATTAATTAATTAATTCTGATTCTGCTTCTTCTAAGCTGTGTGAATGTGTGCAAGCTGGTGACCTAACTCTTCTGTGACTTAGTATTCCCATCTCTAAAATGAAGATCAAAATGGTACCTACATCATCATGCGAACATGAAGATTAGATGGAAGATATCCATGAACTCTTTAGAAGAACCTGGCATTCAGCAACCATACAATGGAGTTAGGTGCTATGGCTGCCGCAGCTGCCGCTGTTGTGATAATTATTATACTCAATATTATGAAAGGGTAGCTTCATTTGCTTGCTTATGTACTCATAGAGATTTCCCTATCCCTTGTCAGTGCTAGACCCTAGACAGGGAGGCCTGGTCCCTGACCCAGAGCTGCCCATGGTCTGCTTAGGTAACAATGAAAGCAAAGATGATTCTGCCTTGACTCAGTTGCTGAAGGTGACAGGATGGCACAGATATAAGGCTCCTACCTAATCTATCCTGCAGGCATGCTGCTGCCACACTTCATTAACCTAACAAAGAACTATGATTGCTGATGGAGAGACAAGTAGGCCCTTCTGTGAAAGGAGAAATGGGAGGTGGAATTTGAATGGACTTTCTGTGTAGAAGGCTCAGAGGTGATTGTGCTACTGACAGAGGCCTGGGAGTCCCTCTGCTGCCGTCCTACACCCACCCCGCCTGCCCTCTGACGGGGGAAGCAGAATCATAGGTTCTCAAGACCAAAAGGCAACTTCAAGGGAAGAAGTGCGGATGCGTTTTAGAGAGGCTTCATTTTGTTCTCGAAATCAAGATCCCCCATGTTCAAGCTCTACTAACCTCCCTGAGACTCATGTTCTTATCTACAAAATGGGGGTACTTGATCATAAACTGTTGTAACAATTACATTAAAAGATGTTTAGTTATTTATTTTTTGTCATTTACCCTAGATTATTTCACACCACAAAGGGTATTAAACATTTATCAACCCACATATGAGGCAGCAAGAAAAACAAATAGCAAAGAGGAGAAACCACGAATAAAAGGGAAAAAAGAAAGGCAAGGAAAATATCAGTCCACATAACTGCATTCCCTGTGATTCTAGGACAGAGAAAAGCTACAGACTTTGCTTTGAGCTTTCTAGTGGTCAAAGAGAAAAATAGTTCAGTTTCAATTAATTTTGTCAATTACAAAATTAATGTGTCCACAAAATGAAAACAGACTTGTTGTTCAGAAATGAAGCATGTGTTCTAAAGCTCTTAGCATCTACTTTAAAAATATGCTAGCAGCTACTGTGAACTGCCACAACTTTTACCATCATCATCAAATACGGTGTTTTTTAAAAATAAAGACTGGAAAGTTACTTGTGTGTCCACAGTCAGAAAACATTTTCGAAAAAAACAGAATAAAACATAACAAAAAAAGAATTTTTATGAAACATTTGTTTCAATTTTATATATATATATATACAGGGAGGGAAAAGAGAGAGAACTGAGACTGTGATGTAAAACATGCCTTGTGATTCATGTTCAACAAAGTAGATCACACCATCACCTGGCCATGCTTCCCTCCTGTCCAGCCATCCTCCAAGTGAATGTCCACCTCTGCTTCAACACCAAAGCACCAGAGCTTGGCCCAGACCCTTTCCTGGGCAGGACTCTATCACTGACCCTCTCAGTGATTAAAAAAAAAAGATTCTTCCTTTGATCTGAAATCTGTCTCCCCAGAATTGTGATGCACCAAAATGTTACCACACATTCTGAAGCAAGTTAATTTCCATTCATTTATTTTATATTTTATTTGAATTCTTCGAAGGCCCTTCTTTGAGCAGAGCTCTGGCCTACCCCCTGGTGAAGTCAGAGAAACAGAGACGCACAGGCCATGATTTCTTGCCACCAGCAAAGCCTAGGGTCCCCTGGGGAAGACACATGAATGTACCAACAGCATATAAGAGAGAGTCATACAAAGAATCCAAGGACCTTACTAGGTGTGGGCTGACAAGCAAATCAAGCAGAAGTAGGTTTCAGATGGAGGCACGGGGGCTGGCTGCACAGGCCAGGAGAGTGACAGGATGTTCTGCTTGAATGGGGGCAGAGCTTAGCCCTGAGCGAGGGACCACACCATGGTCGATGGTAGAAAGTCACTCTATGTCTAGAAAAAGGTGAGGGGCATTCCAGGAAGAGTTCTCCTCAACAAATGATGGAGGAAACCATAGAAAAGACAAACAACTAAAAACTGTAATCCAGGTTATCTGTTCCTGTGTCTCTGTAATTAAATTAACATAGAGCAGATAACTATAAATGGTTTATTGCAGAGACTGTCAATATAGGAGGAAAATCAGACCTCCCAGGCCAGCCTGGACTAGGAACCCACGTGAACCAATCAACTGTGATCAGGGTCAGGGCTATGTCAGAATATGGCAGCTCCTGCAGGAGCCACACAGCTGGAGGGAGCATGCTGGACACACAAAGAGCAGGTGTTCTCAGAGGAGAGCTGGCTGGGAAATTAAAACTTTGGGTGGAAGTGGGGGTCAGGGTGCCTTCTGCGGAGTAAGCTCCTGCATGGAAAGAGGCATGCGGTATAGAGGAAAGAACGTTGAAATTAATTCAGGGGTCCTGCTCCCACCTACAGCTGTATCATCTCAAGCACGTCACTATCTTTCTAATGCTCAGTCTCCATTCCCGTAAAGTGGAGGTAATGTTCTCACCTCTGTCCCTCACACAGTTGATAGCCAGATGACATTATGGCTGGGGAAGTGCTTTGTTCATTGTAAAGGGTCCTGTCCAGGTAGGGAGAGGTTAGACGTTTAAGTAAAAGCTGAATAAAAAATAGCCTGCTGTCAGGAATATGACAGAAGAAAGGCCAGCTCCATTGAGAAGCTAAGCTGCATGCTCCCAGGGGTCTTCCATCCCTGTGACACCATGAAATGTTAAGAGACTAGCTCTATCCATCACCACACTTCTGCCAACAAGATTCCCAATTCTCAGCCTCTTTGATTTCTATTCCCATTGAAATTGTTTTCCTTCATGAGCAGGCCCTCATAAAGACCTATATTTACTAAATCAAACTCACTTTTTAAAATTTATTCCACCCAGAATTTTGTATTTGTCACCAATCTCAATGATGTTTCTCAAAAGAACAGCTATTGATCAAACACGGTACTCTACTAAACAATGTCATGATATAATATAGTCCGCATGCCATAAAGAGAAATGTTGGCTATTTTGGAGTCAAGCTTCCTGGATTTCGAATCTCAGCTCTACCATTTATTCATTATGTGATCTTGGGTAAATTTAGTCAGTGAGCCTCAGTTTTGATATCTGTTAACTAGATAGAAGAATACCCACTTTGAAAGTTTGTGACAATTACAGTTATGACGTTATTAAGATTGTGAAGATTATAGACAACTTACGTAAAACATCTACTATGATGTTTAGCTCATAGTGGAGCTCAAAACATTTATTTTTATTGAAATATACCATATGTATGGTATATTTATTGAAATATATTTTTGAAATATACCATAAGTATAAAATAAATTTTTGAATATTGAAATATACCATATGTATGAAAAGTACACAAATTACAAGCATACAGCTCAACGAACAGTAAAAAGTGGGCGTACCTATGTGACTGGCACCCAAATCCAAAAGCAGAATATGACCAGCACCTAGAAGTCTCCCCCATTCTTCCCTCTAATTGTTACCAGCGCCCCACCCCCAACCCAGGAAAACCAGCAGCTCGACTTCTCTCACCATATACTTGCTTCATCTGTTTCTGCATATTACATAAATGGAATCATACAATATGTAATCTTTTGAATCTGGCGCCTTCTACTCAACATTTAATTTGTGAGATGTTATATGTAGTTGTAGTTTATTCCCAACGTTTGTGTTATTATTTTTCAGTTCAGTTTGTGACTTGTCACCTTGAAACAAAATGGTTATCAGAGAAAACTTCCAAATGGCTAAACTTCTATGATTGGACCAAATGATGGCTGCAGTTCAAAAAACCACTAGTTTGATATTTTGAATCACAGAATGATTCACTAAGCTGCCCTGGAGCATAATACATAAAATGTGTACATCCTTTACAATAAATGAAATAAGCCAAGCAGTCACAGCCAACAGCCTAAATGAAAGCAGACATATATTAAACTCTTAGTGAACTCCAGGGAGAAAGACTGAATTCAAATAAGGAGAATACACATTGCCTATGCAAATAGGTAAATAAAAAAGAGAAATGGTCTCTAAAGTCTCTGGTGGAGTTGTTAAAAATGAGCAGGCATGAAGTACAATGAAAATAGAGTAGACTTTGACACTGGATGAAAACTAGTGTCCAGCCAATGATCCACTGCTCATTAACAGTGTAATTTGAACAAGTTACTTTACGTCTCTGAGTTTCAATTCCTTCATTTGTAAAATGAAAATAATAGTAGCTAATTCTTAGGGTTTGTTTGAAGATAAAATTAAATAAAACAATGATATAAGATACACAGTAGGTGCTTGTATTAACAAATGAGGGAGACACTTCAAATAGATCACTTAAGAGAGAATGCTGGAATTCAACAGAGAAGTGGCAGGAAATACCTAAAACCTGGGAGGAGAAGGAAGCAAGGCACCCTGTTCTGCCTGAATTGGCAGAAAGCACGGAGAAGCTCCCCAATGCAAGGAAAAGGTAAGTGAGTAGCCCCAGAGGTCTACATTCCCACCACAGACTCCTGTAATCCTAGCCACAGGAGAGCCCCTCTACCCACACAGGCTCTGAGACTAACAGAGAGAGGCTGCTTAGAGACCATGCAATGGCATTGCTCCAGAGAGGGAGCTCATGCTGGGTCTTGCACACCCCTTGAGTCCTTAGCAGCTACAGCAAGGTACTATTTTGAGAACCCAGCCCCCACCAAACTGCATCATGCCCTAAGGCCCAACAGCCCCTGCATCCATCTACACATCCCTGGAGTCCCACTGACATCCCCCACCTGCAGCTGCCAATGCTGGGTACTGAGAACTGGTCAACCAAATGTCCCTGTCTACAGCAAAACTTCACCACAGCCTGCCTCTACTAACAACCATACCCTCAGCCACTGAGGAAGTCACAGACACTAGTGACACTGTTTACAACCAAAGAAATCACACAGAGACTACACTACTTCACAAACCCACAATCAAAGCCAGGGTGCCCCACCGTAACAAAACCATAAACACATTTTCAGGGAAAAGTCCTCTCCTCCAAAAAGAAATTCAAAAAAAAAAAAATGAAAGAGGTGATGGTTGCACCAGATGTTCAGATGTCAATGTAAGAATGTAAGAAACATAAAAAAGTATGAGAATATGACATCTTCAGTGGAACAGAATTAATTATCTAGTAACAGATTCCAATGAAAAAAAATTATGAAATTCCAGACAAAGAATGAAAATAATGCTATTAAAGAAGCTCAGTGACATACAAAAGAACTCATAAAAACAATACAAAGATATCAGAAAAACAATTCAGGAATTAATAAGAAATTTACCAAAGAGATATCATAAAAGGAACCTAACAGAAATTCTGGAACTGGAGAATTAATTGAATAAAATACAAAATACATTTGAAAACTTCAACCGTAGACTAGATAAAGCTGAAGAAAGAATTTTAGAGCTTGAAAAGTTTATAGAAATAACCCAGTCAGATAAAAATTTTTAAAAAGAATGAACAAAGTCTACATGACATATAGAACACCATAAAGTAACCAAATATTCACATTTTCACTGACCCAGTGAAATTAACAATGTAATTTGCCAGGAGGCAAAGAGAAAACAATCTATTAAACAAAATGGTAGCTGAAAATCTCACAAGTCTAGCCAGGGATTTAGACATACAAATACAAAAAGCTCAGATATTCCCAAACAAATACAATTCAAAAAGGTCTTCCCTACCACACATTACAGTCAAGCTGTCAGAAGTCAAAGAGAGAATTTTAGGCCAGGCATGGTGACTCACACCTGTAATCCCAGAACTTTGGGAGGCCGAGGCAGGCGGATCATGAGGTCAGGAGTTTGAAACCAGCCTGGCCAGAATGGTGAAACCCTGTACCTACTAAAATACAAAAAAATAGCTTGGCATGGTGGTGCATGCCTGTAGTCCCAGATACTCGGGAGGCTGAGACAGGATAATTGCTTGAACCCGGCAGGCGGAGGCTGCAGTAAGCTGAGATTGCACCACTCCACTCCAGCCTGGGCAACAGAGCAAGACACCATCTCAAAAAAAAAAAAAAAAAAAAAAAAGAAGAAGAAAAGAAAAACAGAGAGAGAGAATTTTAAAAGCAGCATGAGAAAAGTATCTCATCACTTATGAGAGAACCCCCCATACACTAACAGCACACTTCTCAGCAGAAAACTTAGAGAATGGGATGATATATTCAAAAAGTGGAAAGTAAAAACTGCCAGTCAAGGATACTATATCCAGCAAAGCTATCTTTCATAAACAAAGAAAAAATGAAATCTTCCCCAGACAAGTAAAAGCTGAGGGAATTTATCACTACTAACCCGAACAAATAAGAAATGCTTGAGGGAGTCCTACAGCTAAAAGCAAAAGGATGATTTCTACCATCATGAAGACACACAAAAGTGTAACACCCACAGGTAGAACAAACACACAAACAAGGAAGAGAAAGGACTCAACAGGAACCACCAAGCCACAGTGACAAACAATAAGAGAAAAAGGAACAAAGAATCTACAGAACAACCAGAAATCAATTAATAAAACGACTGGAATAAGCCTGCATATATTAATAATCTTCAATGTAAATGGACTAAACTTTCTACATAAAATACACAGACTAACGGAATCAATTTTTTAAATGACCCAACTACATGCTGCTTACAAGAAACTCATCACACCTGTAAAGACACATATAGACTTTATAAAAGTAAAGAAATGGGAAAATATGTTCCAGAGAGAAACCAAAAGCAAGCAGGAGTTTCTATACTTAGATAACACAGAGTTTAGGTCAAAAACAGTAAAAAGAGACAAAGAAGTTCACTATATAATAATAAAGGAATCAATTGATTAAGAGGATGGAACAATTATAAACATATATCACACAACACTGGAGCACCTAGATATGTAAAGCAAATATTATTAGATCTAAGGGTAGAGATAGACTCCAATACAGTATTAGTTGAGGACTTCAATACTGACTCTTAGCATAGACAGATCATCTAGACAGAAAATTAACAAAGAAACATTGGATTTAAAAAGCACATTAGAATAAATGGACCTAACAGACACTTACAGAACATTTCATCCAACAAATATAGAACACACAATCTTCTCATTAACACATGGAAAATTCTTCAGAATACATCATATGTTATGACACAAAATGAGTCTCAATAAATTTTTAGAAATCTAAGTCATATTAAGTATTCTCTCAGACCACAATAGAATAAAACTAGAAACCAATAACAACAGGAACTTTGGAAACTGTGCAAATACATTTAAACTAAACAACATGCTCCTAAATGACCATCATGTCAAGGAGGACATTAAGAAGAGAAAAAAAAATGTTTTTTGAAACATGAAAATCCAAACACAACATACCAAAACCTATGGGATACAGCAAAAGCAGTGATGAGAGAGGTTTATAGCAATAAATCCCTACGTCAAAAAAGGTAGAAATATTTCAAATAAGCAAGTTAATGATGTACCTCAAGGAACTAAAAAGGCAAGAATAAACCAAACCCAAAATTAGTGGAAAAAAAGAAATAAAGATCAGAGCAGAATTAAATGAAATAGAGACTAAGAAAATAATACAAATGATCAATGTAATGAAAAGTTGGCATTTTGAAAAGATAAACAAAATCAATAAACTGCTAGTTAGACTAACAAAAAATAAAAAAGAGAAAACCCAAATAAATAAAATCAGAAACAAAAAAGGAGACATGACAACAGATACCACAGAAATATAAAAGATGATCAGGGACTATTATGAACAACTATCTACTAACAAACTGGAAAATGTAGAGGACCTAAATAAATTCCTGTACACATGCAACCTACCAAGATTGAATCAGGAAAAAAAAAAATAGAAAACTTGAGCAGAACAATAATGAATAATGAGATTGAATCAGTAATAAAAAGTCTTCCAACAAAGAAAAGTGCAAGATTGGTTGGCTTCGCTGCTGAATTCTGCCAAACACACAAAGAAGGAATAGTACCAATCCTCCTCAAGCTATTTCAACAAATTGAAGAGGAAGGCATTCCTCCTAACACATTCCACAAGACCAGCATTACCCTAATAGCAAAACAGACTAGGATGCAGCAAATCAAAAAAAAGCTACAGGCCAATATCCCTGATGAGTATGGACACAAAAATCTCCCCAAAATATTAGCAAACCAAATTCAACAGTACAGAAAAAGGTAATACACCATGATCAAGTGCAATTTATCTCAGGGATGCAAGAATACATATACTAATCAATAACTGTGATACATCACATCAACAGTATCAAGGAAAAAACCCATATGATTATCTCAATAGATACAAAACTCTCAAGAATCTAGATGTAGAAGGGACATACCTCAACATAATAAAAGCCATATATGACAAACCTACCACTAACATTATACCAAATAGGTAAAAGCTGAAAGCCTTTCCTCTAAGAACTGGAATAAGACAAGGATGCCCACTTTCACCACTCCTATTCAACATAGTACTGGAAGTCCTAACCAGAGCAATCAAGCAAGAGAAAAAAAATAAAAGGCATCCAAATTGGAAAAGAGGAAGTAAAATTGTCTCACTTTGCAGATGACATGATTTTATATTTAGAAAAACCTAAAGCTCTTATGTCTGATAAATTCAGTAAAGTTACAGGATACAGAGTCAACATACAAAAATTAGTAGTGTTTTTATATACCAATAATGAACTAGCTGAGAAAGAAATCAAGAAGGCAATCCCGTCTATACTAACTAAAAAAATAAATAAAATATACAGGAATATTTTTAACTAAGGAGGTGGAAGACCTCTAAGAGGAAAACTATAAAACTCTGATGAAAGAAATTGAAGACGACACAAAGAAATGGAAAGACGTCACATGCTCATGGATTGGGAGACTTGACATCATTAAAATGACCATACTACTCAAGGCAATTTACATATTCAATGCAATCCCTATTGAAATACCAGTGTCAATTTTCACAGAAATACAAAAAAAACCATACTAAAATGTGTATAGAACCAAAAAAGAAGCTGAATAGTCAAAGCAATCCTGAGCAAAAAGAACAAAGCTGGAGGCATCATACTACCTGATTTCAAAATATATTACAAGGTTATAATAATCAAAGCAGCATGGTATTGGTATAAAAAGGGGAGCATAGACAAGTGGAATACAATAGAGCACACAGAAATAAATCCACATATTTACAGCCATAGAGTTTTTACAAAGGCTCTATGAGCCCCAAACATCTGAGACAGGTCCCAGTCAGTTTAGAAAGTTATTTTGCCAAGGTAAGGTTAAGGATGCATGCCTGTGACCCAGCCTCAGGAGGTCCTGATGATATGTGCCCAAGGTGGCTGGGGGACAACTCAGTTTTACACATTTTAGGGAAATAAGAGACATCAATCAATATATGTAAGATGACCACTGGTTCAGTCAGAAAAGGCAGGACAACTCTAAGCAAAGGCAGGACAACTCAAACTGGGGAGGGGGCTTCCAGGTCATAGGTAGATAAGAGACAAATGGTTGCCTCCTTTCTAAAGGAGGCAATTGGATATGCATTCATCTCAGTAAGAAGAGGGATGACTTTGAATAGAAGGAAAGGCAGGTTTGCCCTAAGCAGTTCCCAGCTTGCCTTTTCTCTTTAGCTTAGTGATTTTGGGGTCCCAAGACTTGTTTTCCTTTCATGGTGCCAAGAATATACACTGGGAAAGGACATCCTCTTCTATAAATGGTGCTGGGAAAATTAGAGCTCCATGAAGCTCTAATGCAGAAGCATGAACCTGGACCCCTAGGTTCACTGTAGATCTCATACCATATATTAATACAAAAACCAGCTCAAGATGGATCAAAGACTTAAACATAAGACCTGAAAATATAAAACTACTACATCAGGGAAACACTTCAGAACATTTGTCTAGGCAGAGATGTTGAGGATAAGACCTCAACAGCACAAAAATAGACAAAAGAGACTTAACCTAAAAAGCTTTTGCATAGCAAAGAAAACAACCAACAGAATGAAGAGATAACCTGATGAATGGAAGAAAATACTTGCAAACTATTAATCTCACAAGGGGCTAATATCTAGAAAATACTCAAGGAACTCAAATAACTCAGTGCAATAATAATAATAATCCCGTTGAAATGTGGGCAAAGGACATGAATAGACATGTCTCAAAAGATGACATACAAATGGCCAACAGGTATATGAAAAAATGCTAACCATCATTAATAGTCAGGGAAATGCAAATCAGAACCACAATGAGATATTATCTCACCCCAGCTAAAGTGGCTATTATGGAAGAGATTAAAAAAAACAACAAAACAAAACAAAAAAACAGATGTTGGCAAGGATGTGGGAGGAAAATGACTCTCATACACTGTTTATGGGGATGTAAATTAGTACAGCCACAATGGAAAACAGTGTGGAGATTTCTCAAAAAGCTAAAAAAACAAAAAACAAACAAACAAAAAACTATACAATCCAACCATCCCATTACTGGGTATTTATCCAAAGGAAAAGAAATCAGTATATCAAAAGGATACCTGCACGCCCATGTTTATCACAGCGCTGTTCACAGTAGCTAATATATGTGGGGTGTGGTGATGAAGAGAGGTTGATGAACGGACACAAACATACAGTTCAATAAAAGGAATAAGTTCTAATGTTAGATAGCAGAGTAGGGTGACTATGGATAGCAACGATGTACTGTATATAGCTAGAAGAGAGAACTTCAAATCAAATGTTCCCAAAACATAAAAACCATAAATACTTGAGGTGTTGGGTGCCCTAAATACCCTGACATGATTATTACACATTCTGTGCATGTCACAAAATATCACATGTACCCCATAAATATGCACAAATATTATATATCCATTTTAAACATCATAAAAGAAATGAGGGAGATGCCACCCCATATTCCTTGCTCAGAACAAACTTGACTTGTATGTTTCTAAGCAGCTGGTACTATGAGCATTTTGAGGGCAGATTCTGAACTTTATCTCCAGATCATCTGTGCTTAGCATTTGACACTAAAACTGAATATTGAATTCAATCTTACCTATCACAAGGTATACGTGTAGCTCTGGGAGCTTACGTATTTGGAGAGAAGTCAGTGACATGAATATTGATTACTGCTCCTACATGTCAGCCTGTATGCCAATCACTTTGCAGATGGTAGGGAACCTGGATTGTTTTGCCATTTAATCCTTATAATTCTATGAAACACAGGTTTATAGACCAGAAACTGAAAGTCAGAACGGTTAAGGTCATACATCCAGTTAGTTTAGCATCAAGATTGGGATCCCATCTGTATACTTCCAAACACTGGCTCCTTCTACTCACCATGGTTTCTCATTAATCCTCACCACCTTCTCTGCCCATTCATTAATTCAGTTACTTATTCATTTATTCATTAAATCCGGCAACAAATAAATATTCATGGAGAACCTTCCACGTGCCAGACTCTCTTCTAGGCAACTGCAGTGGAGCAACAAAAGACAAGCAAGGACCGTACCCAAATGAAGCTTATATCCCAGCTAGGAAGGGATTTGACCATCTAAATAGCATTCAGATGGCTGATCTATAAAATATATAAATAGGGAAACGTCATTCAGGGATGGTCACCTGTCAAGTAAAGCTTTCTTGAAGAGGTAACATTTGAGCTGAGACCCAAACAATGTCCCTTGAAGTGGTTCCAGCTGACATATCCTCCTGCCCGTCAACATACTCTTTCATTTATTCCTGAAATTGACCCACAGAATATTCTAAGCCACCCCCAGGCCTCCTGGGGATCCGTTTTGAAAGCTGGATTTACAGATTAGTAAGAACAGATCCCAGCCTGCCTCCTTGCCAAAGTCCTGTCGGCACTTGCAGATGGTTTTTACAGATTGCTGCTTCTTATCTGTCTGGGCTGGCCCTCTCACTCGAAGGGAGAAACAGCTCATGGGAGATGGATGATTTCCAAGCAGCTTTTAGGCAGCAAGTCGTCCCTGTGGTTTTCACCCCCAGAGAACCCTTGGCTTATGTCCTTTATCTCCCTACACCACTGTCCCCGTAAAGAAAAGAACTAGGAGTGACTGAGTGTCTACTATGCTCCAAACACTGCACTTTGCACACTCATCTGAAAATGCCTTTCATTCTCATGCCCTGGGCATTACCTTCTTATACCTGGTGACACAGTCTTGCTCGTGGTCACAAATATGGCAATTGCTCTTTCCTCTACAGAAGTATTTATTTGTAAGGAAATACATCTGGAGGCAGCACACTAACTACTGAATATTTAATGTAAGTAATATAAGGCTATAGTAAGAGAAATACTGGGCCCGAACAGGAAAGAAATTAAATTAACAGAGAAACTGCATGAGGTGTGAATTCAGGCAGACTTGGATTCTAAATCTTCTTCACTATAGCACAGTGATTTTTAAGGAATCATTTAACTTCCCTAAGCATTTTTTCTCCATCTGAAAAGTGATGTTAATGCTACCTAGAGAAGTTTAATAGAGTAAGGAAAAAGGTTGGTCCCAGACAAAGCTGAGCAGTATATGATTGTGTCCAAGGGTGAGAAGAGTAAACATAGAGTAATATTCACTTCAAAAATGTACTATAATCTGGCTAGTTGCGGTGGCTCATGCCTGTAATTCCAGCACTTTGGGAGGTCAAGGTGGGTGGACCACCTGAGATCAGGAGTTTGAGACCAGCCTGGCCAACATGGTGAAACCCTATCTCTACCAAAAATATAAAAATTAGCCAGGCGTGGTGGTGGGCGCCTGTGATCTCAGCTACTCAGGAAGCTGAGGCAGGAAAATTGCTTGAACCCGGGAGGTGGAGGTTGCAGTGAGCCGAGATCACACCACTGCACTCCAGCCTGGGCGACAGAGCGAGACATCGTCTCAAAAAAAAAAAATAGTATAATCTAAGGCTTAGGTATGAGAGTTTTGTTGTTGTTGGTGGTGGTGGTGGTAGTGGTGGTTTTTTACAATAATGGCATTGTTTTTGGCCCACCAAACATCAGTTTCTTAGGGTGAAATCACATTCCCCAAGCTCACTAAACTGGGGAAAAGCCAGAATATAAACTTTTTAAATAAGGACTAGATTGTGATACAACCTCAAGGTCGACAGCATTTCCACTGTTCACTTGAAAGCACACGGGAAGCCAAATTATGATCCGAAGGTCTACTGGTGAACATGGAATCAGAACAAGAGAATTCAATGGAACACCTCTTTCAAAGCATCCAAGACAAGTTTGTCCTCCCACAGCACTGGTGAAGTTTGTCTCCACAGCTCATCTGCTTCTTTGGGTCCTTTCTATGGCCTCTTGCCTTCTCTTAGAAAGGCTAACACATGGCTTATACCTGTAATCCCAGCACTTTGGGAGGCCGAGGCAGGTGGTGCATGCCTGTAATCCCAGCTGCTCAGGAGGCTGAGGCAGGAGAATCACTTGAACCTGGGAGGCAGAGGTTGCAGTGAGCCCAGTTCGTGCCACAGAGCAAGACTCTGCCTCAAAAAAAAAAAAAAAAAGGGAAGGCTAACACGTTCAATTGAGTTACTTCAAGTCTTTTAGACCCAAGAAACATTTTTCTGTTAGAAGTGATTATGCATCACCCTCTTCTGATCTCCTTATGTTGGTTTTATAATTTAGCTTTCAGGAAGGTATCTTAGTTCTTTGTAAAAGAGTCTTAGGGGTAAGAGATCTGGGTAAGTGTAAGCGATGATTCTTTTCCTCTTACATTAATCAAATTCACAGTTTAAGACATTCCATAAAAGGAAAATCCTGCCCCAAAAGATGTCCCTTATAAATTTTAAAAAAACGTTTAGAGAAGAAACAACAGTTCTACACACTGTCTTCCAGAAAACAGAAGACAGAATGCCTCATACCTCGCTTTCTGAGGTCAGCGTTACCCTGATAGTCAAATCAGATGAAGGCAGGATTAGAAAAGAAAACTGCTGACCAATAATCCTCTTGAACATAGACACAGAAATCCTCATCAAAATATTAACAAATCGGCTGGGTGTGGTGGCTCATGCGGTAGTCCCAGCACTTTGGGAAGCCAAGGTGGGTGGATCACGTGAGGTCAGGAGTTTGAGACCAGCCTAGTCAACATCGTGAAACCCCAGCTCTACTAAAAATACAAAAATTAGCTGGGCATGGTGGTGCATGCTTGTAATCCCAGCTACTCGGGAGGCTGAGGCAGGAGAATCGCTTGAACCCAGGAGGCGGAGACTGTGGGTGGGCCGAGATTGCACCACGCCATTGCACTCCAGCCTAGGTGACAGAGCAAGACTCTGTCTTAAAAATAAATTAATTAATTAAATAAATCTACCACAAAAAAAACACCATGACCAAGTGGGGTTTATTTTATGAATGCAAAGCTTGTTCAATAAGTAATCATCTAACAGTCTAAAGAAGAAAAACCAAATGATTATATAGTTGGTGCAGAAAAGGCATATGACAAAACTTAGTATCTATTCATAATAGAAATTCTCAGCAACTAGAAATAAAAGGAAACTTTCTTAACCGGAGAAAGGATATCTACAAGAAACCTGCAGTTCACATCACAGTTAACAGTGAAAACTGAGTAATTTCTCCCAAAGATCAGGAACAAGGCAAAGGTGTCCATCCTCACTAGTGTTCAACATCACACTGTAAGTGCTTGCCAGTGAACTGAGGCAGGAAAAAGAAGCAAAAGGCCTACATATGGGAAAGAAAGAAATAAAACTGCACTTATTTTCATAAGAAATAATTTTCTACACTAAAAAACTTCTAGACCTAGTAAGTGCATTTAGCAAGGCCACAGGACACAAAGCCAACACACAAAAATCAATCAGATTCCTGTATACTACTCATCAACAATTGGAAACTAAAGTTTTTTTAAGTTTATAATAGCTGCCCCCCCAATTAAATACTTAGATATAAACCTAACAAGTTAAATACTTAGATATAAACCTAACAAGTCATCTGCAATAGGAGTCTGCAAACTTTCTGCAAGGAGCACATAGTAAACTTTTTAGACTTTGCAGGCTGCTATGATCTCTATTGAATGTTCTTTGTTTTTGTTCTGTTTTGTTTTATTTTGAGGATTTTTAGAAACTTCTTAACTCACTAGTCCCACAAAATAGGCCACAGACCAGATTTAACTGCTAGGTCATAATTTGCAAACTCCTGACCTATAGGATCTGTATGCTAAAAACTACAAAATTCTAATGAAAAAAATCAAAAAAGACACAAATAAATGGGGAGACATCCTGTGTTCATGGTTTGGAAGACTCGGTGTAGTAAAGACAACAGTTGTCTCAGAATTGATCTACAGATTTAACAAAGTATCAATCAAAATCCCAGAACTTGTTTGTAGATACAGACAAGTTGATTCTAAAATTTATATGAAAAGGCGAAGGAACGAGCAAAGCTAAAACTGTTTTTTTTTAAAAGTATAAAGTTGAAATGATTACACTACCCAATTTTAAGGCTCATTACAAAAGTATGGTAATTATGATAGTGTGGTATGAGTGAAAGAGGAGACACTTAGATCGATGGGATAAAATAAAGAGACCACAAATTGATGCACAAATATAGTCATCTAATTTTAGACAAAGGTGAAAAAACAATTCAATCAAGAAAGGGTAGTCTTTTTGGTAGATGGTGCTAGAACAACTGGATAATCTATATGCAAATATGAATATTGACCTAAACCTCACACCTTGTAAAAAATTAACTCAAATATATTAACTTAAACATAAAATCAAAAACTGTAAAACTTTTAGAAGTAACATAAAAGAAAATCTTTGTGCCCTGGAGCTAGGGAAAGATACATATCAAAAGCACAATCTATAAAAGAAAAAAAAAATAATATACTGGACTTTATCAAAATTAAAACTTTTTCTCTAATGAGTTTTCTTTGGCATCACTTCACTAAAATAAAGGGATGTTTATAGAGATTTAAAGGAAGGGATGCCAAGGTGCCTCTGGGCATGGTTACATACTCTGTTCCATCATCCCTGATAGGGCAGGAGCCACATGTTTTCTTTGGGTTGGATAATGGCCGTAACCATACACCTACTTTAGGGTCATTGTCAGAAACTGCCCTTTGCCTTGCATGTCTGTACAGGCCCAGTCACCTTCTCAAAAAAGGCAAAAATTAGAAAGCCATGCAGAGGAGAAACACTTGCTCAGGAAAACAATCAACTAGCAATTATTTTTTTACAATGAAATATCAAAGTATTATTTCCTCCTAAAAATATTCCTCTCTGAAACGTCTCATGTTTGAAGTTAATTTAAAATATTACTGGTGCCTTTCTTCTTCAGTGCATTTTCTTTGAAGAGACTTTTCAAAACCTTGGCCATCAGGCTTTCTCTCATTCGAGATGAGTGTTCTACGTAATAAGTAGTCTTGATATCTTTCCTACTAGGAGGCAGAAAACTCTTCAGTTTTATAGTAAACTGGAGAAAATATGTATGCATTGGTGTATCCTCATCAAGGTGGCAGGAGGAGACTTGAAAAGGTGATATGTGCCTCGTAGGTGATTCTTTCTTCCCTGGTTTCTAAGCTCAGCACATTTTTTACTAAATCAAGCACATTACATTTCAAAGCCCTAATATATTTATTAAATATTCAATTTACACAGTCCACAGCTTCTTAGCTATCACGAGATCAGTTGCCTCTGCCCTGAGATCTGCTGGACGCGGTTCCAACTGGCCTCTTTTCAGGATTCCTCCTTACAGCCTGATGAGAATGAATAGGAGATAAAGGACAAGGAGGAAAGATCTGGTAGCCTGGCAAGTGAGAGATGGAAAAATGGGGGGACAAATGATGGTTTCCAAAAGAAGAGAATCTTTAAACGACGTGCATTTTAAGTGAAGAGTTCTGGAAGTTTCATCCCTATAAAGCTGTAGGGACGTCTACTCTAGAGTGAAGTTTTATGGCAGCAGTCACAGGGAGATACGCAAAGATGAATGGTGTTGCCTTGGAATGAACGTTTTATGAGTTCGCTCTGGTTGCTAGGTATGTGCGAAACATTCTTTCCTTGGGTCAGAGATTTTATTACCTTTCCAATGGCCAGGGTTTCACTGTTATAACTGATGAAAAACATTTGTGCCGTATTCAAAGGGCTGAATAACCAGCTCATAACAACAGGCCACATTTATGGGGGAAATTGGAGGAGTCACTTCAATCCAAGCAGCCCAGACTAGTTCAGACCAGAGGCCGAAAGAGAAAGAGTAAAAGTGCCGGTCCCAGGGAGGCCAACTCAGGACACCAGCCACAGAAGCCAAAATGTCCAGGAGATAGGACTTATTCCAAGACACACTTCACTCATGTGCTCATGAGGACCTTCAGTGGTAAGTGGAGATTGAAGCTTCCTGGATACTGGCAGAGCCAAATAATTCAATTTGGCCAAACTCAAGGCTTCATGGTTAATTTTGCTTTGGCTTTGCCTAGAGCCACTATCTGCAGGTCAGAGGTGGAATTTCTTGGATTTTAAGTTGAAACCAAAAGATCCTGATGAGCTCTGCCATACTATCAAAGGGAGGCCTGAAGAAGTGAGAGAGAAAAGGAAAAGGCAAAAGTTGGCAGGAGGAAAAAGGGAGGAAAGAAAGAAGCTAGCTGCTTATTTAGCACTTAGCAAATATGTGGCTTGTGCTAAGGACGTATGACATCTCATGCTATGGTCAAGAAAGACTAAATGAAACTTGCTCTCTTGAGACATCTCATAAAAGAGTGGACCATTCAAACTAAAAGGATATTAGCAATTGAGTGGGTTCGTTTGTTTGTATAAAATACATGTTTACAACATAATGCTATGGAAGGTATATAGAAAGTAAAATAGTAAGCCTACAGGACTTATGGGACATCATTAAGTAAACAAATCTTCACACTGTGAGTATTTCAAAGGGAGAGAGACCGAGAGGGGCACAGAAAGCTTATTTAACAAAATAATTGTTGAGTGTTTTTTAAACCCTATTTTTCAGAGGCAGCAGCAAACTTTGGTTCAAATGAAATCATCAAGAAACCCACTGCACAGAAACAGATAAAAGTATAACTATGACCTTAGGGGACATTTGAGTTTCCTAAATAAGAAAGAGAGTTGGTGAAAGAAACAGACAAGAGCTCAGATGACAGATCTCTCTCACTCTTTCTCTCCCCGCCAAACCCCCAACCTTAATTATTTCCACCACATCATACCACTTCCTTATGGAGGCCTAACAAATCTTCCTGAATTCATGTTTCATCTCTCCAATAACATCATCATCCCCATCACCTCTCGGCCTTTTGGCTAAGGTCAAGTGTCAAGATCATAAGCTTGATCATAAACAAATGTCAAATCTCATACTTGTTTCACTTATTTTACATTCAGGGGTACATGTGCAGGTTTGTTACACAGGTAAACTGCATGTCTGAGGGGCTTGGTGTACAGATTGCTTCGTCACCTAGGTAATAGGCGTAGCACCCAACAGGCAGTTCTCCAACCCTCTCCCTCTACTCACCCTCCAGCCTCAAGTAGGCTCCATGGTCTGTTGTTCCCTTCTTTATATTCATGTGTACTTAATATTCGGCTCCCACTTATAAGTGAGAACAGGTATTTGGTTTTCTGTTCCTGATGTTAGTTTGCTTATGATAATGGCCTCTAGCTCCATCTATGTTGCTGCAAAGGACATGATCTCATTCTTTTCTAAGGCTATAGTATTCTTTTTTTATTTCCAACTTTTAAATTCAGGGGTACATGTGCAGGATGTGGTTACATAGGTAAATATGTGCCATAGTAGTTTGTTGCACAGATCATCCCATCACCTATGTATTAAGCCCAGCATTCATAGCTATTCTTTCTGATGCTCTCCCTCCTCACACCCCCACCCTCCTACAGGCCCCAGTGTATGCTATTCTCCACCATGTGTCCATGTGTTCTCATCATTCAGCTCCCACTTATAAGTGAGAACATGCGGTATTTGGTTTTCTGTTCCTGCATTAGTTTGCTGAGGATAATGCCTTCCAGCTCCATCTATGTCCCTGCGAAGTACATGATCTCATTCCTTTTTATGGCTGCATGGTGTATATGTACCACATTTTCTTTATGCAGTCTATCATTGATGGGCATTTGGGTTGATTCCATGTCTTTGCTATTGTGAATACTGCTGCAATGAACATATACATGCATGTATCTTATAATAGAATGATTTCTATTCCTTTTTGTGTATATACCCAGTAATGGGATTGCTGGGTCAAATGGTATTTCTGCCCCTAGGTCCTTGAGGAATCACCACACTGTCTCCCACAATGGTTAAACTAATGTACGCTCCCACCAATAGCGTAAAAGCATTCCTTTTTCTCTACAACCTCACCAGCATCTGTTGACTTTTTAATAACAGCCATTCTGACTGGTGTGAGATGGTATCTCACTGTGGTTTTGATTTTGCATTTCTCTAATGATCGGCGATATTGAGCTTTATCCCATGTTTGTTGGCCGCATGTATGTCTTCTTTTGAGAAGTGTCTGTTCATGTCATTTGCAACCACTTTTTATTGGGGTTGTTTTTTTCTTACAAGTTCATTTAAATTCCTTGTAGATGCTGGATATTAGACCTTTGTCAGACACATAGTTTGCCAATATTTTCTCCCATTCTGTAAATTTTCTGTTCACTCTGATGATAATTTCTTTTACTGTGCAGAAGCTATTTAGTTTAATTAAATCCCATTTGTCTATATTTGCTTTTGTTGCAATTGCTTTTGGCATCTTCACCATGAAAACTTTAACTGTGCCTATGTTCTGAATGGTATTGCCTAGATTTCCTTCTAGGGTTTTTATAGTTTTGGGTTTTACATTTAAGTATTTAATCCATCTTGAGTTGATTTTTGTATATGGCATAAGGAAGGTGGTCCAGTTTCAATTTTCTGCTTATGGCTGGCAAGTACTCCCAGCACCATTTATTAAACAGGGAATCCATTCCCCATTGCTTTCATCAGGTTTGTTGAAGATCAGGTGGTTGTAGGTATGTGGCCTTATTTCTGGGTTCTCTATTCTGCCCCATTGGTCTATGTGTCTGTTCTTGTACCAGTACCATGCTGTTTTGGTTACTATAGCCTTGTAGTATAGTTTGAGGTTGGGTAGCATGATGCCTCTTGCTTTGTTCTTTTTCCTTAGGATTGTATTGGCTATTGGGGCTTTTTGGTTCCAAATGAATTTTAAAATAGTTTTTTCTAATTCTGTGAAGAATGTCAATGGTAGTTTAATGGGAATAGCATTAAATCTATAAATTGCTCTGGGCAATATGGCCATTTTCACAATATTGATGCTTCCTATCCATGAGCATAGAATGTTTTTCCATTTGTTTGTGTCTCTGATTTCTTTGAGCAGTGGTTTATAGTTCTCCTTGAAGAGGTCCTTCACTTCCCTTGTTAATTGTATTCCTAGGTATTTTATTCTTTTTGTAGCAATTGTGAATGAGAGTTCATTCATGATTTGGTTCTTGGTTTGCCTGTTGTTTGTGTATAGAAATGCTAGCGATTTTCGCACATTGATTTTGTATGCTGAGACTTTGCTGAAGTTGCTTACCAGCCCAGGGCACAGGGCTTGGAAGGTCTGTAGTCAAGCAGGGTTATTCCAAGTGGTGCATCTATGGAGGTACCACCCCAGAACGGAGAGACAAGTTTTCATAGAAAGAAAAATCACTCACTAGGTGTGAAGCTGGGACAAGCACAAAACTAGAGAATGGGCAAGGATTAGGGAAGCAAGAGGTCCAAACAGGACACAGTGCTAATGCTGCAAAGAATGAGAATTCATTTGTTAAAAACAGATATATTCTAATATTGTTGCTATCGTTGATTATGTAAGCATGTTAAGAATATGTTAAAGCATGTTAAGTCCCTAGGCTTCTCAAATCCTCTTCCTCTCCCTTTACTGTTATATAACATAATCAGACTGGACATGGGCTCATGAGAGGGATGTAGGTCTCAGTTCAATTCGATAAATATTTATGGTACATCAGACACTTTGCAAAGAGCTAGGATACAGAGTTCCTTGACTTCAAGAAACAAACAGATACTCCTTTCCTTCAAAAATAGGAAAAATGCATCCCTGCCTTCAAAAAGCAAGTAGTCTCTTCAAAAAATGCTTGAATAATTTCAGTACAGAGGGCTAAGTGTTTAACACAGTGTCTGATAACAAATACCCAATGCATATCTGTTGAAGGCATGAACGAATGATAGAAGTACACCTCCAGTGGTACATGAGTATAGCGCAGAAATGAGTACAGTCTAAGGTAGGACATGATTGAAAGAAAAATCAATTCAGTAAAAAAAATTAATAAATGTGAAATGAAGTGATATGTTTTAGACCACTTTGGATTTTACGAAATACTTGTACATGGAATGTCTCATTTATACTCACACCAACAAATAAGGAAGGTAGAATCCCTCCTCATTTTTCATATAAGTCAATAGAAAAGTAGGAAACAGGCCAAGGTCACCCAGCTAATGAAAGTCAGAGCTGGTACTTAAACCCATTTCTTGCAACTCTAAAGTTTGTGTATTTTACAGAAGCCCATGCTGCCACCAAGAGTCGACAAGTCTCAGATCTCTACTTGGAACCTTGCATTCAAAATGTACTTCCACTACCATTTTCTAAGGTGTCTACCATTGACTAAGGTGTCATTTCGGCTTCCAAAATGGGAAGGTGGGGAATCTTATGAAATTTCTGGAGCCATCACCTTGACTCTCTTTTCCTGGCCCCAGCAGATAGAAAAACAAATGGTGAAAAGGAAAATGATAATAGTAGTAAAATGATAGTATTAATAAAGTAGTAGATATACTCTTTAACAAAAATGCATTAAATGAATGCAAATCATTTAACAAATCATCAGTCATAATCACAGGAAGGTATTGTTAGCATAATGTTTGAGGGAACAATAAAATCATACATATATACCATTTTCAGGTACAGCATCATCAATTTAACTTTGTGAGAAATTGAGCTACTTTTTGCAGTTCTCCGAGCATTGAGTCCTTGCATGTAAATGAGAAATAACTTGGGCTACTAATGAGAACTCTGAACATAAAGGCAGCACCAAAGCATGGTGCTGCATGAATGAAATGGCTATTTACATTTGTTTAATTGTCTAGTTAATTAGGGGACCATAAAATCAGAATGGGCTTGAGAGTTAAAGGGATAGCAGAGAAAATGCAACTGATAGTCTTCTGCTCCTTATCAAATCAAGATTCGCCTGTAAATAATTGCTCCCTGGAAGTTTGCTTCCTATTGCATACCTTGTCAAATCTAAAGGGATCTGCTCAGCATCCTAAAAGCCTCCAAGACCTCATTCCTCCGTGGTGGGCAGTAGAAAGAGCAGTGTGCTAGAAGTGTGAACCCAGAGGTCTCACTCCATCTTGGAAAAGCCTCCACCCTTCCTCCTCCTCTCCCATGTCAGTCCTCCCCAGGGACCCCACCCATGGGCTTCCAGCCAGAGTCATGGATCACCCCATCCTGCCCACTCTACTTCCTTCACACAGCCACATCCATCTGCTCCTTTGCAGCACAGGTCAGGGCTCACCTTCCACCTGGGCTGTGGCTACCACCTAGTCAGCCTACCTGTCTCCAGCCTCCCTCTGTACTGCAAGGTAATCCTCTAAGACACAAATCAGATCAAGTCACTCTCACAATGGAAACTCTTTACTGTTTCTCACAACCTTAGAGTAACCGAAGATGAGAATTCAAAGCTCCTCGCCCAGCAGTGTTGACACATGCAGGCTTTACTGTATTTCTTTGATTTGAGGACATGCTGTAAAATCATAATATTAACAGTTTTGTATTTATGAAGTTGGGCAGTCTTAATATGTACAGATAATGCAGTAGAAAAGCTTATTTTTCTGTTAAAAAATTGGATTTATGATGTATTTTAGAACTAAGGAGACGAAGTATGAAGAAAAAAAGTAGGAAAAATTTTGCTCCATCTATAAGGGAATAGGAGGGATATTTTGAAAATTGAAATATCCACACCATGGTTTTATTATCTTTTTTTTTAAAGTGCATGAACTTGAAGACAGGCCTGGGTTGTCTCCCAATTCTAACACTTTCTAGCTCTTTGACCTTGGAAAAGTTATTCAACTCACTAAACCACATATAAAATAATACCTATCTCACAGTGCTACTCAAAGAATAAAGTTATATAAGTTAAGATAAGCATCTACCACATGTGCAAAGGGAAGGTCTAAGAAAGAAAATATATAGTAATGGGAATTAATATTATCATTAATGATATTAAATATTATTTCCTACCATAAATTTAGCATTTCCTAAATATCACATTGTTCTTTTCCTCAGTTGATACTATTGTGGCAACTGTAGAAATGAAATGCAGTTGAATGAAGCATCAACAAAACTCTACTTACAACCTAAAGATGCATTTTTAAATTCCAATTTTAAAAAAAAAGTCTATAACCTAACCAAGCATTCCCTTTTCAATTATAGAAATTTCAAATTTGCTTTTACAAAAACAAAAGATGTTTAGATGGTCTGTTAGAGATGATTATGATGGGGTTGGGTCTGTATTTAATACTGCTTTGAATCAGAAGGAAGGATATAATTGTGTTGCATATTATATTTAATGGAAGTCCGGTAGACTTTCACCCTTAAGTCTTTTATTGCCAATCTTGTTCAGCAAGGAGCAGGTGAAACTCTTCACAAGCTTGCCCTATTCCATTTCGATTAATTCAGCAAGCAAGACCGAATTGGCTGTTTAAATTATCAGTCAGCGGTAGAACGGACTGTTATTAGCACAATATATGCCAGAAATCATGGAGACAGTGCTGGTAGTCTTCTCAGCCAATCAGAGCATGGCACTTATCCAAAAGATTTTGTCATTTTAAATTAATCAGCCTATACTCCCCTCACATGACCAGGGCCAAGGGTGGGCACAGGCAGAAAAAGGAGTACATGTCCAGCTGACTGAATGTTGCATAAATGTGACTGTTGCAATCGAGGTCTGAGCAGTGCCTGATGCTACACATCTTTGGGACAACAGGCAGGAGGGGAACAGAGGAAACTTAATTACAGCATGTTTAAGCCGCTCACGGAGCTGCCCGGGGAGGGAGACTTAATGGGTGTCAACACAATTACGAATCTTCACACACATTTGAAAATAACAGACTGTGACAAGGACACAATTGCCGTGTTGTCATCTCATCTGCACAGCGATTTGACATACTGGATATCAACGCGGAATTGAATTAGAGAAAGAGATTGCAAGGCAATTTCCCAGCCTGGCTTTCCAATTTCTCTGGCAGCCAAGGGAGAATAAGCCCAAAAGTCATTCCAGCAGCCCAGCTACCCCTTACCCCACCCTAGCCCTGCTCTTGCCTCAAACACTGATAAAATCATGATGGTTTCACATCAGCTCCTCGGCTGGCAACCTCAAGACACTCAGAAGACGCTTAGAAGGTGAAAATAAGGGAATGCTTATCTCAAACACTCCTCAGACCTGTGCTATCAGAACTCCTTGGGTCTTCCTCTTACCTATTCTTACTCTCTTAACCCCCTAACAAAACCCTCTGCTAGCTGTCACCCAGTAGGTCTCCCTCCCCCAGAGCTCTGAGAGTGGCTTAAACATGTTGTAATTAACTTTCCTCTTTTCCTCCCTCCTGCCTGTTGTCCCAAGGGTGTGTAGCATCAGGCACTGCTCAAACCTCAATTGCAGATGGTCACATTTACGTAATATTCAATTTCTCTGGGCATTTGCCCAAGTTACTCAAGTTCGCCCTTTCTGAATCACAATCTCTCCATCTCTAATTTGGAGTTAGGAGGAACTGGTAGGCTACATCAGGATCACCTGGAAAATTCCTTTAAAATGTAGACTTCTAGGTGCCCAAGCTAGACCTACTGAATTGGAATCTTCACAGGGTGAAACCCAACCGTCTGTATTTTTAACAATCCCCCTTCTCCATCGCCCAGCTCCTAAGGCAATCAGCTCTGTACCAGTCACCAGTCCTTTATAGAAAGCTAGAAAGGACTAGATGATCTGTTAGTAGCTATTCTAGTTCCATAATTTGTCAAGTTGTTCATCTGATCATAATAATACCCATGGGTCACTTACTAGATACCAGCTGACACTGGACTTTTGCACATATACCATCTCATGTAACCATCATGATAGCCCCTCTGAGGAAGGGTTATAGATTATCACCTACCCCTCTCTTGGGTCTTACTTAAAACATCAAGCTCCACTCCCCTGCTGCACGTCCTCAGGGCTCCTTACACTCCCCTAATCATCATAGCATCACACTCTTTACTGGTGCATCCTCCCAATTTGACATTGAAGAAATTAGCCTGATGTCCCCATAGAACTGCTTTATGGGTTGCTTTTTGTTTTTGTTTTTGTTTTTAATAAACATAGAAATTGACCCTCTCAGTCTTAAAGCTTGAAATTTATATTGGTGTTATCACAGTTCTTTTCTCAGGAAACCAACCGTCAGTCCTTCCAGATAGTATCAAAAAACTGAGGCTCACCATATCTGGACAATGAGATGCCAGACCCTCATCCATCATGATTGCCTAACTGACCACTTTCTTCCTATTGACCAATGCCTCTTCCTTACCTCTCCCTAATTCTTGTTTTTCCACATTTGGTTCTGCTACATAAACCTTTAATTTTAGTCAGTTGAAAAGATGATTTGAGACCTGTCTCCCATCTGCTCACCTGAAGCACCCAAAAAGTCTTCTTCCCTGGCAAAACTTGTCTCAGTGATTGGCTTTCTGTGTGGTAAGCAGCAGGACCTAGACCAAACCCCTGGCATTTCAGTAACAGCAAATCCCATGAAGTGTGGGATCTTGCTGTGTTGTTCATTGCTGTATCTCCAGGGCTGACACATGGTCAGTGCTTAATGTTGGCAGAATGAACATCGAACAGATGGGAAAACGGATGTTCAGAAAGGTGAAGTAACTGATATGGTTTGGCTGTGTCCCTACCCAAATCTCATCTTGCATTGTAGTCCCCATAATCCCCACGTGTGGTGGGAGGGACCCAGTGGGAGGTAATTTAATCATGGGGGCAGTTACCTCATGCTGTTCTGGTGATTGTGAGTTCTCGCGAGATCTAACGGTTTTATGAGGGGCTTTTCCACCTTTTGCTGTCATTCTCCTCCTTGCTGCCACCATGTGAAGAAGGACGTGTTTGCTTTGCCTTCTGCCATGATTATAAGTTTACCGAGGGCTCCCCAGCCATGCTGAACTGTGAGTCAATTAAATCTCTTTATAAATTACCCAGTCTTGGGTCTGTCTTTATTAGCAGACATGGGAATACACTAAATCAAGGTCATAGAATTTGAAACTGATTGTCTAACTCATTAGCTGGTACTCTTTATATTGTTTTCTTTATAGAGCACCCCACAGTCTGTTCCATCTTTATTCTTCCATCAGATCTTTCCTTCAGCCTTCTTTCCTTCAATCACTCCTCTATTTTGGCCCCACCTGCTGCCTGCAAATCTCACCTATGGGACTGCACTCTCCCTCCTCTCCTTCCTTCTTATTTCTTTCCATGGCACTCACACAACAGTCATGCCATGTATTTTTCATGGAGTAAGACTCTCTCTTTTGGCAATAAAGATCTAACCTCATGAAATTTCAGAAGACAATGTCCCTAAGATAGAAGTTCTTCATCTTCAGCACTTCAAAGTGACCCCAGCCATCAGATCAAAAGAAGAGAAAACCTATCAGCCTGACATCAAAGGCACCCCCATCCCACACACTGGCAGCCTCCCATGGAAACCTGTGGCACCATCGTGTTTTAAGTCTGTTGCTATCATTGCTATTCAGAACGGGTGAGCCTGCATGATTAATTTATCCTTCAAATAAGCTACATCAAAATTTGGTCTGAAATGTTGCTTGCTTACCCTTAGCTTTTGAGTTACGTTGTTTTATAAAAATTGCAAGTGCTATGATGGAGCCATGTATAAGGTGAGTCACTGAAGCTTGTGAAAAGGGCCCTGAACACCCAGGAGCCAAACTGGGACCAGAAGTGACACACACATGTGGGAAGCCGCCCTCTGTGGAAGCCTCATGCCATGGCTATGGCGTCCTCACCTGCATCAGCAGTGGCTGCGAATTGCCTGATGAGACTGGAAGCTCTAGGGGCATGAAGAGGCGCAAGCACTGCGTCTATGCGATCATGCGCTTTTCTTAGAATCAATGACCAGATATTTAATTTAGTGTTTAAGGAGCAATAACATGTCTTCATAGGCTCTGTGGGAAAGTCAGAGCATGAAAGATTTTTTAAAATTCCATAGTCTCGCCACTAGCAACATCAGTGAGCATTTTACAAGGTACAATAGGACATTCATAACAATATTTATATCAAAAAGTGGGTTTACATTTACATTTAAATATGTATAAATTGAAATATTTTACAATATAGTTATATGTTTATACAATTTTTATTGAATTATATTAATTTATATTGCATATGTATATATACTTGTGTATTTTATATTTTGTATTTATATATTACATATGTAATAGTGCTTGTATAATGTATAAATATATATAGTACTTACATACAAAATTATATATAAGTATATACAAATATATATATCTTAGATATAAAAGCCCCACTTTTGATATTAAAATAAATGCTGTTATGAATATCCTGCTATAAAGTCATATTGCTGATTATTCCTTTCTTTAGCGTAGAGTAGAAACCAAGCCAGTTCTCTCAAGGTACGAGAAATATCTTATTTTTTTGAAATCAAGTAAAATATCATTGAAACCCCTCATCTGCGAAGGCTGGCAAGCAAGCCACTTTCGGTCGTTTCATGTGGCCTCTCCAGGGAAATGAGGGCAAGCCCTGGTCAGGGCTGCTCACCATGCTATCTCTCCATGTAAATCTGGGGGAGCTTTCAAGGTCCCCAAGCCTCCCCCAACAGTGCCTGCCCCTGTGCGGGTTTACTCCAGGGTCTTGAGCTGCAGGCTCCTCAGGCCTACCCAGCACTCACCGCTCCAATTCCCAGGCATCTGCCTGGCATTTCAAGCCTTGCAGACCAAGGGCCTCTAGCCTGTCACTGAAGGATTCATCCCATTTATGTTCTTCCAGCACAAGCTCATTCATAATTTAACTTGTATCTGTACTGCCTTATGTAGGATGCTAGTTCACATGCTATAAATATTGTTTCAACTTTTTAAAAACCCATTTAAATGTTTTATTATGAAAATATTTGTATACACACAAAAAAATATGAAAATGCAGGCCGGGCATGGTGGCTCACATCTGTAATCCCAGCACTTTGGGAGGCCAAGGTGGGCAGATCACCTGAGGTCAGGAATTCGAGACCAGCCTGGCCAGCATGGTGAAACCCCATCTCTACTAAAAATACAAAAAATTAGCCAGGCACGGTGGTGCATGCCTGTAGTCCCAGCTACACGGGAGGCTGAGGCATGAGCTTGAACCTGGGAGGCGGAGGTTGCACGAGATGGCGCCATTGCACTCCTGCCTGGGTGACAGCATGAGACTCATCTCAAAAAAAAAAAAAAAAAGAAAAAAGAAAAGAAAAGAAAATGCATCATAGATGATGTATCTAGAATTACAAAACACCATTGTTCTGGAGACCCAAGTTTAAAATAGATTATTTCAATTCCCTTCAATCTCCCTGTATACCTCTCCCTCATTTCAAAGGGAAACATGATTTTGAATTTTGATTTTATTGTATTGGTACCTTGCTTTCATATAAAGTGTAACTGAATAATATCTATCCCTAAACAATTGTAAAGTTTTGTTTGCCTGAAGGTTATACAAATAGTATCATACTCTTAATATTCTTCAGAAACTTACTTTTATCATTCAGCATGTTTTCTTAAGATTCACAGTAACTGATGCATGCAGCTGTGGTTAATTCATTTTGCCATAGTATTCCATCACATGAAAAAACCTCTATTTATTTATGCATTCTCCTCTTAATGAATATTTGAGTGGTTTCCAGCTTTTGCTATTATCAACATTGCTACTAAGAATATATTTCTGCAGTTCTCCTGGTACACACAAACAAGAATGTATCTTTTGTGTATACCTGGAAGAGGAATTGCTGAGTCAGAGATATTACACATCTCCGCCTGAAAAGATAATGCCAATTTTTTCCCAACATGTTTATACACATTTTACATTCCCAACAACATACCGTAAAGTTCTGTTTTCTCTACTATTCTTCATTACTAAGTTTTATCAGTCTGCTAGGGGTGAAATGGCATCTACTTGTAATTTGTAATATGCATTTCCCTGATTTCTAATGAGATAGTACATCTTTGCATATGTTTATGGCCATTTCAAATTTCCTTTCCTCTGAAATGCTTCTATTTTTTGCCCACTTTTTTTAGATTGTCTTTTTCTTTTTGATCTGTTGTAAGTCTTTAGATATTAAACCATCATTGATTATATATGTTGAAAATATACATTTGTAGTTTGTCTTTATACTCTTAATATTGTTCTTTGATACATAAAGTTTCCATTTTTTTGCCTTTTGTGAAGATACAATTTACATGCAATATATTTCATGTTTTACACATATGGTTTGAAGAGTTTTGACAGTATCTACACAAGTGGGCAAAAAGATGTAGAGTGCTCCACCCCAGGATTTCCCTTTGTTCTGCTTTTCAGCCAATCATTGGCACCCCACCTATCATTGATAGGTTGTGTGTTACTGAAACACCAGGCATTCCATCTAGGCCCTGCTGCTCCTCACACAGAAAGCCAGTGACTAAGATGATGAGTATTGCCAAGGCAGAAGGCTTTAATTGGATGCTGCAGCCAAGGAGACGGGAGCTCAGTCTCAAATCCATCTCCCTGACCAGCTAAAATTAGGGGTGTTGATAGCAAGGAAGAAATGCAACAATGTGTAAGAAAACAGGAACTAAGGAGGGGCAATGAAGCAATCATGATGAATGAGGGGTCTGGCATCTCATTGTCCGGATGTGGTGATCTGATGAGTTTCACTAGAAACTCAAAATTTGGTAGGTTGAGAGGCCTGAAGGTCATTTCCTGAGGAAGGAACTCAAATAGAACCTTTTACTAACATAAGGTTTAATTTCTATGTTTACCCCCCTCCCAAAAAAAATCTATGGAACTATTGGGTTGGTTTCATTTCTATCACCAATGATTAATCTGGCAGTTCAAGAATGTCTCATAAATAGCATCTTTTGTGTCTGAATTCTTTCACTGAGAAGGTTCTGGAGGTACATCAATGTTGTTCTATCAGTATTTTATTTTTTATTGCTGAGCAGTGCTTTATTTTACAAATTTACCACGGTTTGTTTATCCATTCAATTGCTGATGGACATTTTACTTGTTTCCAGTTTGTTGATGAACATGAATAAAGCATCTAGAAACATTCGTGTATAAATCTTTGGGCATATGGTTTTATTTCTGTTAGGTAAATATCTAGGAGTGGAATTTCTGGGTCATATGGTCAGGGCATGTTTATCTTTATGAGAGACTGTCCAGCTCTTTTCAAATAGGGTTGAACTGTTTTATGATCCCACCAGTAATTTATGAAAGTTTGGATTACTCTACCTCTTCAGAAAAACTTGATAATGTCAGCCTTTTTAATCATTTTGGTCAGTGTGAAGTGGTGTCTCATTGAGGTTTTAATTTGCGTTTCCAAGATAACTAATAATGTTGGGCATCTTTTCAGGTGTTTATTGACCACTTGTATCTCTTCTTTTTTGAAGTGTATATTCAAGTCTTTTGTCAATTTTTATTCTTATTGAGTTGTAAGAGTTTTATATTCCAAATATTTGTATTAGATATACATTTTTTGAATAGTTTCTCCCGTGTGTCTTTTTATTTCATTTTCTCAAAGTATATTTTGAAAAATAGAAGTTACTGTGCCCAATTTATTTATTTTTTCTTTTATGATTAATGCTTTTTGGGTCTTATCTAAGAAAGCTTTGCCTATCCCAAGATCACCAAGAATTTCTCCTATGTTTTTCTCTAGAAGTTTTATGGTTTTAGGCTTTGCATTTAGGTCTATGGCCCATTTTAGATTAACTTTTGTGTACAGTAAAGGTTGAAATGAAGTTCATTGTTGTGCATATGTATTGTAAATTGTTCTAATTGACAATTAGAACATTTCTTATTGAATTGTCTTCGCATCTTCGTCAAAAATCAATTCACCATTTATGTGTGGGTTTGTTACTAGACTCTTTTTCTATTCTATTGATCTATATGTTTACCTTTATGCCAATACCACACTCTCTGGATTATTGTAGCTTTATGTTAAGACTTAAAATCAACTCATATAAGTCTTCCAATTGTCTTCTACTTTTTAAAAATTGTTCTGTGCTATTCTAGGTTCACTGTGCTGGGGAAAGTGAATGACTCCTGACTGTGTTCGCCCTGGTGATCTTTCCCTTTTTGGGTCAGATGGTTCTCTTCAGTTTAATGATCTTCCATCTGCTGACCAGCCTGCTAAGCTCTGAAGAAGAAATTTCAACTAACATCAGACCAATTCTCATCTGCCACTCTCCCCCAGTGCAGCAGGGCCTGCAATGACATGTACCATTTCACCAAGCCTTGCCTGTGGCCCACCAGCAGCATCCATGCAGGGCAAAGCTTGATTCAGAAGAATAAAGCTCATGGATGAAACTGGGGGGACATTATATTAGAAGAAAATAAGCCAGGAACACAAAGTCAAACACCGCGTGTTCTGACTCATATGTGGAAACTTTAAGTTGATGTTGGCCAAGCATGGTGGCTCACGCCTATAATCCCAGCACTTTCGGAGGCTGAGGCGGGTGGATCACCTGAGGTCAGGAGTTTGAGATGAGCCTGGCCAACATGGTGAAAACCGCTCTGTACTAAAAATACAAAAATTAGCCAGGCATGGTGGCAGATGCCTGCAATCCCAGCTACTTGGGAGTCTAAGGAAGGAGAATCACTTGAACCCAGAAGGCGGAGGTTGCAGTGAGCCAAGATTACTCCATTGCCCTCCAGCCAGGGCGACAAGAGCGAAACTTCGGGAAAAAAAAAAAGAAGAAGAAGAAGAAAGAAAAAAAAGTTTATGTCATAGAGGCAAATAGTAAAACAGGATATGAAAGGCTGAAAAGGGTGGAGGAGGGAGAGGATAGGACAAGATTTGTTAAAAGACACAAAATTACAGCTAGATAGGAGGAATAAGTTCTAGTGTTCTGTACCACAGCAGGATGAGCATAGTTAATAATATATTAAATAGTTTAAATAGCCAGGAGGATATTGAGTATTGAAGGAGGATATGGAATGAACAAAGAAATGACAAATTCTTTAAATGATGAATATACTAATGACCCAGATCTGATCACTATACACTATATATGTATCACAATATCACTATGTACCCCATGAATATGTACAATTATTATGTGTTAATTTTAAAAATTAAATGTAATTTAAGTATATATAGTATATATATAAAACAAACTTGGAAACTCCAGATGGGTATGAATCTCAATCTCTTTCTAGCTGCATGGTCTTGGGCAGTCCATGTAACCTCTCCGAGCTTCTATTTCCTCATCTATATAATGTCCATAATAATACCTGATATGGTTTGACTGTGTCCCCACTCAAATTTCATCTTGAATTGTAGTTCCCATAATCCCCATGTGTGGTGGGAGGGACCTAGTGGGAGGTCATCGAATCATGGGGGTGGTTTCTCCCATGTGATTCTCATGATAGTAAGCTCTCATGAGATCTGATGGTTTTAGAAGGGGCTTCCTCCTTCTCTCAGCTCTCATTCTTCTCTCCTGCCATCTTGTGAAGAAGGACATATTTGCTTCCTTTTCCACCAAAATTGTAAGTTTCCTGAGGCCTCCCGGGCCCTGTGGACCTGAGTCAATTAATCCTCTTTCCTTTATAAATTACCCAGTCTCGGGTATATCCTTACAGCAGCATGAGAACAGACTAATACCTACCCTAGTTATCCCACAAAATCATTGAGTAGGTGTCATATGAGTATTGGTTATCATGATTGTCATAATGAGACAATTTGGCGAGATGAGGAAATGAAAAATATTAGGAAAACCAATCATTGCAATGGGGAAATAAAAACAAAACCAAATGTATGAGTTTCTCCCTACCTCATCTGCTGTTCTGGCCTTTTCAACAATTCGAAGGACCTACCTGCTAAAGCCCATCTTGGTTTCCTGATGGAAGTGATGCTGTGAGAGATCCACAGAATGTCATAGATAAGAATACTGCTAACTAATGGGGAAATGCCAGCAGACCATGCACTCTCCCCTAAGCAGTCCCAGAAACACAGAATTTCCTGAACCCAAGCCTTCCTCCATCCACCCAGGAAGGTGAGGGGTTTGGGGACACCATTCCTAATAAAAGCCTTATCTGTGTGCCTGACGCTAGGCTAAGATTTTCACATACATTTCCTTATTTAGTCTGTACAATTGCTCTGCAACATAGATATAATTCTCTAATATAATAGTTAAGAAATGTGAAGCCCTTTAGAAGTTAAGAAAGTTGCCTAAAAGCTCACAGTTAGAGTCAAAGCTGAGATTCAGATCTTGCTTTGAGTCAAAGTTAGTGTACTCCCATTTCCACATCATCTCCCAAGTCAAACCCGAACAAGCCACGACCAAAGGATTCCATGCTCTGCAATAAGCATTTATAATTTCACCTTCAATTCTTCCATTTATAGGGGAAAGCTTGCATGTAATTAATTTAAGGATGATTTCTCCATAAATTATACTTCAATCTAGTTCTATATTTAAATAATTAAGTTTGAAACAGAAAGACTAATGAAACTAATGGTTACCAAATTACTCGATTTTGAAAATCATTGATTTTCTCATTTGCCTGCTAAAATTAATCAATCTCATTTACATATACAGATTGCATTTGCTTTAGCTTTGAGATATTTGTTTTCCAAGTTTTTCCACCAGTTTCAAAATCCACTTTAAAAAAAACTCAGTTCTATTTCAATTATGCTTATTTGCATGGAAACCAAAGCCTTACTGCTCTAATTAATAATATTATGATTGTTCCTTTTATTTGAATACAATGTCCTTGTAACTTAAAGAATAAAGATTCAACCCAGCCAAGCAACTTTAAAAATACATATGGAAATGATCAGTATAATACAATTTCTTTTGGTAATAAGATAAATAAAAGCAAATTCTCCTGTTACAAAACACACAAAAAAATCCACTTTACAAAATACCTTTTTAGCAATTTCTACAAAACAATACTCTAAGATCTTATGACCATGTCATACTAAATGTCTATATATATGATGAGAAGGTATTTCCTGGAATGACTAGTGGGTGGGATAAGCCTAAAAGGATTTCCAAGAAATACAGAAACATAAGGATCCAATAATTTGAAAAAGGATTAAAAATATTCTAAGACTTTCAAAGTGCAAATTACCACGTACAAATTTGGTGGTTATAATAAGCCTTTTCTTTGCAATAAAATGAAAATTTAATAGAAAACGTATAGGAAGTGCAACTATTGAGTTGTGAAACTTTTGTTTCAGTTTTACTTTTCATATGCGGGCATGTAAATATGAGTGTACAGGCTGGGTACGATGGCTCAAACCTGTAATCCCAGCATTTGAGGAGGCCAACGCAGGTGGATCACTTGAGCCCAGTAGTTCAAGACCAGCCTGGGCAACATGATGAAACCCCATCTCTACAAAAAGTACAAAAATGAGCTGGGCATAGTGGCATATACTTGTAGTCCCAGCTACTCAGGAGGCTCAGGTGGGAGGATTGCTTGAGCCTGGGAAGCAGAGGTTGAAGTGAGCTGAGATCATGCCATTGCACTCCAGCCTGGGTGACAGACCAAGACCTTCTCTTAAAAAAAAAAAAAAAGAGGTTATAAGAGTGTGTGTGTGTCCTGAGTCATGAGTCATGGTCATGAAAGAAAATGTATTTGTTACTGTGGACTAAGGTCAAAAGTTTAAAAACCACTAACCCAATTGATCCATTGACCAGATGGAGTTTTGAAGGACTGATATTTTAGAGACTTCTGAAAATAATAATAGACTTTGTCATCAGACAGCTGGGTTCAACTCTCAACAAGTAACTCAATCTACCTAAATCTTGGTGTCACATTTGTAAAATGAAAATAATAGTAACACCTCACAAGTTTGTTTTGACATTAAAAAAAGATAATGTATGTGAGGTGTTTAGCACAGTGCCTGGCATATGATAATCAACAAATCTTGGCTATCATTTTCTAGAACTGCTGGAGAGCTTCTTTGTCTCTGATTAAAACATACCCCCTTCAAGGTGTATTCATTTCCTCTGAGTGACATCTGTCACCTCTTTAATGAGTTTTTTACCTTTTGTCCATGTTCAGTTGCTCCTCCAGACAGCCAAGGACCAGAGGCAGAATTCAGTGACCAACACTAAACATGAGAAAGAGCAGCCTCTCAGCAGTCCATGTGCATACTGATCCCCTGCTTAGCTTCAGACTCCATGTCAGTCGAGGTGAAGAAATAAAAAGGAGGTGAAACTGGCCCAATTGTCCCATAGAATTGATGTATGGTTTCTTTTGAATAAACACAGAAATTGAACCTTCCAGTCTTAAAACTTCAGAAGTTTACTTTTGTTTTATCGGAGTTCCTTTTTCAGGAAATCAACCATCAGTCCTGCCAAATAGTATCAAGGAACTGAAACTCACTAGATCACAGTATCTGGACAATGAGATGCCAGACCCCTCACCTGTCATAACTGCCTAATCAACCACCCACTGCCTGTTGACCAGCTCCTCTTCCTTACCTCTCACACACGGTTACATTTCTTTCTCCACTATATAAACCCCTAATTTTAGTTGTTGGGGAGACACATTTGAGACCGATTTCCCATCTCCTTGGCTGAAACACCCGATTAAAACTTTCTTCCCTGGTAATACTCATTGCCTCAGTGATTGACTTTCTGTGTAGTGAGCAACAGGACCTACACTGAACCCCTCGTGTTTCAGTAACAAAGGGTCACACATCCCTGTACCTCCATCTTATGCTACTTTTTTTTTTTTTTTTTGAGACGGTGTCTTACTCTGTCGCCCAGGCTACAGTGCAGTGGTGCAACCCTGGCTCACTGCAACCTCTGCCTCCTGGGTTCAAGCGATTCTTATGCCTCAGCCACTACAGTAGCTAGGATTATAGGTGTGCACCACCACACCTGGCCAACTTTCATATTTTTAGTAGAGACGGGGTTTCACCATGTTGGCCAGGCTGGTCTCGAACTCCTGACCTCAAGTGATCCTCCCGCCTCAGCCTCCCAAAGTGCTGGGATTATAGGCCTGAGCCACCGCACCTGGCCTATGCCACTTTCAAATAAAAATGCTAACATAACTAGGGAGATTCTGGGCCATCTTGGAATTCTTCATGACTCCTGGATCCTTTGTTTCTGTCACACTTGTCGTCTTCCGTATGGTTTACTTAGGCATAGAATGGGGAAAAGGAGATTCTAGAGAAGAAAAAAAATGCTAAGTTTAAATACTGATGAATCCTGGAATAATGAGGTTTAGGGTGGCTCAAACATGAAAAAATATATATAGGGATATGCAAGATATTCCACTGAAAATACCATATAGAGAAACATAAAGCAAGCTAAGGGTTCTGAGCTTTATAGTGTAATAAAAAACACAGGCAACAATTGCTGAGTCCTTCCTCACCACACATGATGCCCGGTGCCTTACACATATGAACTCAATTGACACTCACAACATCTATGGGGTAGGTTTTCTGGTAATCCTCAATTTTTGCATGAGATTTTTCAAGAAGCTCTTATTAAATGGTGAAGCTAGGATTCACAACTCCTGGCTATCTGACTCTGGGGTCGATACTCTTCAGGTTCTAGTGTCTTCCATGGGTCAGAGGGGGCCACCGGAAGCTTTTTTATTTATTTATTTTATTTTTTGAGACGGAGTCTTGCTCTGTCACCCAGGCTGGAGTGCAGTGGTGTGATCTCGGCTCATCGCAAACTCTGCCTCCTGGATTCATGCCATTCTCCTGCCTCACCCTCCCATGTAGCTGGGACTACAGGCGCCCGCCACCACGCCTGGCTAATTTTTTGTATTTTTAGTAGAGACGAGGTTTCACTGTGTTAGCCAGGATGGTCTCGATCTCCTGACCTCGTGATCCACCCACCTCAGCCTCCCAAAGTGCTGGGATTACAGGCATGAGCCACTGCACCCGGCCAAGCTTCTTATTTTTTTATTTTTGAGATGGAGTCTTGCTCCATTACCCAGGCTGGAGTGCAGTGGCGTGATGCTGGCTCACTGCAACTACCAGAGGCTTTTTAAACAGAAGACTGCATGCAAAGGCCAGCATTTTCTCTGTTCTTTCTGTGCACTCTGCAGAGTAGACCAAAGCCAGGAAAACTAGAGTCAGGAAAACTAGAGTCAGGGAGCCCCCTCCAGAGGCTGCTCTCTAATGCAATAGTCCAGGTAGAAGATCAGAGCAGGCATTGACACTGGGGATGGAGGGGAGAGGTTCCGATTTTAGACAAATTTGAGAGATCAGATCAATACAAATAGGTGATTGTTTAAATGTGAGGCCTGAAGTGACCAGCATGGGATCCAGGAGGGCTCTTGGGGCTTCAACTTGGGTAACCATGCGGGTGAAAGAGAGATCACCTGAAATCCTAAGTGCGGCAGGAGCAGGTCTGGGAGGCAGGATGAAGAGTTCAGTTAGGGCATGTTCACCAAGGTTTGCATGGAACAGCCAGGGAAGACAAAGTAGATGCGTACACAAAGAGGCAACAGAGTTTAAGAGCAGCGCTCTGGAGCCAGACTGCCCAGCTATGAATCTTCATTCTGACACTTAAAAGCTATGTGACGGAGGGTAAGTCAGTTAATATATGTAAAACACTGCCTGACACATAGAAAAAGCTCGGGAAGCATTAGCTATTAGAATGATTTCATAACCAGATGTCAGAACAGTAGGCACAGGCAGAAAGCATCCCCCAGCTCACTGCTTTCTCCCTTATATCCATCCTGGCTTTACCATATTTTAGGAACCAATTTGAGACCACATAAGGAATAACAGAGATGCCAAAAGGAATGAGAAAAGAACCCACCTGACATGGGTTCCTTCCCATTTGTTCCTAAGTTCTGCCCCCATCCCAGTGAGACCAAAGTTGCAGATGGCCTCTAACTTCATTCTTTGTTCTTTGCATATTCTGTTGAGTAATTGTCTTCGACTTGAATTTGGAACAGACTCCTTTAAGGGACTGTCATGAATAATGCAAAGTTAGAGACAGGTCCACATATGCTTGTGTTTTTCCACAATGTCAGGCTTTTATTAATGCTATTTCAATCACAAAAACCACGAGCTACATGGTCTTCCCAAGAAGGCAATTCTCCTTAGTACTTCCTGTTCACTCAGGAGTCACAGCTACAAATATTGCAAAACACATATAATAGTAAAGTTAATATATAAATGATACAGATTAAACTTTCCACATAACAAACAAGGTAACATTTAGCGTCAAGAGAAAAAGAGATAGGACAAAAGGCTAACGAGCCAGTCCCGGGGAAGCAAAGACGTCAAAAGGAATCCCGGGTCTGGGCCGGGCGATCAGTCTTGGCAGAAAGAGTCCTTGGCGGTAGATGCCGAGTTCTTATCAGGAGTGACTGCAAGACAGCTGTCAGTTGACGGCCGTTTCGAGATGCTGAAGGCCCACTCTTTTATGGTCAGAGTCCTCTGGTGAGAACTGATAGTGGAAGAGTGTGCTTGTTTGTGTCCGTATCTGGTTGGATGTAGTCTTTATTATTTTATTTGTTTATTAAGCAAAACATCTTATCCTTGTTGGCAAAGTGCCCTATGAAATATAACATGGAGACTTTCTCTAAGATGAGTTAGTTATGTCAAGGGTGCTCTATACAGCCACCTAAATGGCATTACCTTTCAGATGTGAATCTGTCAGTCCTGCCTCCATCAGCTGGAAAACAATACACCCATAAGCTCCCACGAGGACTCAATGAATGCATGGCCTCCGTGGGAAAGGGGCCAAAGAGGAGAATTAACGTCTAAGAATTTACACTGCAAAGGGTACTTTATACCTTGTCTCATTCATTCCTCACAGTAGGCCTGTAAAGCAGTACGGTAAGGAAACTGAGGCTCAGGGAGATTAAGTAACTTTTCCAAGTCATGAAGCTGGTGAGTGTCCGAGAGGGGCTCTATCCCAGGTCATCTGACCCCAAAGCTAGTCTCTTGCTTTCCATCACTCCTAACAGCCACCATTACATGATTAGTCATTAAGGGCCAGGCCAGACCCAGGGAGCCTGATTAACTTATCCTAAAATGGCATGTCTACATTTTCATTACTTCCCACTGAAAGATGAGGCTTACTAAAGGGTGAGAGCCCCAAAGCGTTAGAAGCAAACTCCTGCTTAAGTTACTGAATTGCAGGGATAACGCGCTAACTGCCAATTATGCTGACTGCGTTCCTCCCACCAGTGCCTATTAAGGTATCTATATGCCAGATACTGTAGTGAAATAACTGAAAATTGTTTGCAATTTAAATTAAAATATGATATAAACCAGCATGTAAAGAAATACAACCACCAAGACGCAACTATCCATCTAGTTAAAAATTTTAATTAAATATTAACTAGATTTAATCTGGTTTTACCTTAGCAGGGATTCCCCTACATCTTCCTTAGTATCAGAGGGCTCTGGCTACCATCTTGTTCCATGAGTTTTTCCAGGCCATAACACAGTAGTGGCAAGAAAGGGAGCTGAGTGTCCTCCCCATCAAACACCACCACTTCCCCTCATGTCCTTCCTTATCTCAATCAAGATAATGTCACAGTATTCACCATCCTGTGAATCCAATTCTATCATTCCTTATCAGTTCTTAACAGGCATTGCATGTCTTCATTTCCAAGCTATGGGCCACTAGTTTGGGTTTTAAGAGCTCGTGTTGTATTTGCTTTTTCTTTCTTACTCTTATTTTGTTTAAGGTAAATGCTTAGAGCTACTAGTTTCTTAAGGATAATACATTTTTTGCCGGTTGAATATTTCCAGGTTTCCATTTCTAGCAACAGAAGAACAACTTGCTTCAGAACAATCCTAGAAAAACTAGACTTTTTAAAAACCTGTTTGAAGGTATTGGAAGGCAACCAAGAAAGCAAGAATTTGAGGGACCAGAATTTGAGGGACTAACCTCTAGGGTTAGTCTCACCTCTGGGTGAGACTAGTGGCTACTGAACAGAAAGTTGGAGATGCGAAGCTGGGAAGCTGAACAGAGATTTTGCTGGTCTCAAGGAGATGGGGCCTGGTAACATCTGAGCTTCCTGTTGGAACCCCAGAAAGGCAAGATCCCTGGAACAAGGGCAAACAAAACCCAACTACTTGCTAATTACAAAAAAACACCCCTTAAACAAAACCCAACTACATGCTAATTACAAAAAACAACACCTTATACACAACCCAACTACACGCTAATTACAAAAAGCTAACCTTAAACAAAACCCAACCACATGCTGCTAATTACAAAAAACATCTTAAATGAAAACCAGCTATATGCTAATTACAAAAAAACTATACTTAATGCAAACCCAACTACATACTAATTGCAAAGAACTATGTCTTAAAAGTAAACATATAGAAAGGTCAACAGTAAAAAGAAAAAAATATTTCATGCAAACACGAACCAAAAAAAAGATGGATTTTTTGTACTACTATAAAACAAAGTAACTTTGGCTTTAAGGCAAAAAGTGTTCCTGGAAATAAAGACAGTAATGTCATCATGATGAAAGAGTTCATCCACCAGGAAAATATAAAAATCCAAGTCGCCAATCACCTGTGTCAGTCACGGTTCATGAAGAAGCCAGAAGTCACACAAGGAAATTGAGCAGAAAATATTTAATACAAAGAATCATTAATTAGGTAAAAAGAGGTTGACTACTAAAAAGTGTAAACATGTGGCAACTTCCATTAACCTGGAGATGAGCACACAAGGAAAGGACTTAGAAGCTCCAATAAACCAGATTCCTGGCTGGGTGCAGTGGCTCACACCTGTAATCCTAGCACTTTGGGAGGTCGAGGCATGTGGATCACAGAGGCCACGGAGTTCAAGACCAGCCTGGCCAACATGGCGAAACCCCATCTCTACTACAAATACAAAAATTAGCTGGGTGTGGTGGTGCACATCTGTAATCTCAAGTACTTGGGAGGCTGAGGCACAAGAATTGCTTGTTTCCAGGAGGCAGAGGTTGCAGTGAGCAGAAATCATGACACTGCATTCTAGCCTGGGCAACAGAGCAAGACTCCATCTCAAAAAAACACAAAAACAAACAACAACAACAACAAAAAACAGACTCCTGCCAACACTCTTAGTTCTGAGATTTATCAGGATGAAAGGTATTTATCATGGGCCTCCCAAAAAAATTACTGGTGACAATTTTCAAATATCCATCAAAGATAGACCATTTTTTCTCTTTCTATTTGGTCATGGTTCCCTCGTACCTTTCTGAAAAGATCCTTACAAAACAGAAGTAGTTTAAGAATCGCTTCTCCACAAATTCACAGAAAGGGATTTCTTTTCTGTTATTCTCAGCCACCAAAAACTCCCCCAGGCCTCCTCTTCTAACACAAGACTCCAGAGGTTGTCCCTGTGATTCTCAGAAAGCTGGTCCAGATAAAAATGTTGTGCAAAGAGCTGGTGGCCAAATGAAATATGTACATCATTTAGTAAGAGAGAGCATCTAGCTAAGAGCGACTTCTGAGCGGTCAGCAGCTTGGGAGCAGCTGGCTAGAGGCATGCCTCAGCACGGCGAACCCTCCCTGCGCTCGCACACACCCTGCAGCCTCTGACGTCAGCCGCAGCCCTAGATGCGTACAAGCTGGCAGGATTTGGCCTCCATGCCTTAACAACAATGTGATTTTTCCCTTTGGGGCTCGGCGTGTTTTGTGCAATTCTTCTCAGCTTCCATGCAACCTTTGAAAATCTCTTGCCTGGCTGGAACCCCCAGGGTTATAGGAACAGCTTTAAAACACAAACCTGAGAGCCTCGCAGAGGAATTTCCCACCCGACCACCAGGATCTTGAGCTCCTAGTTGGGGAGTGACTTCCTTGACACCAACCCAGCACCTCCTTAGCTATGACCATCCCCTCTGTAAGGAATACATGAGGACTAAATGGCCACTTTTTTCCCTCTCTCCCATGGCCTCTGTCCCACTGGGGCTGACAAAAAAAAAAACAGCGAAGCAGGTTCTCAGGCCCACTCTCCCCAGTATGTGGCTACCACAGTGTGTTTTGGGTGTTTTCTTGCCTTAAATATCTCCCCTGCCATCCAGACTAGACCCTTAGAAACCCTTGAAAATTGTTGGTTTCCAGATTCCACTGTTAAAGCACAAATATCCTAACACGTTGAGACAGCATTTCCCAAAGTGCGTTCCTAAGAACGTCCTGCAAAATGTTCTTTAGAAGGCAGTATCATGGTTATAGAAAGAAAAATGGAGAAGTGGTCACATGTCTTTCCTGCGGGGTCATGATGCAAATTCGCATGTTACAGGATCTATAGATCCCACTCATAGCAAATCAAATCATTTCACTATGTTTAACTCAGTGTATCCCAAAAAAAAGATCTGATAGTGAAACCCTGTTTTGTTTTTCCATCTGTAAACATCCCCCAAACTACTGCTTGACAGTGCTTCTTTTGGAAAACCCAGACTTAAGCCCTTAATTTAGAATGACTGAGTGGGGCACTGTCCAGATCACTGAGTCGGAAGTGGAGAATGAAAAATGTGATTTTTTTATTACTAGCTCTGTGATCTTGAGCAAGGCACTAAATATTCTGATCTTCCATTTTGCAAAATGGGAAATGGTAATGCCTATGTGATAGGTGGTGGTTGTGAGACTTGAATGGTGTAATGACTTTGAACATGGTTCATAGTTGGTAAAGGGGTTACTCAAGAAGTATTCACATCAGCATAGTTATTATTTATCTGGCCCTTTCCAGTTATTATTTTTATGCTTGTCATTTTTGCCTCAATAACAGCTGGTAAGTGAGTAAATGTGAATAGGTTTGAGAGGGTGATACAGACGCCGGTGAATCGACTATTCTACAGACCCTGGGGCAAGAGTCCTCTGTCCCTGGAAGGACCCACCAGGAGGCAGCCATAGTCAAGCCGGTGCCTCCGGGTCAGCATCCTGTCTCTCGAATGGTTCTTTCAGCCTCTGTCTGAAGGAGCCCAAGAGCCAAAACAGACACGTGTGTTTAAGCTCAGCAGAGTCCACAGACCTTGACACACATCTGTAGAAGGGAGCCATGAGGGGGACAAGGTCTCTTGCACAGATTTGATCCCAGCTCTGGTTGTGAAGGGGTTCTCAAAGCTAAACCAATGGAGTCCAGTCCCTGGGTGAGCCTCACCTCCGCAGAACCTCACCTCTGCAGTGACTCAGCCCACTTAGCATTGGGCTTGGGGTCAACGGGATTTGGGGATGATGGAGTCAAATGCCACATGCAACCTCTTAGCTGACACTTCACACTACCTGGTCTATTTACTTACTTCTTTTGCCGACTAGATGGGGGGCCCTTTGATGCAAGAGGCATATCTTATTCACATCTTTGCACCCAGGGACTTGCTAACATATCACACACCTGAAGGAATGAATGAGGAAATAAAGGAAACGCCATGACTTGGATGAGACCATTGACCTGGCAGTTCTTTATGCCACTCTCTCTCTTCTTTGCGGAAGAACTTGGGCTTTTGTGAAGCAGAGAAGGGCCATGTCCTGAGACCTCTGTGCACATGGAAGGAGTCCTTCTTTTTCTCTTCCCTGATAACCCACAACCAAGACCTATGGATTGGACAGGTACAGCCGCACACTTAACCCCTACATCCCCATATGCCAAGCGAGGGGTCCTGAGGTATCACATCTGATCTTAAAAACGCTCAAATGTCCGTGTCATTTTACAATAGGGACTGTCCTGGTCTGGCCAAATGAGGCTCCTAAAGCAAGACAGCAAATGCCATTTGAGTGCCAATGCCTGGTTTTGAGGCATCACTCTTCAGGTATTTCCCAAGTTTGTATTAGCAACATATTTTATTTCCATATTCTGACACTTTGATCTTGGGGCCTTGCTGACCCTGGAGGAACTGCCCCTCCAGGATCAATTTCTAGAGACGGTCAACAACTCACCTGGGATCACATAAATGCAAACAAACCAATCCAGAGCCCAGACCCAACAACCTCCTTGCTCGGGTTCTTATATCCTGGGCCACTTGCCACCTGCCCTAACATCCCAGAGCCAGGAACCAAAAATTGGGTGACAGCCCCTATGCCCCAAAGCCTGCTGCTATTATTCAAACTAATCCCAAGCTTACTGGTGGATTTTTCCATCAGTATCTTCCCACAGAAACCATAATCAAGGCTCTCGCCCACAATTTCCCCTCACCCTCTGACTCCTGATTGATCCCAGTGTTTCCCCACTGGGGCCCTCATGGCATGAAGTGACCCCTCCTCTTGGGTAGGTGAGTATAACAAATTGCCTTTCCAAGAAAAGTCATCTCCTGGTGTGTTGGCCTTGCTATACCTAAATAAAAATAAATCTGTATTTTAAAACAGGGCCTTCTAAAGATGGTCATCTAATTTGAATTAATCAGAATAACTAATCCCACTTCATGGACTGGACTGCATACAGTTTTAGTAGACAGGGAACTTAACCCAGTAAAAACTACTGCAAATAACAAATAAACAATCACTGGTTTTATCTTCTGTACTGGATAGGTAGATTGCAATTGCTCCTGTCCCAACACTAATCTCACAGAAAAGTAATTCTATGCAAACATGCCTGCATCATGTGTTTCCTGAGGGCAGGAATCAAAGCTAACCTTTCTATGCATCTGTCCCAATACACTTCTAGTTTTGCCCAGGCCCTGCAGTGGGTTTATTAGGACAAGTTGAGGGAGAAGCTGGTGACTTCGTAACCAGCTACTCAAATGTGGTGGGAGAGATCAACTCAGGCCTCCCAGACACCCCAGAGTATGCATCCCAATCAGACACAGCGCCTCTGATGTGTGATTCTTGTTTAATAATGCAAACATTCATCCTAATGTCATTTAGGACTGAGGTCTCCAATCTTAGTCGAGCCCTCATGGTGGCTCAGAGATCCTGCTGTGGGTGCCCCATGCCCTCCAGTGTCATTGTTCTTATTAAGCATTGCAAAGCAATACTCTTCTCTATCCTCTTCCAGCCCCTACCACACTGCTGCTACCCTATCTCATCAGATAGAATCTTTTCAAATATTTCACTGAGAAAATTGAGACTGCAAGAAATTAACTCCCTCAACTTCCTGTCCCCAGTCTTTAATCTGTATTTGTCCCCAACCGCACCATCTTTCCTCCCAATTCAGAGGAAAGAGACCCATGCCTCTACTCCAAAGTCAGCCCCTTTATCCTAAACCATAATATTGTGTTGATGCTGCTCTCTTCTGAATAGTCATTCTCTTCTTTGCTGGTCATTTAATGCCCAAGTTAGCCCCAGATTGGATTGAAAAAGATACTCCACAAATATTCAGTACTTATTAAAAGACCCTATACTAGGGCCAGGTGCAATGGGTCACACCTATAAACCCAGCACTTTGGGAGACTGATAAGGACAGATCACTTGAGGCCAGGAGTTGGAGACCAGCCTGGCCAACCTGGTGAAACCCCATCTCTACTAAAAATACAAAAAATAGCCGTGTGTGGTGGTGCATGCCTGTAGCCCCAGCTACTTGGGAGGCCAAGGTAGGAGAATTGCTTGAACCCATGAGGCAGAGGTTGCAGTGAGCTGAGATCACACCAATGCACTTCAGCACCTTTTGAGACTGTGAGATTCTGTCTCAAAAAAAAAAAAAAAGGCACTATACTAGAAGGTGAGAGCACTCAATTCTTACCTGAGATCTCTTACTGAAGGAAAACAGACAGACAAGCAAACAAATGCTACACTCTGATTAGTCCGTGGGCACAGGAAGTCTTGATTTCCTAGCAGGCATGAGACAAAAGAGGCTCCCAGAGAAGATGGAACTATGCCTTGACCCACAGGTTCTGCTGTAGCTATTACCTCCTCCCTGCTTGCTTGCATAGCTATGTTTCTAGAAATGTAGTCCACCATGAACATTCTCACTTCCTCAAGTGAGAGGAAGTGATTGGAAGGGAACCTCTCAGTTCCCTTCCAATCAATGTGGATCTGAGCCAGACTCTCAAAGACACAGCTTTCTTTGAGGTCACGTGATTGCCTACACCAATGGGCATTTTTCATTGCACCGATCTGCTTGATTTCCCTGAAACATTTCACACTGCACCATGCCCTTTTTCTTTAGCATTTGAGTTATCTTTCTCCCGAGTCTCTCCTTTGTCCATCCATCTTTCTCTCTCTCTACTGTGGACTCCTCTTTTAACACAACCTTGAGCTATCGACACTCCTGGAGGTTTCTCCAGGACTCTCTTCATGTCCCCGTGCACAATCCTGGACATTCTTTGGATCTGTTTAATTCCCATCTTGCCCTCAGTTCACTGCTCATTTGTGACTTTCTAAGCAAATAAAATCTCCCTGCCATACCCTCTGATGACACCATGTGCCTCTCCCTCATAGCACTCACCACTGCTGAAATTTTCCATTTATATATGTGGCTGTTTGCTGAATCTCTCTCCTTCAAATAGACTGAAATGCCATCTGGGCACTTTGTCCAACAACAGGATGTTGTTTAAATAATTTATTGTACACATACTTGATGAAATAACATTAACCAGTGAAAAATCACCCTAGGAAAAAAAAATGACTTGGAAAAATACTCCTCGTACTTCTATGATCTGAATGTTCCTTATGTTGAAATCTATCCCCAGGGGATAGTATTAGGAGGTGGGGTCTTGGGGAAGTGATTAGGTCATGACTATAGAACCCTCATGAATGGAATTAATGCCTTCGTAAGAAGAGGCCTGAGAGAGACCCTTTGTCCCTTTCACCATATAAGGACACAGGAAAAGATTGCTGTCTATGAGCCAGAAAGCAGGCCTTCAGCAGGCACAGAATCTTGGACTTCCTAGCCTCCAGAATTGCAAGAAAATTTCTGTTGCTCAGTTTGTGGTGTTTTGTGATAGCAACCAAATGGATGAGGACAAATACATATCACGTGATCCCTTTTTGCAAATAAGTATATACATATGTGCAAAAATACTGGAACAACAGACAACAGCTTATAATCGGCATATATACTAGGATAGCATAATTAAAAGAGATTGTTATTTTCTCAGCAATAGTAATAAGGCTGTTACAACTCAGGGTGAATTAATGAGGAGATTTGTATGCTTAAGGCTTCCCTGGGCCCATCGTTTTTTAAACTGAGCACCTACTATATGCCAACACTGACTAGGTATTTTCAAATTTATTATTGTGTTAATATTACATATCCAGATGAAGGTGCTAGAAATGTAGTCAGGCTTTTCTTTGCTTACTAGAAGAGAGAGAAGCAGCAATAAGTCAGAAAGGTCCAGAGCTGTGGGCAAGGGCTTCCTGGTCTACCTTGGGTTCCTCTGAAGTTCTGCACTCATTCCACAAATATTTATTGCACAGTCCTGGCTAGGCACTGGGAATACAGGGCCAAATTAGATGCATTCTTTCAGCACAAGGAGTGTTTCCCCAGGGAGACAGCCAGGTGAGAAGGGGTCTCCAAGGAAACTCCACCCGGCCTGTGCACTGGGATGGAGCCACAGAAGTTTGCACCATTTGCAGCAGGGAGGATCCTGGCTCCTCCTCTTCCTGGGTGGTACATGTGATTAAATCTGCAAGGCGGGAAGCACACAGGCAGGAAGTACACTCTCTCGCTTTGCTAAAACCCCTTTTCTTCCTTTTCATCCAATAAAACCCTGCCTTACTCACCCTTTGAATTGTCTGCGAGCCTAATCTTTCATGGCCATGTGACAAGGACCCCGTCTTTAGCTGAACTAAGGAAAAGTCCCACAACACCAACTCAGACATGTAAACATAAAGGCCAATAAGATTTGCAGATGCTGTAATAGAAATTCAGAGGGACACAAAACAGGGAGTTACCGTTGTGACTGGAGAAGCAGGTGACGACAGAAGTGGCTCTAGGAAGCCTCTGAGGATGATAAAACAGTGACTCATGTGTGTAGAGTGCTCTATAGACTTCAGAGGTGTTTCCGACTTTTTATTCCGTCACTTACATCTATCAAATGACCAAGGCTGGAAGCGTTATTCTCATTTTATATTACAGATGAAGAAATAATAAGTTAAGACTTTTATAGCACTCTCAAGCACTTTACAAGTATTAATCTCTTCTAATTCCCCATAACAACCGATGAAGGCAGGAACCATTATTATCTTCACGTTACAGCTAAGGAAAGAGACCGAAAGAGGTTAAGTTATTTGCCCAAGTCATCTGTGAAGAGCCAGATTTAAAATACAGGCAGTGTGTGTAATCCCAGCACTTTGGGAGGCTGAGGCAGGTGGATCACGTGAGGTCAGGAGTTCGAGACCAGCCTGGCCAACATGCTGAAACCTCATCTCTACTAAAAATACAAAAATTAGCTGGGTGTGGTGGTGGGCACCTGTAATCCCAGCTACTTGGGAGGCTGAGCCAGGAGAATCGCTTGAATCCAGGAGGCAGAGGTTGCAGTGAGCCAAGACTACACCATTGCACTTCTGTCTGGGCAACAAGATCGAAACTGTTTCAAAAAAAAAAAAAAAAAAATACAGGCAGAGTGGTGCCAGGGTCCAGACCAGGGCCAGCACTCTGTGATGCTTCTCGGGAAAGCCCCAGATAGTTCAGGGAAGGCAGGTAATTTGCTCAAAGTCATAAGGCTGGGAAATAAAAACTCCTGGATGAAAATTCAGACACTCAGTCTGGATGCCCACGCTATGTCCATTTTTCCCATGATCGAATAATTTTCAGAGGGTTTGGAAAACCTAGAAATGGAACAAGGAAAAACAGAACTAATTTTTGAGTGCTATCTGCCAGGCACTGTATGAGGCGCTTGACACATGAAGGCATTCAGTCTGCAGTGCAACCCTAAAAGGCTGTAGATGGAACTGCCCCCTTCCACACAGAGGAGACCTCGTTTCAGAGGGAGAGCCACGGTCAGCCTAGAGTCCCAGAGGCTAGGCCTGTTGATCCCAAGGAGCAGATTCTTGTTCCTTCCCCAGTGCCCAGGAGGGCATGCTGCCAGTGTCCACCCAGGCAGATGTGCCTCCCAGAAGGCCAGCCATGTGCCAGGCACTGGGAAACGGATTAATCACTGTGCTGTCCACCCTTGAGGAGGCCTTGGCATGGAACATCCCTCCCACCAGGGAAGGGGACAGAGGTGGCCCTGGGGTCCCTGCCTGACCCTTAGGTATTCTGCACTCCCTCCACCCCAACCCACCTCCAAGCAGGAAGCAGGAGAGGAAACCTTGCAGTCCCAGTCGTGAGGCCTCTGCTGGTTTTCCAGCAAGGCCAATGCTTGATGCTCACTTGTGGCACAGTTTTGTTCCCCAGCATGGTCACATGAAGCCTGGGGAGAGGCCACTTCTGATTCCATCTGCGTCCCATGGCTTCCTGCACAGTGTGTGCACTCCAGTCTGCACGCCCACGCAGGGTTTCGTGTATTCTCATTTCCCCTGCATCTCCCACCGTGACCCAGAGGCCTCTGTATTTGTTCTCCTTTGCTTTGCAAAAGGCCCAGGAAGTGCTTCGTCTACTTCATACACTCAGGAGAACTGTTTCCTTCCCAGTTGATTTATACTTTCCACTTCCAAATCCCTTCGTACATGTGACCTGAATGTGCTTAACAGCATGTTGAGAGGAACTGTGCAACTTACCCTTCTGGGGGAGGAAAGGAGATTCAATTATTTTATGGGTTATTTTGGCAAAAATCCCAACCAGGATGCTGATGCCACAGCCCTTGACAGAACAAACACATCAGTCCAGCCGGGGGCCCCAGCAACGTGCTCACCCCTGCCCTTCCGGGAAGCGCCAAATGTTTTACTATGCACATTTCAAGAAAGCAGTGGCTTGATCTCCAAATGTTTCTGCTTATTTTCAAAAACAAAAAAGGAGCCAGCCAACCCACAAAGAGATTTTAAACAGGGGCCCAAAAGCTAATAGACTTTCCTTCTGCAACATACAGTTGGTCAGGCTTGATGATTATCAGTTAAACTGGAAGTGAAGACTTCCCTTGAAATGTCCTTGAATTTCACCCAGAACAGTGGTTTGCCAGTTACAGAGCATATCTGTGGTGGGTCACCCCCACCCTTGCCTGTGGCCCCAAATAAGAATAAGCTGGGTTCAGGCTCCATTCTGGAAACAGAGCAGCTAGACGACTCCAAACACTGGGAATACCAACATCTCAACAAGACATTGGTCTCCATCCCAATGGCTTCTGCTCCTAACAACCTCGGGAGGCTTCCATTATTGACTTGGATGTCAATGCATTGAGAATCCCCATTAAGCGCTACTTTTGAAAATGTGCTATAAGTCTCACGTGGTGAGATATTTCACATATATTATTCGATTTAGTCCTCACAAGAAGCCCTTTCTACAGCTGTAGAAACTGAGGTCCTAAGAGGATGAAGAACTTGCCCCAAGTTAATGCAGCCACTAATTGGCCATCATAGGTTCATCTACTTCACTTGGTTAAATTGACTACGCAGCTAATTTTTAGCATAACTACAGACAATGCATTTATCATTCGATACAGAGAAGGTTTCTTTTATTATCTCCAGCCACCCCTCATTAGAGAATGGGGTATCTCTTAGGCAGACTGTGGCCCATCTTCAACCAGCTTTCATCATTTTACTCTTGCATCATCCCTACTTCTAGTTCTGGGGTCACTTCCCACTCAGTCTCCATCTCCATCCTAGTGGCCCTGCATTTTACCAAGACCAATGTAGACACTCTCATTACTCGAGACACAGAGGCGAACTGCAAGTTGCAAACAGCATGTGTGTAGGTCTGGCTACTTCTAATCTCAGCTGCTCTCCTCCACCATTGTCCAGGCCTAGGACCTCAGACACGTTGCCTTCACTACTCCCACCCAGACTGACTCCTGTTGGGCCTTCACAACTATCTGATGTGATAAGTAGGGCATTTTTATTTTCATTTTATAAATAATGAAGTTGGGATTCAAAGAAGACCTCTGATAGACAAAGTATAAGCTTTGGAATCACAAAGATAGGACTTATAATGCCTGCCCTCCTACTTACTGAATAACCTTGGCCAAGTTATTTACTCACCTTGAACCTCAGATTGTCTGTAAAACAGGAATAACCCAACAGGTCATTAAGAAAACTGAATGGGACAGCATGAAAAATACAAATCCCTGTCGAGTAATAAGAGACAAAGGAAGTATTAAGAAGCAGGGCAGCAATGCAGACTTGGTGAAGGGAAAAGGAACACCCCATTCTAGGCTGACTGAGCTTAATCCTTGAAAGAAGTCTTAGTTACTGAACTTCATTTTGATTTAAAAAATAAAAAAGAAAAGAAATTTAAACCAGATCATTAATATGAAATTAAGAGGGGAGATTGTTTAATCTCCCTTTAAGAAGAACTCTTAACCCAGTCAATCAACGATTATGACCTGGGATCTCATTGACCAATATCCACCTCCTGCAGGAGCAGAAGCAGAAGACAGTCCCTACTCTCGGTTGTATGAGTCTTTACTAGGGAGGCTAAACTCACATTGGTGAAACAATAGAAACCAAATGTAAAACCCACGTGGTACAAAAGCAGGCTTAATACATACCTGGGAAGCAGGGTAGATGCAACTGGTAAGAAGGTAGGGTTTGAATTTGAAGATGAAGCAAAGGTGGAGGCTAGGTTGAAGGTTTCTACTCAAGGTAGCCAACATTTAAAAAAAATCAGAAGGCGAATATGACCCAAATTCCTTATAAAATCATAACAGCAAAATCTTCTATTCATTGAATGCATAGTACATGCAAGAGCTCATTTGATTTTCTCATAATCATGAAACTGTTTTACAGATCATGAAACTGAGACCCAGAGAGTTAAATCACTTCACAAAGACCAAGCAATTAGTAAATGGCAAAGCCAGGATTCAGATTCAGACCTGTTGGATTCTCTCCACTGTGATACAGATCAAGTAGGCTGAAATCCAGAAAATCTCGAGTTCAAATATCAGGAGAAAAGAGAAAACTAGCAGACAAAATCCAGGGTCAAGATTTGGGAGGAAATCTAATGGACTGTGATCCAGGACAGAGAAGAAGCTGAGAGTGTGGCTGTCAAACTACAGCAGCAAACCAAGGTTCACCTTTCCCAGCCATTGGCCACATGTCAGTAGAGTGGGGCAGGCTGTTTTAATGTTATGGTATCTGATTGGGGCAGACACTTGAACTTCAGAAGAAAAAAGGACCAGGAATACTGAAGCAGTCAGGGAAAGCTCCCTGCAGAAGCTGGGTGGGTCACAGCTCACAATTGTCCAATGTTAAGACCTCCAATCTTCTCCAAGCATTCAAGAGGGCACCTGTGACTAGTTTATACGTTTCTCTTGCAAACTAACAAGATGACATATTTCTCACCTCCTAAAACAGGTTGCCTTTTGTGTTGACTTTATTCATCTTCTCAATATCTTCTAGGATTTGGTGGGAATGCAGGGAATATTAAAAATTGGTACACCTCTTTTAGACATAAATGAGGCACTGTTCAATTAACTACCATTTATTAAGCACTTTCTATAAGCCAAACATTGCCTTGGTTAGCAAGGATACAAAGTACAAGTCACTGGCTTTAGGGAACTCCAGAGCTGACAGGAAAGAAAGGAGTAGAGAGACAAGTGGCACTCAGAGTGCTGGGCTTTCTGCTTAGGAAAAACACAAGGCACACTCATAAGAAGCCACAGAACTCCCTGCATCCCAGTTTTATGGTCTGTAAAATAGTTTCATGGATTGACTTACTGGGTAAGTCTATTTCTGGAATCTATGTACATAAATATGCTTGCTGATGCACAACTTTTAATAATTGGAAGGTAAATGCCATAATTTTTTTTTTTTTTTTGATACAGGGTCTTGCTCTGTCGCCCAGGCTGGAGTGCAGTGGTGAAATCTCGGCTCACTGCAGGCTCCGCCTCCTGGGTTCATGCCATTCTCCTACCTCAGCCTCCCGAGTAACTGGGACTACAGGCACCCGCCACCACACCCAGCTAATTTTTTTTTGTATTTTTACTAGAGACAGGGTTTCACCATGTTAGCCTGGATGGTCTCGATCTCCTCACCTCATGATCCTCCTGCCTCAGCCTCCCAGAGTGCTGGGATTACAGGTGTGAGCCACTGCGCCCAGCCAGTAAGTGCCATAATTTAAAACACTAAATAATTTATGGTACATCTATTCTGTGAAGAATTTTATTTCTATTAAAAATTGGTTCTTGTCAATTTGCAATTGCAAAAATATGGAACCAGCCCAAATGTCCATCAATCAATGAGTGGATAAAGAAAATGTTGTATATATGTACCGTGGACTACTACTCAGCCATAAAAAGGAACGAAATAATGGCATTCAAAGCAACCTGAATGGAACTGGAGACTATTATTCTATTATTATTATCTTTTGAGACAGAGTCTCACTCTCTCGCCCAGGCTGGATTGCAGTGGCGCCATCTCAGCTCACTGCAACCTCCTCCTCCCGGGTTCAAGTGATTCTCTTGCCTCAGCCTCCCGAGTAGCTGGGATTACAGGCGTGCAACACCACGCTCAGCTAATTTTTTTTTTATTATTTTTCAGTAGAGACGGGGTTTCACCATGTTGGCCTGGCTGGTCTCGAACTCCTGACCTCAGGTGATCCACCCACCTCAGTCTCCCAAAGTGCTGGGATTATAAGCATAAGCCACCATGCCCGGCCAGAGACTTATTCTAAGTGAAGTAACTCAGGAATGGAAAACCAAACATTGTATGTTCTTGCTCATAATTGAGAGCTAAGCTATGAGGACACAAAGCCATAAGAATGATACAAATGGTCTTTGGGGACTTGGGGAAAAGGGTGGGATGGAGGTGAGGGATAAAAGACTACACAACTGGGGACAGTATACACTGGGTGATGGGTGCTCCAAATCTCAGAAATCACCACTAAAGAACTTATTCATGTAACTGAACACCACCTATTCCCCAAAAACCTATTGAAATAAATTTTAAAAAATTGTGTTTATAAGGTTTTTTAATACCAAAAGGAAATACTTGTGCTTTTATGTTAAATTAAAACTTAGACACGCTAGGCTTAAAACAGAGAAAAAGACTAGAAGACCGGGTGTGTTTAATTATTTTAAGCCTTTGGTTTGTAACTGGTTTGTTGGCATGTGCCACTTGCTGCGCTCTGAGTCCTCCCACCATGGCATTTCTAGCTGCCAACATGTTGTCACTATGTCTCTGAACATAGAACGGGGGATAGTTGTACACAATCGGCTTTCCCAAGCTGGCTCAAGCCGACTTCAGTACGCCACTGGCAATAATGTCAAAATGTTGACAGTAATGTGAATGATGTAATTATGGGAAAGGTTATTTTTCAACTATATTTTCCAAATTTTTTGCAATATAGTGGGTGTTGGGGGAGTGGGGGAAGGTGTCATGTTTGTAAAGCTTATTTTTTCAGGAAAACAGCCTCTTAGCAAATGTGACCTACCTGAACAATATGGTTCAGGCCTTCTTTTGTACACTGGACTAAATCGTTCTTGTTGTTCAGTTTCACATTTTGTCAAATAATGTTGAGAGCTAGAGTGAGCTAGAGATCAAAGTCCATTCTTTGTCCTGATCCAGCCCACACAGCAACCTCGGAATGATGTAGGCAAGGAATACTCTGATATCCAAGCAGGAGGAAAGAGTTCCTCCTGTGATCACGCCACAGCCAACTAGGACCCTGACCAATAACCAGGCATGCACAATTGAGACAAAATCCTTTTCTCGTGTTGTTTTTTATTTTTTATTTTTTTTTTATTTTTTGGAGACAGGGTCTCACTCTGTCACCCAGGCTGGAGTATAGTGTGCAATCCTGGCTCACTGCAACCTCCACCTCGAGGGCTCAAGCAATCCTCCCACCTCAGCCACCTAAGTAGCTGGGACTACAGGTACATGTCACCATGCTTAGCTAACTTTTTAATTGTTTGTAGAGTCAAGTTTTCCTTAAGTTGCCCAGGTTGGTCTCAAACTCCTGGGCTCAAGCGATCCTCCTGCCTCAGCCTCCTAAAGTGCTGGGATTACAGGCATGAGCCACTGAACCTGGCCCATTTTTTTCTTAATGAAACTAGAAAACAGCATTGTCCTCTAAGAAGTATGATGTCATATAAATTGCTAAGTGCAGTTTCATGCAGCCCACGCACAGAATATACCTTGATTGAATTCACAGAAAGTACATTCCACTTTCAGAAAACACAAGTGCTAATCTCTCAAAGCAAGAAGTACAAATAGATATCAATGCCAAGAGCTGAGTCCTTAGGCAAGTTATTCTCTCCAATCCTCAGTTTTCTCATCTATAAAAGGGGGACATTCATATACATTGGTAACCATTTCATAGTTGTGAGCATTGAATGAGATAGCAAACGTGAAGTGCTTGATAGTCCTTAATAACAGACATTGGTTCTTATGTCCCCCTTTTCTTACTCCACTCCCTTAGGAAGAAAGGAAAAGGTCCAAGGAAATGTCAACCACCAGAAAAGGGCTGAATGATAAATAAGAAGCTCATGATCTCACAAATAGCCCCAGAGGCTTCAGAAGAGCGGTAGCACACGTTTCCTATATGCATTGGCATGAAACCACACACTTATGTCTTTGCAAAAGCCTCAAAAAGATTTTCCCTAAATACATAGCTATCATATAGGAAGAAAGAAAAAATCAAGGCTCTTTTAGAAAGTCAGATTTATTTTGCATCCAAACCTGCAGCTCAGACAACAGGGCATGATTTCGGAAAAGAAAAAGCATAAGATTTCTGCCTGTAATAAGAGCCACTTCCAGCTATCACCTTCCCACCAAGAGATAAAGAGTTTAATTGGAAGAGGTGGCAAATTGCTAAGTGCAGTTTCATGCAGCACATGCAGAGAATATATACCTTGATTGAATTCACAGAAACGGCACTCCACTTTCAGAAAACATAAGCGCTAATCTCTCAAAGCACAAGGTACAAATAGATATCAGGGCCAAGAGCTGCAGAGCGTCAGATGGCCAGCCAACCTGGCTTTCTCTTCCTCGCCTAGGAGGGCTTAACTCATCAGCACTTCTGGCACCAAAGAAGAAAACTCTGCTTGCTCTGGGAGAGAATGGGATATAGATCCTCTCTGGCTCTCTGCAGATGCCAGCGATCAACAATAAATGCTACCCCTGGGGACAGGACAACATAACTCTCATGGTTCGTCTCCTACTACTCTGCCCAGAGTTCAGGCAACAGAGTGATTATGTCATTTTTTATTTTTTTCAACCCCCTTTTTTTTTTTTTTTTTTTTTTTTTTTTGAGACGGAGTCTCGCTCTGTCGCCCAGGCTGGAGTGCAGTGGCACGATCTTGGCTCACTGCAAGCTCCGCCTCCTGGGTTCACGCCATTCTCCTGCCTCAGCCTCCCGAGTAGCTGGGACCACAGGCGCCCGCCACCATGCCCGGCTAATTTTTTCTGTTTTTTAGTAGAGACGGGGTTTCACTGTGCTAGCCAGGATGGTCTCGATCTCCTGACCTTGTGATCCGCCCACCTCGGCCTCCCAAAGTGCTGGGATTACAGGTGTGAGCCACCGCGCCCGGCCTCAACCCCTTTCTATATATTTAATGATTTTTCTTTTCTATCAAAGCAGCAGCAGGCACTAGGGGGGAGTCTTTAAAAAGTGATTAGAAAAAAACCAGCTGTGATGGTTTATGTGTCAATTTGGCTGGACTATGGTGCCTAGACGTTTGGTCCAACACCAGCCTAGATGTTGCTGTAAAGGTATTTTTAGATGTGATTAACACTTGAATTGGTAGACTTTGAGTAAAGCAGATGACCCTCTATAATGTGGGTGGACCTCATACAATCAGTTGAATACTGTAAAAGCAAAGACTGAGGTTTCCCAAAGAAGATGGAATGCTGCCTCCAGACTGCAACACAGAAATTCTGCCTAGTTTCCAGCCTTTGGACTCAAGACCACAAAATCCACTTTTACCTGAATCTCCAGCCTACTGCTTGGTCTGTGGATTTTGGACTTGTCAGATCCCGCAGTTGCATGCCCAATTCCTTAACATCTCTCCAGATAGCTAGATAAGTGTATGTGTAGAAAGATACTATAGATACAGATATAGATTTGATATATAGATAGCGCATGGGTTCCATTTCTCTGGAGAAGCCTAATATGCCAGCAAATACCACCACTGTCTTCAAAGAGCAACCAGCCCAGTGGGGGCAGAGAATTTGCCAGCAGACCTGGGGAGGTTTGCAGAGTATCTATCTGTGCTGCTGAGGAAGGTGTGCAGACACAGCCCCTGCATGGTGGACTGTTCATGTCTCTCCTTTGAGGTCTGTTTCCATCACGGCCTCAGGTAAAGGCCTGGCCTACAAGACTAAAGTGCCTCCAGGCTCCTGCCCTTCTTCCCAAGTTAGGAAACAATGCTAGAGCCTTTATTCACACAAGCAAGGATGAGAATTGCAACAAGGAATTCATCCTGGTAGAAGAATAAATGGGGAATGCCACACTGCCCAAGGAGAAGACCAACTTTGCATGCAGTTCCCTGCGGTGTTGCCAAGCTGTACTGGGTCTGAGTGAGGAGAAGGAAACAGATGGAGAGAGAAAATTCAGTGAGAGGGTGTGTCCCAGAGGAGCAGTCTCAGACTTGAAGTACACGAAAGTATCACTAAGGGAGCTTTCTAAAAAATGCAGGTTGCAGCCAGGCACAGTGGCTCACGCTTATAATCCCAGCACTTTGGGAGGGCGAGGCAGGAGGATCACTTTAGCCCAGGAGTTCAAGACCAGCCTGGGCAACACGGCAAAACCTTATCTCTACAAAAATACAAAAATTAGCTGGGCATAGTGGCGTGTGCCTGCAGTCCCAGCTACTCATAAGGTTGAGGTGGGAGGATTGCTTGAGCCTGCAGAGATCAAGGCTGCAGTGAGCCATGTTCACACCTCTGCATTGCAGCCTGGGCAACAGATTGAGACCTGTCTCAAAAAAAAAAAAAAAAATGCAGATTCCACAGCTCCCACAAGAATGCTGATCCAGAATGTGTAGGATGGATCCAGAAAGCAACTTTCAACAATGTTCCCCAGGTGATTCTGACACAGATGTCGTGTGGCCACAAGCTGAGACCATCTTGTCGGCAAGGCCAATAGCTGGTGAATACGCCTGTGGAGAGGGAGACCCTCTTCATCTCACTTCATACTGCAACTCAGAGTCAGGAGAAACATAGAGGCTGAAGGCAGAGGATGGCCAAAAGCAGGCAAGGCAGAGAGTCCCTCTGTGATCATGCCAGCTTTCCCATCTCTTTCCGACTCAGCAGGATGGAAAGAGGAGTCTCTTGGGACAGAGACGGGAGATGGGGTCCTTGTGATTCCTGCAGGAGTGTCAGCATGGTTTAGAACTTTGGGGGATGAAAAACTAATTCCAACTGTGGCCTCCAGTCAAGGTTAATTTCAAAGGGAATTAGCATTGAGCTGACATTCATTTTCCCTTCTCAATTAGCAGAGTCCTCGTAAAGAAAATGTCATTAGTCAATATGAAGAGTTGGAATAGAGGAACTCGGATTCTTATTCTACCTTGATATTAGAGCATAAGGGTTGCAAATTACTCCCTCAATGCTGTAACCTTCTCAGTGGCAACACTTGACCAGCTCGCGCCTCTGTTCATGATCGGTGTCTCACCCCTTCCTTCATTTTCATGCTAATGAGGCTTCTCCAAATCACCTCATTCCCTTTCCTGACCCCCATTCCTGCTGACTGCTTATAGCCAGCAGAGGCTTCTTCTCTGCAAGAAGCATTACCCAACCATGTTAATTACTCCTTCCTTTATCTTCAGTGACCTGACCGGAGGCTGAACACCACCTCATATTTCTCCATCAGTCATTTTAACTACTCCACAGTTGCTCATAAGTGTCCTCTGCTCTGTTCATCATTGAAGTACCCACGGCTTCCTGAATAGCACATAAACCCAACCACACTTGAGAATGAAGGATGGATAAGCATTGCACTCTCTAACCTTCATCTATAATAAGAATGCTAAAAAGTACAAAGGGCAGAGCTGGAGGTTAGAAAGAAAGAGGAGAGAGGGAAAGAAGGGGAGGGTTCATTGCAGAAGGGTTTTATGCAGTTTCAATTCAGAAAAGATAATCAGAGCAGGCCTGTCTGTTTGGAGGAAGGGAGGTGAGAGGTGCAGGATGGGTTGGGGAGCTGGGTTGGAGAAGGCTGCAGAACTCCACCCTTGGTAGCAAGTATTTATCAAGGACAGAATTAAAGCCAAACAACATTGTGCTTGGGACAGGGAATGGGGGTTATGTTTTGGGAAGGAAATTAGGGTCTAGAGATTCCCCCCATAGCTAAGCTAAACTCTGTGAGTTAATAAGCGTTATAAACATTCTTCCTCTCCTTAGCAACCAAGTGGCTGTGTCTCTGTAGTCATGAGGCAGGTGAGAGGCAGGGATTTTAGGGAAATGTGCATGAAGAAGCAGCTACTGGTCCCAGACATGTACAGACACACAGAGTCCAAAACTAAACACTGTACTGCATGTAGTGGATTTCTCTGCTAATGCCCACAATGAATTGGGCAAAGTCTTTTGTAGTACCCCCCAACATTGGCTCGAGGTTGATCATATGACTTGCTTTACCCAGTAGGATATCAGCAAACAGGACACAGAGACTTCATAGGCTCATTAGGGTTTGCTGTCTTGTAAACTGCTGCCACCATGCAAGAAACCCAAACGATCCTCCTGCAGAAGCCACGGAGAGACCCACTTAGACCTCTTGGCTAACAGCCGCCCTACCTAGCAGCCAGCAATGAGAAGGAAGTCACCTTGAACCATCCCATACCAGCAGAGCAGCTAAATAACATTGAGTGTCCCAGGCCAAGTGGCAGCAAATGAGCAAGTAAATGGTTGTTACCCAAAACTGCTCATTCAGAAGGATTTGTCAGGCAGCAACAGATAACTATGACATCACACTTTTAATTTAAAGTGCCTGCAACAATTCAGAGAAAATGAAACACTTCATAAAATCCAACATTCATGCATATTTGAAACTCATCAAGAACTGGAAATAAAGAATCCTTTTAATCTCATGGAGTCTCTGACAAATAACCACAGCAAACAAAAATATAATGGTGAAATATAAGAGGCATAACTATTACAGTAGGAGCATCTGCCTGCTGTCATCGCTTCCATTTAACATTGTATTAGAAATCCTCAATCCAATAGGCAAGAAGAATAAAAGGAATAAGAATTAAAAATGAAGTAAAAAAAGAAAAAGCGATACCTATTTACAGACAATGTGATTGTCTATTATGGACTGAAAAATGACTCCCCAAGGTATCTAAGTCCTAATCCCCAGAACTTGTGAATGTTACCTTTTATGGCTAAAGGGACTTGGCCAATGTGGTTAATCAAAGGGTTTTGAGTTGAGAACATTACTCTGGATTATCTGATTGGATACGATGTAACCATTGGGGTCCTTATGAGAGGCTGATAGGAGATCAGAAGAGGAGAAGGAAGTGTGACAACAGAAGCAAGAGGTTGGAGTCATGTGAGGAAGGGCCATGAGCCAAGGAATGCAGAAGAAACTGATTCTCCCCTAAGCCCCAGAAAAATACAACCTTGCTGGCACTTTGACTTTAGCCAATGAAACCAACTTCAAATGGCCTCCAAAATTGTAAGAGGACAAATTTGTGTTGTTTTAAACCACCAAGCTTGTAGTAACTTGTTACAACCACCATTGGAAACTAATATCCTGTTTAAATAGAAGATCCTAAAAGAATTTATAGATAATAAAACTAAAAAGGAGGATCAGCAAGTTTGTTGGATACAAGTTCAACATACAAAGTCAACAGCAACAGCCACACATACCTTCAATAATCAACCAGGCAACATGATGACAAAAACGAAAGAGCTCTCAGGTGCAAAAGTAACAAATCTATAAAAGAGCTCAGAGTAACCCAACAAAATATGTGCAAGACTTTTCTTAACAAAATTGGGCCAGGCACGGTGGCTCACACCTGGAATCCTGGCACTTTGGGAGGCCGAGGCAAGTCGATCACCTGAGGTCAGGAGTTCAAGACCAGCCTGGCCAACATGGTGAAACCCTGTCTCTACTAAAAATACAAAAATTAGCCGGGCATGGTGACATGCCTGTAATCCCAGCTACTTGGGAAGCTGAGGCAGGAGAATCACTTGAACCTAGGAGGCAGAGGTTGCAGTGAGTCAAGATCATGCCACTGCACTCTAGCCTGGGTGACAGAATAAGACTTCATCTCAAAAAAAAATTGTAAAATATTTTGAAAAACATAAATGGCTTTATGAATGGGGAATTAGCCATTTATAAAAAGTTGTGAAGATTGGCTGGGCGCAGTGGCTCATGCCTGTAATTCCAGCACTTTGGGAAGCCAAGGCAGGTGGATGACTTGAGGCGAGGAGTTCGAGACCAGCCTGGCCAATCTGGCAAAACTCTGTCTCTACTGAAAATACAAAAATTAGCCTGGCATGGTGGCTTGGGCCTGTAGTCTCAGCTATTTGGGAGGCTGAGGCACAAGAATTACTTGAACCCGGGGGGTTGCAATTAGTTGAGATTGCGTCACTGCACTCCAGCCTGGGTGACACAGTGAGACTCTGTCTCAAAAAAAAAGTTATGAAGATTATCATAGAAAAAGCATTTTTCCCTAAATTAATCTATATTCAGTACATGAATCCTAGCAAAGTTTTTTTGGGGGAAATTGACAAGCCAGTCCTAAAATCCTAAAGGAAGAGTGGTCAGGAAAGGTTAATTGAGCAGCCCTGGGTTGCTCAAATCCTGTACATTCCAAAGGAAAGTTTGCCTTCAGAACTGGCCTTTGGCCACCTTTGGGGAGATGTGCTCTAAACTCCAGAAATATTCTGCCCAATAAGAGTGTTTCATATGCCTGAGACTTTGTGTCATGCTGTATTAGTTTGACTAGATAAGTTTATCCAGACACTGATTTATGGTAAATGCCCTGAATGCCTGCTTTTCCTTGGGGACAGGCAGGTGGTGGGGAGGGGTGGTGTCTAGAATCTGAGAAGCTGAGGTCAGTCGCATTAGGTGCTGCATGACTATGAAACTGACCCACAAGAAAAGCCTTGGACACCAAGACTCAGCAGAGCCTCCCTGGTTGGGCACACTCCATGCGTGTCGTCACATGTTGATACTCAGAAATTAGATGTCCCAGCCGGGCGCAGTGGCTCACGCCTGTAATCCCAGCACTTTGGGAGGCTGAGGAGGGTGGATCACTTGAGGTCAGGAGTTCAAGGCCAGCCTGGCCAACATGGTAAACCCTGTTTCTACTAAAAATAGAAAAAAATTAGCCAGGCATGGTGGCATGTGCCTGTAATCCCAGCTACTCAGGAAGCTGAGGCAGGAGAATCGCTTGAACCCGGGAGGTGGAGGTTGCAGTGAGCTGAGACCGTGCCACTGCATTTCAGCCTGGGCAAAAAAAAGCATGACTCCATCTCAAAAAAAAAAGAAAAAAGAAAGAAAAGAAAAGGAGAAGAGAAAGAAAAAAAAGAAAAAGAGAAAAGAAAGAAATTAGACATCCCTATAAAACTCCCCTGGGAGGATTTCCCTGAGTGCTTCTGCCTTATTTTTCCTAGACTTTACTCCACACCCCTTTCCCTTTGCTGACTTTCATCTTTGATCTGCAGCCTTTCCCTGCAATAAAGTATAACTGAATATAACAGCCTCTGAGTCCTGTCCATTCTTCTAGCACATCACCAAGTTCATTTTGAAGAAAATCAACAAGATGGGACGAAAATGCATCACATAACTATAATAAGAAACTTAGATGGCATTGGAACAGAAGGATGAATGGAATGGACCAGGGACCCTGACGATCTCTCTTCTCCCACACATTGCACATTTTTCAAGCCTCCACATTTCCTTCAGTTGAACCTTCATTTTGCAATGTACTACTTCTACTATTGAGCTTCTGCTAATTCTTACGTTCTATTCAAGTGGCACTTGTTTTATGAAACTTTCCCCAGCTTCAAGGAAAAGGAATTGCTCCCTACTCAAAGCTCCCATAGAAATTTGTTCTGGCCTCAGCACTAATCACATTGAAGCAATGTTGTACAGCCTGTATTTATCTGTCTTCTCTCCCGCTAAACTGTGGGTCCCAGAGGGCTCAGTCAGTACCTGATTCATCCCTGTCTCCCTGGCACACACCACAACATAGAGGACCCAGTAGATGTTAAATAAATGTATGGTGAATGAGTAAAATATGAATAATGATGAAAACTCAAGTGTTGGGAGGTAAGTAAATTGTAGTGTTCAATAGGAACTATGGAAAAGGATAACAAAACCTGAGATTTACATTTGGGATAAATAATGTGTCATCCAATGAAAAATTTCAGGATTTATTCGATTTCACTTACACACACCCACAAAATGAAGGCATCATAAAGACCAGACTAATAATTACAGAAGATATGTGTAGAGTTTGCCAATTTGTTATAGTGATTGAAGAGTGTCTCCAAATAAATATGTTTTTTCAGGAAGATCCTTCATGGTGAACTGCAAACAAGCCTTGAAAGTTAAACTATGAAAACTGGGTAGTTTTATTGAGTCACAGTCTGATATGAAACTTCCATTCATGATGGAATCCATTCATCTGCCTCTAGATATAGTTTTTTACTTAATTTTAAAGACTCTTGCTTCAAATCTAGGCACTGTAAAACCACATTACTTCATGCACATTAATTAGAAGAACTTTCTTTTAAAAGATAGAGATTAAAGGAGAATCTCTCCTTTGCATTATTTATAGATAAAATATTTGCTAATCAAATGAATACTAGTAATGCTATTACAGGAAGAACTCAAAACCCTAAGTAATCTCCCATTTTCTTTCTCACTCTGAGTGTACTCTACCTGCGTTACGGAATATGGTAGCTACTAGTAATATACGGCTAAGAATCACTTGAAATGGGGCTAGTACTATAAAGGAATTAAATTTTCCATTTTATTTCATTTCAATAGCCACATTGAAAAGTAGCTAGTGGCTACCATCTTAGATAATGATATAGAAAATTTCCATCATCTAATGAAAGATATACTAGATCGTGTTGGCTTATACTCTAGATGTCCAAAATTCAGTAAGTATCAATGAAATTAACAAACAATGACAAGTGTGTGGTTTATCAAAATATAAACTCTGACACTGAGCTATAAAAGATGAAGGGTGGTCCTTATCTTCAAGGAGGCAGATGTGTAAATAGCGAAAATAGTGAATCATCCCTAATGCAGGAAGGCAGAAAAATTACATGAGGGAGCTAGTAGATCAAAGAAAGCTCTAGCAGAGACGTGATATTTGAACCAATTCATAGAGTAAAGAAAAATTTAGACAACAAATGGGGCGGGGTTAGGGAGCCCTTAAGCCAAGGGAACCCCTGTGTATAAAGGACAGAAAGGCACTGTGAAGGGCCATGGCATCTGGTTGGCAGCACATGGATTAGAGAGGCCAGAAGGGAAAGATGATAGTGTAGCAAGGAGGCATGAAGACCTCGTAGATCAGGGAGCTTACAACAGTCCCTTGGGAAGATAGGGAATTGTATTGGGTTTTAATTGAGCAACGATATGGAACATAGGATCTGTGTTATATAAATGTCATAATGGCTAGGCACAGTGGTTCATGCCTGTAATCCCAACACTTTCGGAGGTGAGTGGATTTCTTGAATCCAGGAGTTTGAGACCAGTCTGAGCAACATAGTGAGACCCCATCTCTACAAAAATAAATACAAAACTTAGCTGGGCATGGTGGCACACACTTGTACTCCCAGCTACGAGGGAGGCTGAGGTGGGAGGATAGATAGAGTCCAGGAGGTCCAGGCTGCAGTGAGCCATGATTATGCCACTGCACTCCAACCTGGGTGACAGGGCAAGACCCTGTCTCAAATAAATAGGTCATAATGGCTGCTGAGGGAGAAATGGAGAGAATGGAGATAGATCAGAGATGAGGAGGCCAAGGAGGACATTGAGGCCAACAAGCAGAAGAGAAGCGACCATGCTGAGCCAGGACAGAGGAGGTGAGGCTCGAGAGGAAGCAAGCAACGCAACAGCTGTTTATTCAAAATGGGTTAATATTTTTTAAAAAGACTATTTTATGAAAATTTAGCAAGTGTGAGACATGCAATCATTCTGGCATCCCAACAGCATATGCTGTGAGAGAAGGTGTTGCTGCAATTGTTAGGATGGGCTCTCCTTAAAGCTCACAAAACCACTCCAAAATGCTGAGCATGCAGCAACCCAAGAAAGCCCGTTGCCACCTGCTGCAATCACTCAGCCAGCACAGCAGTTGTGTGATGGATGCTCAGGGTCACAGTAGATACCGGCCATGGCAGGCGAGCCAAGCATGGCAAAGAACGAGCTGGGCACGAAGATGCCAGACCCGGCCCTCCCGAGGCCTTGCACAAAACCCTGGAAAGAGTCCAGGATGTGGGCTCACACAGCCCATGTTCTAGGGTCCAGCTCAGCAACTTACCAGAGCCAGGCCTTTGAGTGACTCACTAGACTCTAAGCTCCTAATTTCCTCACCTCTAGAATGAGGCAATGCTATTTATCTCATAAGGTTTATAGGAGCATGACTAGTACATACTGAGTGCCTTAAATGAGTTAGTTCCCTTTACCTTCCCCAAAGCAGGCTTTCTGAGTAGCCAATCCCAAAAGTCTAGTGGGAAGAGTTCATATTTAACATGGAGCCAAAGTCCTTTCCACTCTCATGTCACATTTTTCTTTGATGTCCCCAGTCCTTGGTAGAATCTAAATACTCTATAGGCTTGGGAAGAGCCCAGGGAGTGGGCCTCATTGAATAGCTTTGTGAGGATACTTTATTCAATAAAACTATCCCTAGAGTAACTGAGGGGAGTCTGTTCTTTGCTAGAAAGCTTTGAAGAGGGCAACTGAGCTAAAGAACATGTTGGAAACTTCTCACAATTAGAGTCTAAACAATCTAAACTGAACTTTTGCAAACCATTCATGCCTTACATAAACTTAATAAGGTCCTGAGGGATTTTTATTTAAAAGAATAAAAATGCCCATTGCTTCTTCTGGAGTGGTTTCTATGGGCTCCTTTTCACATGGTTACTCCTTGTAATGATCCTGTGTGGTAGATTGTTGTTACGAACTGAATCATGCCCACACTCCCCATGCCAAATTCATATGCTGAAACCCAAACCCCAAATACATCAGAATGAGATTGCATTTGGACACAGGCCCTTCAAAGAGGTAATTAAGTTAAGCAGACCTTAGAATAGGTCTTAATCCAGTCTGACTGGTGTCCCTGTGAGAAGAGAAGATTAGGACACACGGGGAGATGCCAAGGGAACCAGCCATGTGAAGAGACAGCAAGGGGGCATCATCTGAAACCAAGGAAAGGGCCTCAGAGGAAACCAATCCTTCTGGCATTTTGGTCTTAGACATTCGGCCTCCAGAACTGTGAGAGAACAAATTTCTATTGTTTCAACCACCCAGTCTACGGTATTCTGTTATGACAAGCCTAGCAAACTAATACATGGGTTCGATATTTTTAAACTCCCAATTTTTCAGATGAACAAATGGCTTGAGTTTGCACAGCTACACTTGAATTTGAACATGGACTTGCTTGAAAACTCATGCTTTTAACATTACCTTGTGCTATGATTCAAACATGTCATTCAAATTTTATGTGTTGGAAACTTGATCCTCAAATTCATGTGTTGATTGGAGGTGAGGCCTTTGGGAGGTGTTAGGATTAGATAAGATCATCAGGGTAGGGCCCTCATGATGGGACCAGTGGCTTTATAAGAGAAAGGGAGATCTAAACTGACACACATGCATACGCAAGCCCTTCCTCATATACTGCCCCCCACCAGGTTATGATGCAGCAAGAAGGCCCTCACCAGATGCCAGTGTCATGCTCTTGGACTTCCCAGCCTCCAGAACTATGAGTCAAATAAACTCCTTTCCTTTATAAATTTCCCAATCTCCAGTATTCAGTTATAGCAACAGGAAACAGATTAAGACACCCTGAATATTTGCAAAGCAAGTTAGGTTTTAGGCACATTTTATGAAGTTACTATTTTTAAGCAAGTTTGCATGAAGATGGTATCTCTACATTCAGTTCCAGTTTCATCTTCGATCTGGTTAATTCCCACTCTAGATCACTACTTGTTTCCAATCACAATAAACACTAGCCATGCCATGACTAAACTGTAGCCGTAAGTAGTAAGGCTATTAAATTCACTCTCCTATGACCAAGATAAAGAAGGATAAAATGGAAAAAAGAATTGAAACTCTTATTCCTACCATCCTCAATCTACTACCGTGATAATAATTATAACTTTTTCCCATTTATCCCGACAGATTATGCATGGGAATGGATACTAAGGGAGTGGGTTAACAATGGAAGAAACACAAAATTGGATCAGGATGTATTTACTGATATGGAACCACTAAGTAGAGATTCTGGATTTAATGCTGTACCTCAGGGGGTCAGAAAGGGCTCTATTTGGTTGGTTTGTTGGCTGAAACATGAACCAAATGTGGTCTATACTAAATGAAGCTGAAATGCCATAACTACTTTGGTATACTACAAAAGAAGATATCCAAAGACTTAGACTGGATGTTAGAACAGATTTACCTTGTAAGATCTGCTCATCCAACCTGGAAGGGTCAAAAGGACATACCTATGACTATGACTGTGAGAAGTAAACTTGTGTGGGGAGCCCCAGCATCCTTGGAGAGTTCTGGGGTTGCTCTTCCCTGTAAGCCAGAAATCACAGTAGGTACTGTGTCCACTGAACTGTGATCTTTAAAAGCAATGGGGAAAATTGGATGCAAGGATGGGCCAACGGGGCCAAGTAATGGCATTTAATCACCAAAGACAAGGTGGGTGTGGTTACTGTAATGGACAGCAGAGTCAAAGCAGCAGTCTGAAAAGTGTGACTCTCAGAGACCTATGGTGTTGGTTAATTGATCATTGTGTCCTTAGAAGAGAAATACGTGGATATTCCACTAAATTCTTACTTGATCTGTATAAGCAGAAGAGTCCTAGGTTGAATAAAGAGAAGTCCACCATGAATTACCAAAAACAGAGTTGAAATCCTTTCGCCAATTCCCAGACTTTAGCCAGTTTACAGACCTGGAATGACCTGAGTGAAGGGGAAGCCAGCTCCCTTGAGGAGGGCCCCTCACCACAACGCCAAAAATTAACACTGTCTGTCTTTTTCCCAGCCTTCCCCAAAAGGATCTACAGTCTTCTACCAGAGTGACTATGCATTGGAGGAAAGGAAATAATCAGACTTTTGGGCACTACTAGGCACTGACTCTGAACTCGCACTAATTCAAGAGACCCAAAACTTCAGTGTGACCACCAGTCAGAGTAGGGGCCTATGGAGGGCAGAGGATCAGCGGAGTTTCACTCAGGGCCCTTTCACAGTGGGTTCAGTCACTTGGCCGACCAGTCAGAGCAGGGGCCTATGGAGGGCAGAAGATCAGCAGAGTTTCACTCAGGGCCCCTTCACAGTGGGTTCAGTGGCTTGGCCCACCAGTCAGAGTAGGGGCCTATGGAGGGCAGAGGATCAGTGGAGTTCCACTCAGGGCCCTCTCGCAGTGGGTTCAACAGCTCCCTGACTCTGGCCCTAGTTATTTCCCTAGTTTCAGAAAGCAGAAACCCCACATGTCTACTTCAAATATGTCCTCCAACCTGTCTACAAATTAGTACAATTTTGTTTATTGTCATAATATCATTTGGATCTTTCTTTCTGTCCTTCTTTCTTTTTTAAAGTATAAAGAATGTGATTTTTTAAAGTTTTTTAAAACCCTAGGCTAGAGAAGAAACAGGTCATGCAGCGTAGTTTAAAAGTGGTTATGAAAGCACTTACACTTACTGGTGCAGTTTCGTAAAGAAACTTTTAGAGAAAGTCCCTGCTGCACACTGTCATTGATCAAGGGTGGCCTGTCATTTTCCAGGTCTAAGAGGTACATTAACTTCATCAAGCAATTATGGCTCTTCCAGGCACTCCCAGGGACATCAGAAGTCCATAAAGTATCAGACGGAAATTATGTTCCATTTCCTTCCCTTCCAGAGTTCTACCAGGTTCCTCCTCATCTCTGAACTCTGCCTCATTTGAAAGGACCAAGACCATCCGTCCCCCCAATGTCTCTGTCTTTTGAGCTCAAGTCCATCTTGACAGCTCCAGTGACCCCAGCCAGCCAGGGGTCACCCACATATCAGTGTGGCAATGTTGCTGCCATTGATCACGGCCCCATTTTCAATATCTGTGAGAGGCAGGGCACACAGTCTCCCCTGAGAACATCCTATCACACTATGATTCCATTTTCTCTCTCCACTTCTTTATTGCCCATTATTCCATAAATGATAGCCTGCCTGGAAACCAAGACATAAACCCCACTGTTTGGGCCTCACACATATCATTCCTCACAGTCCAGACCATGCCTGTATATGGATGGATGAGGGAGCAAAAGTTCCCAGGGGCTCAAGAGCTGCCAAGGGCCACTCTGCCTCCAGCTAAAGGGGCTGCACCGCAATGCTCATCTTCCAGGGAAAGGGCCAGATCATGGGGAAGCCACCTGTGTGTGGGAGAGCAGAATCCATCCCATGCCTCTGGATTTTGTTCATGGGACACAAAGGTAAAGATGGGCAGGTGGGAAGAGGATGTTCTCATTCCAGGACATGTGTTTTGAGACCACTTTCTCTCTGCTGTGCCCCAGGATCCTTTCTGGGGCCTTGGCTGGTTCTCACACTATGGGTTTCTTCTCAGCTCCAGGCCCCAGGAGGCCTCTACTGATTCTCTTTCCTCACAGAAACTGGCACCACCCACAGTGTTCCCTGAGGAACCTCTTCCCCCAGGACCATCCCCACCCTCCCCCTGCTCAGCTGTGAAGCAGTCAAGTTCTTCCCGGATACCTTGCTTCCCCATCGCCTCTGAAGAGGAAATTCCAGGTTGTTTGCATTGGAAGAGTCATACCACTGGTGCCAACAAGGAGATGGGGTAAGTGAGTCCCAGACCTGAGATTCTGGGATCTAATGGCCTACATGGTTGCAGGCCTGGTGTCTAGGAACAACGCTCTTCAGATCTGGAAGGTCATGGTCTACCAGTGAACGCCGCCTCTTTGTCCTTCTTCCCAGGAGAGGTTTGCCAGGCCTCCTTTTGCCCTGCCAGGGAGGACCCCCGGAGATAGCACATAGCAAGACCAAGTGATGAACACCGTGGCTTGCAGAGAACCCCATGCATGGGTGGGTGGCAGCTGGCAGCTCTGGTGAGCTATAGGGCCATGTGGTGGTCCAAGTGGAGACAGTGGTGCTCCAGGCAACTCACAGGCAGACACACCAGCTACTGCGGAAGTTCAGAGGCTCAGCCACCGGACAGGAAGCATGAGGAAGACTCGGTCACAGAGAATAAAGGAAGAGTTCTGTCCATGAATGTCCATGCAGTAGCTCATCCGGCAAACATTCCCTGGGTGCTTGCTATATGCCAGGGTTGGTCTGAGGACCCAAAGAGGGACAGGATTTAGTCCTTGACCTCCAGGGACTCTTGTTCCCAAGGGGGAGACAACTTATTACAAAACAAGAGTGTGAAGTAAAGGTCGATGCTCCCCCCCATACTAATCCCATCCCTAAATGTTAAAACATTGGCACATATTCACTCAGAAATGTTTCTGTGACTATACCAAAAGACAAAAACCAAGACGCTAGAACCACACTCAAACACTGCACCACAGCACCCACAGCATGCAGTGCACAGAGGCCACCACATTACCCTGTGACCAGTGCCGCGGGAGTCCTGAGGGTGCAGCGGAGGGAGAGACACACCCCAGGCAGGCCAGCAGGGATGCCCATTCAGGGGCTGCCCTCTGTCCCCCTCATCCCCTATCCTGGAAGGTACCCGGTTTCCATCTGCAGGTGGGCTTAGGGCCAGGGCTGAAACCCAAGGACAGGACAGGGCTTGGAGCTCAGAAAGATCTGACCAGCGCTCTGTGTCCTGAGTCCCCTGTAACCGTGTAGGGAAGGCAGTGAAGAGACAATCCTCATTACAGAGCCATGGGAATGGACGCAGAAAAGGGGCTGCAGGTTGGGAGCTGTTGCAGGGCTCCTATCTCTGGGGATAGACAAGAGTTTGCACCAAGGTCCACATCCCCTCCCACACATGTCCTTAGAGGCCTCCTCTAGAAGGGGACAGGTGGGACCAGCCAAGGGAAAGCAGCCTCCAGCGCAGAGCCTGACAGCATCACCGTCTGCACTGCCCATCCTTCCCAGGCAGAGGGAAGGAAAACTGGCTGGGACCAAGGAGAGGCAGTGGCTAGGGAAGCAAGGTCAGCCTCTAAATTTTATTCTGGTTTACTCACTGTATTGTTCTTTTTTCCCCGAGATGAAGTCTCACTCTGTCGCCCAGGGTGGAGTGCAGTAGTGGGAATCTCGGCTCACTGCAACCTCTGCCTCCCAGGTTCAACAGATTTCCCTGCCTCAGCCTTCCCAGTAGCTGGGATTACAGGTGCCTGCCACCATTCCTGGCTAATTTTGTATTTTTAGTAGAGAGGATCTCACCATGTTGGCCAAGCTGGTCTTGAACTCCTGACCTCAGGTGATCCACCCGCCTTGGCCTCCCAAAGTGCTGGGATTATAGGTGTGAGCCACTGCACCCAGCCTACTCACTACTTTTTAGCTGGTGGTCTCGAGTATAATCCCCTCTACCCTCAGTTTCCTCTTCAATAAAATGGAGATAACAAGTTCTTTCTCCTGGGTTTCTGTGAGAATGCAGTGAAATCATATGTAGGAAATGCTTAGCCCTGGGCCTATTGCCTGAGGACACCAATAATCAGGGCAGCATTTATGAGCACTGTGCCCAGGGCACTGCCTTAAGCACCTGTGTGTCAAACAGTAATTAATGAGCCAATCCTCAAGGCAACTCAATGAAATAGATGTTGTTATTATCCCATTTTACATATGAGGAAACCAAAGGGCACAAAGGTGAAGGATACTGTCTCTCCTGCCCAAGGTCACAAAACAATGGAGAAAATGTACTCAGATTTGAACCCGGGCAATCTGAATTCAGTATCTGCGGCCATAACCACTTGTATATGTGGCTTATTAAGTAGCAGAAATGAGGGTGGTCATTGTCATTTTGCCAACCTTAAAAGTTTATTGTGAGGATTAGAAATAAAACACAGACTGTCTTTAAACAGTGCCTGGGCCAGTCTGTAGGTATTCAATAAATAGTAATTAATGATTAGCATTACTATCACTTTAGTTGAGGCCAATAGAAGGCATGCATATAGCCAGCCCCCATAGAAGGTTCCTGTATTGATCATCAGTTGCCACAATAACGCTACATAACAAATACCTCCAAACTTCAGTAGCATACAACAAAAAACATTTGTTTAGCTCACAAGTCTGAGGGATTGGAGATTCAGGCTGGGCTCACTCATATTATGTTTGGGTTGGCTAGGTGCTGGCTGATCTGGGATGGCCTGGTTGGAGCATCCGAGGCAGCTCAGCTGTGCTTATCCTTCGTCCTTTAATGAACTAGCCCAGGTTTGTTCTCATGGTGATAATGTAGCACAGGAGCAGGAAGCCCAACAAAGCAAGGACTTTTCTAGTTCCTCTTTGCATCCTGTTTGCTAACTTCCCGCTGGCCAAAGCCAGCTACACGGCCAAGCCAAAAACCAGAACAGGAAGACCCTGCACAGTTACAGGGAAGAAGGTATGGACAGGGCAAAATCTTTCACAATTACAAAACCAGCAGCTTGTCTCTGAGCTGCTGCCAGTGCAATTATCAGAACACTACACACCCCTCCTCTGGGAGAACTCCTTCCCCTCATGACTTTTATGTTAAGGTTTCTGAACTCCTCGGGCTTTGTCGTACCCTTCATCCTTCTGAAGTCAGCTTGTTCAGTCAGTATATGCCAGAAACTATGGGGGCCAATGGGGACAGACCCGTGAACAAGACAAACAAGGTCCCTGCTCTGAAGGAGCTGATATTCCAGTGGAGAAGACATGCACATAAAATACATAATATAATTTCAGATCATGAAAAATTATGTGAAAGAGATTAACCAGAATTATTTGAAAGAGGCAGTGTTGGGATAGTCTTGGAGGACACTGAACTTTGAGAATCATGTCTATATTCTCAGCCCTAAATCCAGTGCCTAACACCAAACAGGCTTCAATAAATATTGAAAGGAAGGGCCGGGCGCGGTGGCTCACGCCTGTAATCTCAGCACTTTGGGAGGCTGAGGCGGGCGGATCACGAGGTTAGGAGATCGAAACCATCCTGGCTAACATGGTGAAACCTCATCTCTACTAAAAATACAAAAAATTAGCCGGGCGTGGTGGTGGGCGCCTGTAGTCCTAGCTACTCGGGAGGCTGAGGCAGGAGAATGGCGTGAACCCAGGAGGCGGAGCTTGCAGTGAGCCGAGATCGCGCCACTGCACTCCAGCCTGGGCGACAGAGTGAGACTCCATCTCAAAAAAGAAAAAAATATTGAAAGGAGGATGGATGGATGGATGGATGGATGGATGGATGGATGGACGGACAGACAGCCAGCCAGATGGGCACTGAGACCTACCTAGCACTTCCTGCCCTGGCCTCCTCACCACCTTTACTCTCTCTGAATAGAGATATCCAGAGAGAGTACCTCACCACCTTTACTCTCTCTGGCCCATAGGATACAGGAAAGATCCCAGAGAGAAGACCCAGTTTCCTCTCCACACCTGGAGGGCCAGCCCTAAGGCTGAGCCATCTCAGCTCTCTGAGCTTAGCAAAAGGATTGCCTTCCTTTTGACCTCTCTGCTCAGTGTTGGAAAAGTATCCACAGAGCAAATGCTGCCCGCTGTCCCTTCAGAGAAGTCCAGACCTGATCCTCATGCTTTTGTGTATGCCCTGGTTTAGGGGTGTGAAAGGAATGTAAGAAGGAGAGGAAGATGCCACCAGATCCTACTCCTCCCAGGTTTCCCTGAGCTACACTGGCAGATCCATTAACCTGATATTTTAACTTCTTGCCTCCCTTTACTGAACAACTAGATGTTCCTTGTATATTCACTCTTCACAGTAATTCACTGAAGTTGGTTTTCATTGTCCCACTTCACTGAGAAGTTAAGTGATTTGCTTCAGGTCACTGTTACAGAATGGTAGAGCTGTCACTCAGAGCCAATCTTGCAAAGTCGAGGCATGGAAATAAAAAGTTCTTCTAGTCCAACAAACATGAGTTGAAATCCACATCCAACCACTTGCTTAGCCCTGTGACCAGGCCATGCTAAAGCAGAGATGAGTGTGACCAAAACCAGCAGACACAATGACATCCACAGCCTTTCAAACTTGTCCTGGCACAACGTGTCTCATGAAAGCTCAAACTTTGGTGGCTTGCATTTTTCCTTTTTAAAATACTTATAGAAGCAACTGACAAGGCAGACTTTAAATCTAAACACAGTAATAAAAATTACCGATCTTCCCAATTGCATGTGCGTATGAATAAAATATCATAAATGACACCTTCTCCCTTGGAAGTCATGGCAGCCTGTCAGACAAAGGCTCCAGATGTGAGCCCAGGTGTTTCACTGGACACTTTCACCAGAGCCTCTCTCTGATGGCAGGTGTTGACATTTGAGGCAGATGTGGTGAAGTTGGCAGGAGCAGGCAGGATGAAGGGTCTTTGCACCATGCTCTGGGGCAATTCATACTATGGAAAGTTATTTTTAATTTGTTCCATATGAATCGTGAAAAACATAAAACATTCAGGGGGTTTATCATAATTTTCGATGAGATAAATACTGTGTGCTCATGCAATTTTTAAAAAATGGAAAATAGCTATTTAGTGCAAGAACTGCATTTTTTAAAGTTAACATAAGGAGGTGATTTCCTAAAGAGCCTTGTTGTCTGAGATGAAAGACCAGCTAAGCCATCTTAAGGATACAGATCAGATTTATCGCTTTGGTTACATCCCTTGACTAGGACAAGGCTTAAGCCATGAGCTATCCAAGCAGCAAGAGTAAATTCTGCAGAACCCAAGCATGTGCTTGACTGTGCTATGTAGCTTCAGCTTTGCTCAATCCGGGTCCTGTGGTCCCACTTACCCTGATATAACCTACTGTCTATGCAACCCTGGGCAAGTTGCTGAGTCTCTCTGAACTTTGGTTCTCCCATTACCACAATAGCTATCTCTTATGGCCGGTGAGAAGATTAAATAAAATCATAGAGCTTGTTTGGCAAACTATGACGATGTTAGCTGCTGTTGCTTTTGTAGACTGAAAAGCAGACACAGTATTTTGAGGATCCTTCCTAAACTCAGCAATGTGCAAGGAGCTGAAAAGATGTACAAGAAAAGCAGATATGGGTCCTAGCTCCAAAGTGGAAACAAAGAGAATCGTGTAAGATAACAAGTAAGTAAATTAATATTTTTATGAGACAGGTTACAAACAGCTAGAAGATTTTGGTGTGAGTGGCCACATGCATATGGCTACAGGAAAACATAGTGGGAAGGAAGGTAAGTCCCCCATGAGACATGAGCAAGGCTGAGAAGATTCACATCTCAGACACCAACCTGGCAAAGTCAGCCAGATCTAATTTAAAATATGGTCCTGGTCACATACCTGTCACCAGGCACCTCTGCAAATGTGGCTGTGATCCAGGTGAGCTAAGATTTGGAGACAGCCCAGTCTCCAGGGCAGCCCCGGCAGAGCCACCCCTGTGGACCCAGGTTCCTCATTTGCAGCACAGGCCACCATTGGCCCCTTACCCCACCCTGCACATGGGCCTCCACTAGGAGGAGCTCAGAGAGGGCAGGCAGGCAGATGATGCAGAAAGGGAACTAAGGAACTCCCCCAGAAAGAACAGCAGGTGCAACAGTGGAAAAATAGACAAAATGAGGTGGAAGGGAGCCGAGAAGGACAATGCCCATTGACCAGGTGCCAGCTGTATGTCAGGCACTGTGGTGCGTGCTTTACCATCTGTATTAGACCGCTATCACACTGCCATAAAGAACTGCCTGAGACTGCCTCACAGTTCCACATGGCTGGGGAGGCCTCAAGAAACTTACAATCGTGGCAGAAGGTGAAGGGGAAGCAAGGCACGTCTTACCATAGTGGAGCAGGAGAGAGAGAGAGAGAGAAGAGGAAAGCGCCACATTTTTAAACATCAGATCTCGTGAGAACTCACTATCACAAGAACAGCAAGGGGGAAGTGCTTTCCCATAATTTGATCACCTCCCACCAGGGCCCACCTCTGACACGTGGGAATTACAATTAGAGATGAGATTTGGGTGGGGACACAGAGCCAAACCATATTATTATTTGTTATCCCACTTAACTCTTTCAACTGGAGTTGAATATCCCTATTTTACAAATAAGGAAACGGAGGTTCATAGCAGTTATAAGGCTACCACAAGATCCCATACCTAATAAGTGGAAGAAAGATGTGAACCCAAGTCCTTAGACACCTAAGCACTGGCTCTTTGAGACTTACGGAGGAGGTGAAACTGACACAGTGCAGGTGAGTCTGAAAGTGGCACTTAGCCCATGAGGGATCTTGGCTTTGCTCAGGAAAGAATTCAAGGGCAAGCCAAAGGTAGAAGAAAATGGCTTTATTGAAGAGGTGTGTTACAGCCCCATGACTGCCCCTGCAGAGCAGAGTTAGGCGGAGAGTAGTAGCTCAGGGCAGTTTTGCAGTCATATGTATATCCACTTTTAATTGCATGCAGATTAAAGGGTGGTTTATGTAGAAATTTCTAGGGAAGGGGAAGTAACTTTTTGGTCACTGGGTCATTGCCAGGGAAAGCGGCAGTAACTCCTGGGTGTTGCCATGGCAAGGATAGACCGACATGGCACATTGGTGGGAGTGTCTGATTGAAAGCTGTTTCTACACTTGCCCTGTTTCTTGCTAATCCTCAATCTGGTCCAGTGTCCAAGCCCTGCTTCCGGAGTTGAGTCCTGCCTCCTACCTCAAAATCAGACCATAAGCTGGGGAGAAATGGCAGAGGCAGGGGCAGGGTAAGCATCCTCCACTTCTCTGCCTTTTCCTCAGCTGGGAGAAGAGGCCTAGGTTGGAGATACCTTCTTGGCCCCTTTGGAAAGGTCTTGGTGGCTTGAAGAAATGGAGCCAGAGGAATGGAAGAGCTTAAGGGTGGCTCACAGTTCCCCCAAGACAGAGCACCCCAGGGGTCCAGCCCCAAAGACCTCAGTTGTGAAGGACTGGAACTGTGGGTATGCTCTGTCCAAGAATGAAAATGAGGCATCAGATAGGGCACTTTCTGAAAGGCATGTCTGGCCCTGCCCTGGTAGCCAGGACAGGTGAGATGGATGAGGCTGGTCTCAGAGTGCCACTGGGGAGAAGGAGGGCCAGGAGCCTGGGTCTAGCAGCTGAGAAGGACATTACCCTTTAGGGTATCCAGCCAGACCAAATATGGGAAGAGGCTGGGCATGGTGGCTCACGCCTGTAATACTAGCACTCTGGGAGGCCGAGGCAGGTGGATCACTTGAGGTCAGGAGTTCAAGACCAGCCTGGCCAACATGGTGAAACCCCACCTCTACTAAAAGTACAAAAATTAGCCAAGTGTGGTGATGAGCATCTGTAGCCCCAACTACTTGGGGGGCTGAGACAGAACTGCTTGAACCCAGGAGGCGAAGATTGCAGTGAGCCAAGATCATGGCACTGCACTCCAGCCTGAGGGACAGAGCAAGACTCTGTCAAAAAAAAAAAAAAAAAAAGTAAAAAAACTGAAATCGCAAGTCAAAAAATCCAGGAACCCACATGTATGGAGTGGGCAGGCCTACAGCAAGCCCCAGGATCGACTTGCTCCATCTCCCTCCAAGATCAAAGCCAAGTCGTTTCAAATAATACATTTACACTAGTGCAAACTTGAAAAAATAGAATAGAATTCAAAAATCTGCATAGATTTTTAAAACACAACACAAGACTCCAAAGAAATTTCACCAAAACTCCAGCCACTGGGCTGTGCAATGGGAATTTTCCAAAATGAAATTCGAGGAAACAAGGAGATAGCGACACGAGGGAGAGCAACGCGGCCAGGACTCAGGGGAAGACCGGGCTGTGGAGTTCCGTCCCGTTAGATAAGGGGATCCAGGAAGCCAAATGGGTGAGCCCTGGACTGCAGCTGAGGGTCCACTTACACAAATTTGGAATATGCTGTCAAAGCAAAAGACAACTCCTGCCCATCCAGGGGTTGAACACCAACAGAAATTGTCCAACCGAGTGAGTGTTTAAACTGTAAAGGGCTCCAGGACAGAAGGAATCACCATCCTTGCCAGACAGCCGTAGCCTGAGCGGCCTTCCCTGTCTCCTGAGTGGGCCTCTCCTCCTGACCACGCCCACCTCCTCTGTAGCTCCACCCATCTTTCTAGGCAGCCCCAGACACATACCTGTCTCCGCTCCAAGCCTTGGGGCTGCCACTGCGATCTGCCTCCCTCATCTCCTGGTGCGTGAGTTGCAGATGTGAGCAACTGCAACTCATATCTATATGGTCTATATGGAGCTGCTGTTTGCTCCCTTTGGCTGCTGTTTCTTGGACCCACAGTCCAGACCTGTGGACAACTCTTCACCGCTCTCCAGGCTCCGCTCTGGCTCAGCCTCCTCTGCTACTCAGGCTGCCCTGGGAAAGATGGTCCACAGCGCCATGGAGCTGGCATGGAAGGGGTGCAGGGGGCGCAGCAAGGGTACCTGTTGTGAGCTGAATTGTGTCCCCCCAAAACTCCTATGTTGAAGTCCTAATCCCCCTCCCTGTGTAGCTCAGCATGTGCCATTATTTGGAAATAGGGCAGTAAGTGGTTAAGACAAGGTCATGCTGAAGAAGGATGGGTCCTAACCTACTATGACTGGTGTCCTCGTGGAAAGGGGAAGCTGGGAGACAGATGTGCACACAGGGAGGAGCCATGTGAAGATGGAGACAGATTTGGGTGATGCTTCTGTAGGCCAAGAACAAAGCCCCACAAGCTGGGAGAGAGGCCTGCAACAGTCTCCCTCACAGCCCCAGAAAAAACCCAACCCCGCCCACAGCTTTGTTACAGGAAAGGGGTCCCAATCCAGACCCCAAGAGAGGGTTCTTGGATCTCACACAAGAAAGAATTCAGGGCGAGTCCGTAAAGTGAAAGCAAGTTTATTAGGAAAGTAAAGGAATAAAGAATGGCTACTCCATAGGCAAAGCAGCCCTGAGGGCTACTGGTTGCACATTTTTATGGTTATTTCTTGATTATATGCTAAACAAGGAGTGGATTATTCATGCCTCCTTTTTGTTAGACCATAAAGGGTAACTTCCTGAGGCTGCCACGGCATTTCTAAACTGCCACGGCGCTGGTGGGAGTGTAGCAGTGAGGATGACCAGAGGTCACTCTCGTGGCCATCTTGGTTTTGGTGGGTTTTAGCTGGCTCCTTTACTGCAGCCTGTTTTATCAGCAAGGTCTTTATGACCTGTATCATGTGCTGACCTCCTATCTCATCCTGTGACTTAGAATGCCTAACCATCTGGGAATGCAGCCCAGTAGGTCTCAGCCTTATTTTACCCAGCCCCTACTCAAGATGGAGTCGCTCTTGTTCAAATCCCTCTGACAGTTTGAGCTCTGATTTCTGGCCTCCAGAACCTTCTGCTGTTTAACATCCTCAGTGGATGCTACTTTGTTATAGCAGCCCTAACAAACTAATACAGAACCCAGCCTCTCGCCCCAGGGTCAAAGAGGGCTTCTGCAAGTAGTGTGGCCTGAGCCAAGTCTTAAAGAATGGAAAAGAGAATTCCTGGTAGAGAAGGAGGAGAATAGAAGTTGTTCTAGGCAGAGGAAAGAAGCTGAAGCAGGAAGATTGTTCCCAATTAACCACGAGGAGCTTCTGAAAGTTGCTAACCACTGGAGAGAAAGCAGGATCTGCCAGCGTCGGCTCATCCATGGCAAGAGCTAGGAGTTGGAAATGCTCTCGAAGATGCAGTCCAAATCTCTCATCTTACAAATAGGAAAATTAAGGGAAAGGGAGGGGAAATAAGCCACCCAGGGTCACACAGGGGTTATAGCCCAACAGAACTAGAATCCAGCTGTCCTGATATTCGGCTCTGTAGACACCACACTGATTTCTGCCCAGGACGTGACTGATGTAAAATGAGCTATGATTGAAAGCAGGTTTCTGTTTTAAACAAGGCTCATTTAAAACAAAAGTAAGCCTCATTTACCCATTGCTTTTGTTGGTATCTATACAAATACTTTGTTTTCCATGTAATCAGTATTGCATAAACTTGGTCTATATGGAAAGACACATAGGAGAGACAGCAGCACCCAGGGCAGACGGGGGACATTGTCGCCTGAGTAAAGTGATGGTTTTTCAATCAGGGGTTCTCACCAGCAAAATTGTTCGTACCTTCCTAAGGACATTCTGTCCTAGACCAGATGAGGAACAGCATCATATACTCCCAGCCCGCATGCCTGATGACTTTAACACGTTCATTGTTCTGCTCAGATGAAGGCTGTTGGGTGACTCACTCCTCCCTTAGTCAGAAACTCTAACCAGATTTAAGAAGAAATTTTGCTGTAAAAGTCATCAGGTGGTTGGACAGGAGCGGCATCTAATCCCACTGCGGGTTCACTGGGCTCTCTCACTGGGAGGTGATGGGCCCCAGGCTGGGCAAGGTGGAGTCAGGCCAGCCAGGAGACCCCAGCCTTCCAGGGACAGACCTCTCCTCCAAACACCAATAGGAAGAATTCAGCCCTCACTGTGATATTCTCACCCCAGTTTCTCCTTTCACAGGCTACATGATACAGGACAGGTCCCAGCCTCTCTGGGATTCAGTTACTTCATGAAATCCAGCTTACCTACTTCACTTGGATGAAGACAGAGTACTGGTTGGATAAATTTTAGATATCTTCCACACTAGAAGGCTGTAAAGTGCTCAATTGGAAATGGAAATATCAGGATTAACGATCAAATAGGCTTGAGTTTGGGAGGCACTGACATGAGCTCCCTTGATTCCCCTTCTCGCTACCCTTCTTTGCGACCCTCCCCTTCTCTCTTCTTGTGCTTCAAAACTAACCCCTCACTCCACAAAAGGGAAGAGGACAGACAAATGTCCCTCCGGCCCTGGCCCTGGCCCATGGTTCTGGACTAAACCCTTTATGCAGTACACACCACCTTATTTAACTCTCATAACCCTGGGAGGGGCTACAATTGTGCCCATTTTATATATTTGGAAACAGAGGCTCATAGAGGTGCAACGACTTGAGGCTTGTGTCTTGATCTCCAAATATGCCCGTCTACTTTGACATTGCATCACAGTACCAAGCTGTACTTGGGTTCCTCAAACTACCCCTTTCTGCCCTTCAGGCATCAGGCTCCAGCCCCATCCCAGCTCCTGCTGGCCGATACTGTTTCCATCTTCCCCATTTCACCACCTCTCCCCCTTCCCCTGTCCCTGTGGCCTCTCTCCCTCACCACACACACTCTCCCTAACACTTGTCCTCCCAGCCTTTCTGCTTCTGCACAAAATATTTTGTTTTTCAATGTAATCAGCATAACATAAACTTGGCCTATATGGAGAGACACATAGGAGAGGCCGCAGTGCCTGGTGCAGACAGGGGACATTGTCAACTGAGTTAAAGCATGGTTTTTTTCTTCTTTTTTTTTTTTTTTGTTGGATACAGGGTCTCATCCAGGCTGAAGTGTAGTGGTGCAATCTCAGCTCACTGCTCTGCCACCTCCCGGGTTCAGGGATTCTCCTGCCTCAGCCTCCTGAGTAGCTGGGATTACAGGAATGCACCACAAGATCTGGCTAATTTTTGTATTTTTAGTAGAGACAAGGTCTCACTATGTTGGCCAGGCTCATCTTGAACTCCTGGCCTCAATTGATCTGCCCGCCTCGGCCTCCCAAAGTGCTGGGATTAGAGGCATGAGCCACCGCGCTCGGCCTAAAGTGATGGTTTTTCTATCAGGAGGTCTCAGTGTCCTCTTGATAGCCCAATCCAATGACCTTTCCCCCTGCCAGTGGCTTCACACCATCAACAAATTACCCAAGACGGTTCCCCCTATCCTTCTGATCCCTCCTCCTCTGCCTCTTTTATTCTCTAGTACGGGGGAAGTCATGACTTCGAGTTCATACTCAGTCAGCTACTTCCAAGCCTCACTGATTTTTTTTCTCCTGATTTCTCTGATTCTGCCTATTCCCTGCCAGAACAATTCATATTTCCCCATCAACTACTGCCCTGTTGGAAATCACGCCACAGTGAAGCTATGCACCAGACATGGGCGGAGAGGTGCAATTATTTTGTGGAATCATCACAATATGCTTACAAAGGAAAATAAAAATCAGGTCATCTTGCTTTCTTAAGAATGCTGATCTAAATGCAAAATTCAGATGCCACAGAATCATACTGTTTATTCAGATGGATGCCAAGGAAAAAGCTGAACGCGTCCTAATTCAGGATAATTTAAGTGTTCGCCTTTCAATGGTTTGGAATATTTACAGTATTTAACAAAGGATAAATTAATATATTTGAGTAGGAGAGATAGGAGGGAGGTGCTTAGGCTCTAAATTTTGAATATGATGCTAACACAATAGTGTGACATCTTGAAAAGAGAAGATTCTATATCTCAAACTGTTAAGGATATTGTAAGATCCACCTTCTGGTTCTGACCACTCTAGACTTTAAAAGTACCCACTCTTTCTTCTCAAGTCCTCCTAAATAAATGTTTAAAAAAAAAAAAAAAGAATTAGCCAGAAATACGACTTGAACTTTGAATTTGTCATAGCCAGAGCATAAACAGCTAACCATAAAGAATGGAAGGAGAGGCAGCCAGATGGTGATAGACTTACATTACAATTAAAGGACAAACCAAGGCATCATAAACAGAAAGGCTGAGTCCAAATTAACAGAGGGAGAAATCAGTCCTATTGAAAAGTCACAGTCCTGAATAATACCTCTAATAATATACTTCTTACATAGTAAGAGTCATGAGAGTGTTGTCCAAAATTTGAAGAGTTCAGATCATTTCCTCAGCTTCTGTTTCATGATTTCTAAGAGGAGGGTAATAATGGCATCGCAGGATTGTTGAAAGAATTAGATGATTATATAGGGACTGTCTCAGTGCTTGGCACGTACTAAGCGTTCCATCATCTCATTCTTATTGTCCATTTGATTGAGGGAGCAAAGCCATTAATTGAGGGCCCATTGTACATTCAGGGACTCTGCAAGGTGCTACATAAAGGAGGATGTTTATGCAACCTAGGAGATATTTGACATGAAATGGTTTAAAAGCAATATTCTTCCTAACTCCCAGCTGTTGCAGCCATGATTACTTTTAATAGTGTGATACCGAAATTGTCTTGGTATCTACATTTCTATCTGACAGTGAAATCTGTTTTCAGCTCAGATACCAATAAAGAAGTGAGCCTACCAAAAGGAATTCACAACATCCCTGCTTTCTCCACAGAGCAGTAGGACTCAACGCTGAAAGAGAAGAGGCGGGAAGCTAAGAACACAAAGAGAAGCCATGCAGGGATTCACAAAAACAGCAGGCAGCCAGTGTTGCTGATGGAATGTTGGAGGAAGCTGTCTTGTTCAGCAATACAGGAAAAATGACTGCAGTGAAAGAAAATGGAACAAGTGCATACATTGACAAGAAAGATATGGATTCCTATACACAAAGACTTCCCCATGCCAGATGGCAAGGGTGGCATTTGCAGATGATGGGCAGAGGGGCTGGCCCTCCCACATTAGGTCAGATTGGCTAACAGTCATTCCCTGGCAGGAAGGTTCCCAACCCTGGGTGCATTGCACCATCATCCGTGAAAGATCATTTTATTTTAAAATCAGATTCTTGGTTACACCCTAGCCCTACATAATTAGGATCTCTGGGGATTATATCCTGCCATTTCACAAATATTAAATGCCATTATGCTGCCTTTTGACTACCATCTCCAATTCTTCCATATCTTTCCCATCCTCCTTCTTCCTACACCAGTCTTTGACTTTGAAGGGACCTCTAAAGCCTGGAACTGCCCAGTTTTCCCATACATTTAGGATTCTCCAGAGAAAGAGAACCAATAAGATATATATGCGTTTGTATATGTGTATATCCTTATACATATATGATTTATTACAAGGAATTGGCTCACATGATCACGATTATAGTGCCTGAGAAGTCCCAACATTCTGCAGTCAGTAAGCTTAAAACCCAGGAGAGGCCCAGTGTGGTGGCTCATGCCTGTAATCCTAGCACTTTGGAGGCCAAGGTGAGTGGATCACCTGAGGTCAGGAGTTTGAGACCAGCCTGGCCAACATGGTGAAACCCTGTCACTACTAAAAATACAAAAATTAGCCAGGCATGGTGGCTGGTGCCTGTAGTCCCAGCTACTAGGGAGGCTGAGGCAGGAGAATCACTTGAACCTGGGAAGTGGAGGTTGCATTGAGCCAAGACCACACCATTGCACTCCAACCTGAGACAACAAGAGCAAAACTCTATCTTAAAAAAAAAAAAAAAAAAAAAAAAAAACAGGATAGCCAATGGTGATTCCAGTCCAAGCCCAAAGTCCTGAGAACCAGGAAAGCTAATGGTGTAAGTTCCAGTACTGTCCAAAACCAGGAGAAAACCAATGTCCTAGCTCACACAGTCAGACAGGTGGAGTTCCCTCTTACCCATCCTTTTTCAGGCCTTCAATGGATTCGATGATGCTACTCACATTAGGCAGGGCCCTCTGCTTTACTCAGTCCAGATTCAAATGTTAACCTCTTCTAGACCTCTCTTCTAAACACACCCAGAGTACTGTCTGACCAAATGTCTGGGCACCCTGTGGCCTAGTCAAGTTGACACATAAAAGTAACCATCACAGACCACATGGACCACGGGGATGGCTTCTGCCATCCCTGCCCAGTAAGACCCAACATCTGCATTTCTACACCCAAGTGACAGACCACTCAAAGAAAGAGACATCAGAACTGAAACAATTACAAATGTATCTCTCTAATGCCAGCTAGATCCTCAGCACCAGCCCTCACATCCTTCACTTACCTTTACTTCCACCCCAAACTCCCATTATTCCACACACATTTACCATTTTCCCCACCCCGCTACTAAGCCCCTCTCATGGCCTTACTACCTCATGCCTCCCTGTCAATCTAGTCTCTCATCCAAACTGTCAATCCACTCCCATCATTGCCTTATTCCTCATTTACTCCCCCTTCATCCCCCTGCCTATGATATCCACTATCACCGCTTTCTCTGTCTCCTTCCCACCTCCTTACCCTCAGATAACATGTTCAATCCTCTCCCATCCCATGACAGACGCTATAAAGTCCCCACCCAAAGATGCCCACATCCTCATTCCCAGAGCCTGTGCATCTGTTACTTTATATGGAAAAAGGTACTTTGCAGATGGGATTAAATTAGGAAATTGGTGAGATGGGGAGTGTATTAGTCTGTTTTCATGCTGCTGATAAAGACATACCTGAGACTGGGCAATTTATAAAGAAAAAGAGGTTTAATGGACTCACAGTTCCACATGGCTGGGGAGGCCTCACAATCATGGCAGAAGGTGAAAGGCACGTCTTACATGGTGGCAGACAAGAGAGAATGAGAACCAAGCAAAAGGGGAAACCCCTTATAAAACCATCAGATCTCGTGAGACTTATTCACTACCACAAGAACAGTATGGGGGAACCACCCCCATGACTCAATTATATCCCACCATGTCCCTCCCACAACACATGGGAATTATGGGAGCTACAATTCAAGATGAGATTTGGGTGGGGACACAGCCAAACCATATCAGGGAGATTTATCTGGATTAACCAGGTAGGCTCCAGTGTAATCATAAGGATCCTGATAAGAGGGAGGCAGGATGGTCCAAGTCAGAAAAGACGTGATGACAGAAGCAGAGGTGGGAGGGACACAAGGAAGGAACCACGGGCTAAGAAATGCAGGCTGCCTCCGGTAGCTGAAAAGGGAAAGAAAATGGATTCTTCCCTGAGAGCTGTCACAAAGAATGCAGCCATACTGATGCCTTGATTTTAGGGCCTAAGCCCTCCATATCTGTAAGAATAAATTTGTGTTGTTTAAGGCCACCACATTTGTTGCAATTTGTTGCAGCAGCCACAGGAAACAAACATCTGAAGATCACCTCCTTGAATCCAAATCCCTCCTTAGCCCACCATTCCATGACTTTCCCTCCTATCCAAGTTTCTGAAATAATTGTCTGATCTTATTTATACTTCCTCACCTGCCATTTACCCAACTCATTGCTTCCTGTCCCATCCCCATCAACATGGCTTTTATAATTTATTATTTTAAATAACGTATGGCCAAAGACAATGCAAATCAAGTCAAATATTGTTGAAAATGCTCAATAAGTTTATCAAATGGGGCGGCTGGACTGCCACCTACATACTCATGCTTTGAAATCTGTGGCTTCAGACTGGCTCTCCCCATAGCTTCACACTATAGGGGGCACTGCCTGGTGCAAATTTTCACACAGGCACCCAATGGAGCCTCAGACTCAAATTGTCCAAATCAAAAATTTATTTCCACTATCTCCTTCATCTGCCCCTCAAAAACAGCCTTCTAGTGTCTTTCTCAGTTTGAATTACAACAATAAACCAAGTTACTCATGTAAGAAACAAGAATTCCTCTTTAAATTCTTCCCCTCCTTTGGGTACCACATCCCATCAATCTTGCTAGCCTACACCCTAACCATCTCTTAAATCTATACATTTTGGAGGGATTTTGTTGTACTTGTTCTTGTTATTTGGTTTGGGTTTTTTGAGAGAGTCTTATTCTGTCACCTAGGCTGGAGTACAGTGACATGATCATGGCTCACTGCAGCCTTGACCTCCTGGGCTCAAGCGATCCTCCTACCTCAGCCTCCTATGTGTAGCTGGGACTACAGGCATGCACCACCACACCTGGCTAACTTTGTTTTTGTTTTGTTTTTTCGTGTAGATAGGATTTTGCCATGTTGCCCAGGCTGGTCTCAAACTTCTGAACTCAAGCAATCCACCAGTCTCAGCCTCCCAGAGTGCTGGGATTACAGGCATGAGCCACCGCGCCTGGACCATTTTTTTCCATTACCTATTTTATTTGAAGTCACCATTATTTCTTGGAATTACTTCTTAATTTGTCTTATTGCTTCCATGTGCATTGATCTGTTATCCCCATGGCAACCAGAGTGGTTAACGTAAGATGCAAGTCTATCTACTCCTCAGCTGATAACTTTCAGTGACTTCCCAGATGAGGCAAAGCAAGCTGTGTGGCTTAACATGGGCCTCAGTAACTTAATACCTACCTACTGCTCCAGCCCCACTTAACTTCAGACACTGCCTCAAACTCCGTGTACCATCAACCCTGCATATACCAAGCTAATCCTTACTTCCATATCTTTTGCTCTTGTTGGTTCATGTCCTTCTAACTTTCTTTTTGCAATCACTCATCCTTCAAGCCTCAACTCAAGCATTACCTCCTAAAGAAAACTTTTCTAGACTGTCCAGGGCCAGAGTTAGGTTCACTCCTTTAGACTCCCAGAATGTGTTTGCCAGCACTTGGCCCAGTGCCCATTCACCCCATTTTGATAAACTCATTGAACATTTTCAACAATATTTGACTTGATTTGCATTGTCAAATATGTACTGATTTGCATTGTCGAATATTGTCAAATATGTACTGTCAACAAACATTAATGAGACTGTAGGCATTAATGGTTTGTTGGGTGAATAAATGAATACACACAGTCAATTATAGTCAATCGGTACAATAATGGAGGTGAGAAAAGGATGCTATAGGAGCACAGTGGAGGGGCACCTTGTTCTCCTGGAGAGTCAAGGAAGGTTCTGTGAGAAGGAAGCAGCAAAGCCAAGCATGGCAGGTGACCTGGAGGGAGAGGAGAAATCGTGTTCCAGGCAGATAAGCAGAGATAGCTTCATGACTGCATCATCGGTGAGTTGCATGGGGCCCCTCACTTGCTGTAGGGCTCTGCTGTCACTGTCTTGAAGTTCTTAATTTTTGAATATGGAGACCTGCATTTTCACTTTGCAGTAAAGGTCCCAACTTAGGTAGCCAATTGTGCAGATGAGACCCCTTGTCCAGAGACAAAGGGACCTGGAGAAAGAGCTCAGCAGGAGACCTGAAAGTAGCCCTGGTCTGACCGCTCCCCTGGGCCACTCTCAACCACAGTAAGAATGCAACTGCCTTCCCCTGTGCATCTTGATCTATTTATAAATGTTTAGAGTTGAGGAGGAAAACACCAAATCCACATTTCCAAGACTTTTTCTACTCAATACTTAAATGTGCATATGATGGGCAAATCAAATCCATCTGCTCCAGATTCATTTGCACTTTGTTCATGAGAATGGCCCCCTGCTCCCTCCCCATGAGGCTATCTTGTATCCAAGAAGTCATCTAAGCTCTCTTGGAGCTTTTGGGTTTAAAGAAAAGGGTTTTGCAAAATCTTAATTTGACTCAAGAAAACTGAATTTAAACCTCAAAAGGTCTGATTATATCTTGCTACTCTAAATCCTCCAGTTCAAGATGAGGACTCACCCCAGTATCCTTGTGTGGCAGGCACAGTCCCCCAAGGAGGGACATTTCCTCCTAAGACACAGTGCCTTGGTTGTACATTAAGAGCTGGAAACTCAGAGGAAATCTCTCTGCTGCTTGAGGAAAAAAAAAAAAGCGCCTCTTGCTCACACCACTGTATTTAGAATCACAAATCTTTAGAACTAAAAGGGATAATTGAGATCATCTACAATAAAAACCACCATCTGTACAGCACTTTACACTTGATAAATCACTTTCACATTCATTTTCTTATCTAATCCCTGCAGCTATTTTGTAAGAAGAGGAGAACTGTTATCATCACCTTCAATTCTGTAGCTAAGGCAGATGAGGCCCAGAAAGGCTATGCGGATCCCCCAAGCTCACACAGCTAAGAGTAGCAATGCCAGGACTCAGACTCAGCCCTTGACACTCCACCGTGAGGGTTTGACCTCAACCCCACCCACCTCTTCTCAGGGACAAACAAAGCTAGCATCGTCCAGGCTCTCACCAGCCTCGCCAGGAGTCACTCGCAGGGCAGGGTGACAGCCACACGCCCACCTCCCTGCCTGGCACCCTTTCTACTCCTCTCAGTGATCCTTGTCTCCCTTTACTAAAACAAGTCAGGAAAGAAAGAGGCTGATCTCTTCTCATTCCATTCAAAGAAATGATTTCATTGCTTCTGACATTGCGTTACCCACTCCTCTGAAACACCCAGAAACAGAGCTATTCACTTCAACATATTCCATTTTTCAAATCCTCACAACAACCTGGCAACATCAATATTTTGCAACCCATTTTCCTCAGGGAGAAAACTGAGGTTCTGGGAGGATAAGTCATAGGCCCCTATGAGATCAATGGTAAATAGCCAGCAGTGCCAAGACTGCAACCCAGGCTTTTTGGCGTTGAGCCTAAAGATGCTTCCACTAAGTCACATTGATAGCATTTGGCTACAATCCCATGAAGACAACCAGAGGCAGAAAATGGAGCTAATACAGGAGAAAGAGGAGAGAGTCAAGACATTTCCAAAGGCCCGCACTGGGACAGATGACTATACAAATTGCCTGTTTGGTCACAATCACTAAAAACTGCAGGAAAATCTTATGCATGAGGAGCAAGACAGCCTGGAAGGGGGATCAGGGGCTGGCCCTAGAGCAAAATCTGAGGAGTGAGTGTGTATATGCATACAGAAGACACACAGTTCCATCTCTTTCAAGTATATGCAAACTAAGCTATAAATTAGTACTAATCAGTACCTGTGAGGTGAATTAATTAAAAAGTTAGAATTCACAAGAGGCCGACATTACTTGATAATGTATCACCAAAGCTTATGAATATGAGAATTAATTGCTTGGCCAAGATGTTGAAGGAATGCTTAATTTCTTGAGCTCTTGGTTTGAAGCATCCATTGATTTTATACAGCATTGAAATAATGCTAGCATTATTGTGTGTTTACTAAATTATCCTTTTAACAAACAACCACCATTTATTCATGAGTTAATATTTGGTGTTTTGCTGTGCTAAGCATTTTCTACACATCATTTCATTTAACCTTCGAAACAACTACTTAAGACAGACATAATTATCAGCACTCCACATTTGCTTTAAAAAAAAAAGTAAGCTCTGTGATCTAAGAAGCCAAGGTCACAAAAATTAACTGAAGAATCAAATATACAAATTGGTGCCTGCCCAATTCTGCCCAAAGCAATGACTCTTAATTCAAATGAAGCCCTTGACAATTGTGACTTACTAGAATATAAACGACTAAGGATTTGTTTCATTTGTAAAACATTTAGCTTTGCCTGTTTTTTATTTGAAGCTTAGGGATGAACTTGAATCTCACATCTGCAGGCTCATAATTCTATTCATTTTCATGCTATGTGTTCATTCCTAACTTGTTTCTCAATTCCTCTTTAACCAAAACCAAAATCAAATTTTTCTTCCTGGTGGGTAGAATGAACACAGAGCCAGATTATAGTAATTGTTTTGAGGTTGCAGGAGCAGAGTGAACATAAAATCCCTAAACCTCACTGTAGGCAGCTGCAAGGAAAAGGCAACAGTGGAGAAATTAGAATTTTAAAAATCTGGATTCCAGGGATTTTGAGTTTAGATGTTTTAAATTTTTAATAGCATGGTTTTATTTGTTTTATTTCCTAGAATAAACATGTTTTTCTTTTGTAATATGAAAATATACTTTATTAAAAATATAAATGATAGTTTGGCTGGGTATAGAATTTTTATATAACAACCCTTCATCCAAACTTTATAAATGTTGTTCTGTTAACTGTCTTTATCCAACGTTGTAGAAGGAAGTATGAGGCCTTCTTGATTTTTTTTCCACTGTACTTGTTTTTTCTTTAAGTATTTTAGGATTACTTTGCTATCCTTGGAACTTAATCCTTTTATGAGAATACATCAAGATATTTTCCAGATTTAATTAGATTTTTTTCAGTAAGGTTCAAAACTTATTTTGGTTTCAGTAAAATTTTATTCTGTACTATTTTGAATATTGTTTCTAATTTTTTCTTTATTTTCGAGTCCATGTTTAAGTCATCTTTTCTCTGATCTTTTATTCTTCTATCATTTTTTTCTCCATCCAACTTTCACTCAGATTTTGTCCTCTACCATTTGGTTCTGTATGACTCCAAATTTCTACTCTGGTATTATTTTCTTTCTTACCTTATTTTTGGAATCTGTTTTTTCCCCATAAAGGTAATGAAATTTCAATCAAAATATAATGGAATATCATGGGAGACTTAAAAAAAATCTTCTAAAATTTCCTATAGGAAAAAACATATAAGACTAAATGAGCCATTATGGGGAAGGGAGCAGAAAACAGTAGAAATGAAAGGAGAGAAGCCATGCAATAAAAGAAATTAAAATGAATTTTAAAACTAAGTTAATAAGAACAGAAAGAGTGTTTGCCTGTTTCCAAGATAGGCAGCCAAATCAAGGGGGCAGTATAATTTTGCTTATTCTTCAAAAGATATTTTGGGAGGGAAAAGGTTTCCACCAATGGCAATCAAACTCCTAGCTAACCATTTAGGAAAAAAATATCACACTAGAACCCTGGCTTACATTTTATAACCTGAACTCTAGATGATCTTTAAAGATATCATTTTTTTAATATGTAAAATTATTTAAATAAGAGTTATAAATATTTATATAATATTGATAAATAAGAGGACTTTCAAAGTATTTCACCAAAGACAAAAAGCATGAAGCCAAAATCTCAAAAATTTAACTCTATGTAAATCACCCAGAAAAGTAGGTACCCACAGCAATGGGAAAAGATACAAATAAAAAATTTACCAAACACACACACACACACACACACACACACACACAGGGAGGGATGTGGGGGGGGGGGGGCAAGAAAAAATAAAGCAAATACAAATGCCCAATTAACTTATAAAAAACTTTTAACCTCACTATAATCAAATGACTGTAAATTAAAGAAAACTCTTGATATGTTCTCAGCTTTTATCACTTGCTTCATAGACTATTTTTATGCATTTGTGAGATGGAAAAAGAGAGACTTGAACGGAGAGACTTGTAAGACCAGATGTTGGCAGAACATGAGGGAGATGGGTGAAGAGAGGACATAACATTAACTAGAATAACATAACTGTGCCTAACAATAAAAATACAACAGATGGCCAGGTGCGGTGGCTCACACCTGTAATCCCAGCACTTTGGGAGGCCGAGGTGGGTGGATCACAAGATCAGAAGATGGAGACCATCCCAGCCAACATGGTGAAACCCCATCTCTACTAAAAATACAAAAATTAGCTGGGTGTAGTGGTGTGTGCCTGTAATTCCAGCTGCTCAGGAGGCTGAGACAGGAGAATCACTTGAACCAGGGAGTTGGAGGTTGCAGTGAGCTGAGATCATGCAATGCACTCCAGCATAGAGACAGAGTGAGACTCCGTCTTAAAAAAAAAAAAAAAAAAAAAAAAAAAAAAACAGGGGGTGGAGCCAAGATGGCCAAATAGGAACAGCTCCAGTCTACAGCTCCCAGCATCAGTGACGCAGAAGATGGGTGATTTCTGCATTTCCAATTGAGGTACTGGGTTCATCTCACTGGGGAGTGCCAGACAGTGGGCGCAGGACAGTGGGTACAGCACACTGTGCATGAGCCGAAGCAGGGCAAGGCATTGCCTCACCCGGGAAGCGCAAGGGGTCAGGGAATTCTCTTTCCTAGTCAAAGAAAGGGGTGACAGATGGCACCTGGAAAATTGGGTCACTCCCACCCTAATACTGCGTCTTTCCAACAGGCTTAACAAACGACACACCAGGAGATTATACCCCACACCTGGCTCGGAGGGTCCTATGCCCACGGAGCCTCACTCATTGCTAGCACAGCAGTCTGAGATCAAACTGCAAGGCGGCAGCAAGGCTGAGGGAGGGGCGCCTGCCATTGCTCAGGCTTGAGTAGGTAAACAAAGCCGGGAAGCTCGAACTGGGTGGAGCCCACCACAGCTCAAGGAGGCCTGCCTGCCTCTGTAGGCTCCACCTCTGGGGGAAGGGCGCAGACAAACAAAAGACAGCAATAACCTCTGCAGACTTAAATGTCCCTGTCTGACAGCTTTGAAGAGAGTAGTGGTTCTCCCAGCACACAGCTTGAGATCTGAGAATGGGCAGACTGCCTCCTCAAGTGGGTCCCTGACCCCCAAGTAGCCTAACTGGGAGGCACCCCCCAGTAAGGGCGGACTGACACCTCACACAGTTGGGTACTCCTCTGAGACAAAACTTCCAGAGGAACAATCAGGCAGCAGCATTTGCGGTTCACCAATATCCGCTGTTCTGCAGCCACTGCTGCTGATACCCAGGCAAACAGGGTCTGGAGTGGACCTCCAGTAAACTCCAACAGACCTGCAGCTGAGGGTCCTGACTGTTAGAAGGAAAACTAACAAACAGAAAGGACATACACACCAAAAACCCATCTGTACATCACCATCATCAAAGACTAAAGGTAGATAAAACCACAAAGATGGGGAAAAAAACAAAGCAGAAAAACCAGAAACTCTAAAAATCAGAGCACCTCTCCACCTCCAAAGGAACGCAGCTCCTCCCCAGCAATGGAACAAAGCTGGACGGAGAATGACTTTGACGAGTTGAGACAGGAAGGCTTCAGAAGATCAAACTACTCTGAGCTAAAGGAGGAAGTTCGAACCAATGGCAAAGAAGTTAAAAACTTTGAAAAAAAAATAGATGAATGGATAACTAGAATAACCAATGCAGAGAAGTCCTTAAAGGACCTGATGGAGCTGAAAACCATGGCACGAGAACTACGTGACTAATGCACAAGCCTCAGTAACCAATGCGATCAACTGGAAGAAAGGGTATCAGCGATGGAAGACAAAATGAATGAAATGAAGCATGAAGAGAAGTTTAGAGAAAAAAGAATAAAAAGAAATGAACAAAGCCTCCAAGAAATATGGGACTATGTGAAAAGACCAAATCTACATCTAAATGGTGTACCTGAAAGTGATGGGGAGAATGGAACCAAGTTGGAAAACACTCTGCAGGATATTATCCAGGAGAACTTCCCCAATCTAGCAAGGCAGGCCAACATTCAAATTCAGGAAATACAGAGAACGCCAAAAAGATACTCCTTGAGAAGAGCAACTCCAAGCCACATGACTGTCAGATTCATCAAAGTTGAAATGAAGGAAAAAATGTTAAGGACAGCCAGAGAGAAAGGTTGGGTTACCCACAAAGGGAAGCCCATCAGACTAACAGCTGATCTCTCTGCAGAAACTCTACAAGCCAGAAGAGAGTGGGGGTCAATATTCAACATTCTTAAAGAAAACAGTTTTCAACCCAGAATTTCATATCCAGCCAAACTAAGCTTCATAAGTGAAGGAGAAATAAAATACTTTACAGACAAGCAAATGCTGAGAGATTTTGTCACCACCAGAGCTGCCCTAAAAGAGCTCCTGAAGGAAGCACTAAACATGGAAAGGAACAACCGGCACCAGCCACTGCAAAAACTTGCCAAATTGTAAAGACCATCAAGGCTAGGAAGAAACTGCATCAACTAACGAGCAAAATAACCAGCTAACATCATAATGACAGGATCAAATTCACATATAACAATACTAACCTTAAATGTAAATGGGCTAAACGCTCCAATTAAAAGGCACAGACTGGCAAATTGGATAAAGAGCCAAGACCCATCAGTGTGCTATATTCAGGAAACTCATCTCACGTGCAGAGACACACACAGGCTCAAAATAAAGGGATGGAGGAAGATCTACCAAGCAAATGGAAAACAAAAAAAGGCAGGGGTTGCAATCCTAGTCTCTGATAAAACAGACATTAAACCAACAAAGATCAAAAGAGACAAAGAAGGCCATTACATAATGGTAAAGGGATCAATTCAACAAGAAGAACTAACTATCCTAAATATATATGCACCCAATACAGGAGCACCCAGATTCATAAAGCAAGTCCTTAGTGACTTACAAAGAGACTTAGACTCCCACACAATAATAATGGGAGACTTTAACATCCCACTGTCAACATTAGACAGATCAATGAGACAGAAAGTTAATAAGGATATCCAGGAATTGAACTCAGCTCTGCACCAAGCGGACCTAATAGACATCTACAGAACTCTCCACCCCAAATCAACAGAATATACATTCTTTTCAGCACCACACCTATTCCAAAATTGACCACATAGTTGGAAGTAAAGCACTCCTCATCAAATGTAAAAGAACACAAATTATAACAAACTGTCTCTCAGACCACAGTGCAATCAAACTAGAACTCAGGATTAAGAAACTCACTCAAAACCTCTCAACTACATGGAAACTGAACAACCTGCTCCTGAATGACTACTGGGTAAATAACGAAATGAAGGCAGAAATAAAGATGTTCTTTGAAACCAATGAGAACAAAGACACAACATACCAGAATCTCTGGGACACATTCAAAGCAGAAAGCAGTGTGTAGAGGACATTTATAGCACTAAATGCCCACAAGAGAAAGCAGGAAAGATCTAAAATTGACACCCTAACTTCACAATTAAAAGAACTAGAAAAGCAAGAGCAAACACATTCAAAAGCTAGCAGAAGGCAAGAAATATCTAAGATCAGAGCAGAACTGAAGGAAATAGAGACACCAAAAACCCTTCAAAAAATCAATCAATCCAGGAGCTGGTTTTTTGAAAGGATCAACAAAATTGATAGACCACTAGCAAGACTAATAAAGAAGAAAAGCGAGAAGAATCAAATAGACACAATAAAAAATGACAAAGGGGATATCACCACCGATCCCACAGAAATACAAACTACCACCAGAGAATACTATAAACACCTCTATGCAAATAAACTAGAAACTCTAGACAAAATGGATAAATTCCTTGACACATACACTCTCCCAAGACTAAACAAGGAAGAAGTTGAATTTCTGAATAGAACAATAACAGGCTCTGAAATTGAGGCAATAATTAATAGCTTACCAACCAAAAAAAGTCCAGGACCAGATAGATTCACAGCCGAAATCTATCAGAGGTACAAGGAGGAGCTGGTACCATTCCTTCTGAAACTATTCCAATCAAAAGAAAAAGAGGGAATCCTCCCTAACTCATTTTATGAGGCCAGCATCATCCTGATACCAAAGCTGGGCCGAGACACAACAAAAAAAGAGAATTTTAGACCAATATCCTTGATGAACATTGATGCAAAAATCTTCAATAAAATACTGGCAAACCAAATCCAGCAACACATCAAAAAGCTTATCCACCATGATCAAGTGGGCTTCATCCCTGGGATGCAAGGCTGGTTCAACATACGAAAATCAATAAACGTAATCCAGCATATAAACAGAACCAAAGACAAAAACCACATGATTATCTCAATAGATGCAGAAAAGGCCTTTGACAAAATTCAACAACCCTTCAAGCTAAAAACTCTCAATAAATTAGGTATTGATGGGATGTATCTCAAAATAATAAGAGCTATCTATGACAAACCCACAGCCAATATCATACTGAATGGGCAAAAACTGGAAGCATTCCCTTTGAAAACTGGCACAAGACAGGGATGCCCTCTCTCACCACTCCTATTCAACATACTGCTGGAGGTTCTGGCCAGGGCAATCAGGCAGGAGAAGGAAATAAAGGGTATTCAGGTAGGAAAAGAGGAAGTCAAATTGTCCCTGTTTGCAGATGACATGATTGTATATCTAGAAAACCTCATCGTCTCAGCCCAAAATCTCCTTAAGCTGATAAGCAACTTCAGCAAAGTCTCAGGATACAAAGTCAATGTGCAAAAATCACAAGCATTCTTATACACCAGTAACAGACAGAGAGCCAAATCATGAGTGAACTCCCATTCACAATTGCTTCAAAGAGAATAAAATACCTAGGAATCCAACTTACAAGGCATGTAAAGGACCTCTTCAAGGATAACTACAAACCACTGTTCAATGAAATAAAAGAGGATACAAACAAATGGAAGAACATTCCATGCTCATGGGTAGGAAGAATCAATATCATAAAAATGGCCATACTGCCCAAGATAATCTATAGATTCAATGCCATCCCCATCAAGCTACCAATGACTTTCTTCACAGAATTGGAAAAAACTACTTTAAAGTTCATATGGAACCAAAAAAGAGCCCGCATTGCCAAGTCAATCCTAAGCCAAAAGAACAAAGCTGGAGGCATCACGCTACCTGACTTCAAACTATACTACAAGGCTACAGTAACCAAAACAGCATGGTACTGGTACCAAAACAGAGATATAGATCAATGGAACAGAACAGAGCCCTCAGAAATAATGCCACACATCTACAACTATCTGATCTTTGACAAACCTGACAAAAACAAGCAATGGGGAAAGGATTCCCTATTTAATAAATGGTGCTGGGAAAACTGGCTAACCATAAAGCTGAAACAGGATCCCTTCCTTACACCTTATACAAAAATTAATTCAAGATGGATTAAAGACTTACATGTTAGACCTAAAACAATAAAAACCCTAGAAGAAAACCTAGGCAATACCATTCAGGACATACGCATGGGCAAGGACTTCATGTCTAAAACACCAAAAGCAATGGCAACAAAAGCCAAAATTGACAAATGGGATCTAATTAAACTAAAGAGCTTCTGCACAGCAAAAGAAACTACCATCAGAGTGAACAGGCAACCTACAGAATGGGAGAAAATTTTTGCAACCTACTCATCTGACAAAGGGCTAATATCCAGAATCTACAATGAACTCAAACAAATTTACCAGAAAAAAACAACCCCATCAACAAGTGAGCGAAGGATATGAACAGACACTTCTCAAAAGAAGACATTCATGCAGCCAACAGACACATGAAAAAATGCTCATCATTACTGGCCATCAGAGAAATGCAAATCCAAACCACAATGAGATATTATCACACACCAGTTAGAATGGTGATCATTAAAAAGTCAGGAAACAACAGGTGCTGGAGAGGATGTGGAGAAATAGGAACACTTTTACACTGTTGGTGGGACTGTAAACTAGTTCAACCATTGTGGAAGTCAGTGTGGCAATTCCTTAGGGATCTAGAACTAGAAATACCATTTGATCCAGCCATCCCATTACTGGGTAAATACCCAAAGGATGATAAATCATGCTGCTGTAAAGACGCATGTACATGTATGTTTATTGCGGCACTATTCACAATAGCAAAGAATTGGAACCAACCCAAATGTCCAACAATGATAGACTGGATTAAGAAAATGTGGCACATAGACACCATGGAATACTATGCAGCCATAAAAAAGGATGAGTTCATGTCCTTTGTAGGGACACGGAGGAAGCTGGAAACCATCATTCTCAGCAAACTATCACAAGGACAAAAAACCAAACACCGCATATTCTCACTTATAGGTGGGAATTGAACAATGAGAACACATGGACACAGGAAGGGGAACATCACACACCAGGGACTATTGTGGGGTGGGGGGGGGTGGGGAGGGATAGCATTGGGAGATATACCTAATGCTAAATGACAAGTTAATGGGTGCAGCACACCAACATGGCTCATGTATACATATGTAACAAACCTGCACATTGTGCACATGTACCCTAAAACTTAAAGTATAATAATAATTTAAAAAAAAGAAATCTCATAAAATTGCTACCAGCGAAGTTGGGAACTAATCTTATTGGGGTAGGGAGACTGGGGAGATGTGTAGGTGGATACATCTCAAGAAACTTCTTAGAACTCAGGTGGAAAGGCAATAACTATGTAATGCTTAAGGAGACAATATAGGGCTTATAGTTCTTAAACATGTTTAAATCCTGCCTCCAATACTTACTGGCTATGTAACCATTGTCAAGTTACTTAACTTCTCCTAAGCACAGTTTCCCATTCTACAAAAATGGAAATGAGCACTGTCTACTTTTTATGCACAGGGTTGTTGTGAATATTAAATGAAAAAAGGCTTGGCACTCAGGAGTCACTCAATAAATGTTAGTCTTATTATCACCTGCAAAAAAAAAAAAAACAGGACTAGACTCCAAGGACAGGACCAAATGTAGTAAAAGAAGACATTCAGGAAAACTGGGCCCTTGAACTTGACCTTGAGAAAAGGAAACACCAGTACAATAGACTTGGATATACTCCAGTCTTTCAACCTGCCTCAGGTGACCAAGATGGCTGGGAATTTGAAGGTAACTGAGCAGAAGGAAATTAATTCAGTCTAGTTTGCAGGAAAGTATACTTGTGTATCATGCTTTATAGTTCAAAAAAGTTCTTTGGAACATTATTTTCACCTAATCTTCAAACAACCTTTGGTATTCGACGATGAAGAGATCATTACCCTCACTTTAAAAAAAGAAAACTGAAGCCGGGAGCAGTGGCTCATGCCTGTAATCGCAGCACTTTGGGAGGCCGAGGAGGGTGGATCACAAGGTCAGGAGATCAAGACCATCCTGGCTAATATGGTAAAACCCCATCTCTACTAAAATTACAAAAAATTAGCCAAGCATGGTGGCACGTGTCTGTATTCCCAGCTACTCGGGAGGCTGAGGCAGGATAATTACTCAAACTCAGGAGGCGGAGGTGGAGGTTGCAGTGAGCCAAGACCGTGCCACTGCACTCCAGCCTGGGTGACAGAGCAAGACTCCGTCTAAAAAAAAAAAAAAAAAAAAGAGAGAGAGAGGAAACTGAAGTTTGGAGAGGTGGAAGAATTTGTCTACAGCCTCACTACTATATAACTGGAGGGGTACTTGAGCCCCATCTCATAGGGGAGTCCTGCCTTCATCATGCTTGTTACATGTAGAATAAAAATAAACCACTTCATGTCTCTACATAATAGCTGCACTGGCTTCAAAGAGTGGATTCTCATCCAAGTTTCAAGTGTGGTTATGCTAAGGAACAACAACTGGTGTTGGATGTAAAATGCTGTCAGACAAGAATTTTCTAGAAGAACCCAGATGCTCTTTTAACCCCTCAAAAAGCCCTTTGCTGCATCTGGATCCTCTTCTGGTGGGAGTAGAAAAACTTTTTAATAAAAGTATAAAAATTGCTGCCAAAAGAACATCATAGCCATCACTGCATAAATCAGAATACACTTACTGGTGGGCGTGCCCTGACCATGGCAGAACTTGCTGTGTTAACTCTCTTCCTATCGGTCCTCTGTTTCTCCAGGTGAGTGAAGGATATGAACAGACACTTCTCAAAAGAAGACATTCATGCAGCCAACAGACACATGAAAAAATGCTCATCATTACTGGCCATCAGAGAAATGCAAATCCAAACCACAATGAGATATTATCACACACCAGTTAGAATGGTGATCATTAAAACGTCAGGAAACAACAGGTGCTGGAGAGGATGTGGAGAAATAGGAACACTTTTACACTGTTGGTGGGACTGTAAACTAAAGGGTCTGGTAATATACTCCCAAAATTTGCGTCTAGCTCTGAACTTCATGGGCACCACAGTTTAAGAAGGAAGCAGACACACACTCAGAAAAGAACAAATAGGGTGAGGGGCTGCACCCCACATTGTGATAACGGGTGGCCAAAGGAACCAGGAACTGGAGAAGAGAGGACACTGGGGAACGTGAGTGGTGTGCACCTCCAAAATTCCTGTGTGGCCACAGAGAGGGAAACCAAGGCCAATGGGTGAAAGCCTCAGGTAATCAGAACTTGCTTGAAAAACTCAGCTGCCCAGGCACAGTGGCTCACACCTGTAATCCCAGCACCTTGGGAGGCCAAGGCGGGTGAATCATGAGATCAGGAGATGGAGACCATCCTGGCCAACATGGTGAAACCCCGTCTCTACTAAAATACAAAAAATTAGCCAGGCATGGTAGTGCATGCCTGTAATCCCAGCTACTTGGAAGGCTGAGGCAGGGAAATCACTTGAACCTGGGAGATGGAGATTGCAGTGAACTGAGATCACACCATTGCACTCCAGCCTGGGCAACAGAACAAGACTCCATCTCAAAAGCAAACAAACAAACAAACAAAACAAAACAAAAAAACCTGAGCCATCCAAAGATGAAACAAGCAGTTTCAGTTTCTAGGGGAGGGAAAGGGAAGAGAGAGATAAGAAAACACATGTCTTGAGCTCCTGTCTTGAGGCAGGCAGGACCTCTGACTCTAGACACCCGTGAACTCTAACTCCCACCACAATCGTGCTCTTATCAACACTATTTTCCAGGTTACAAAACTGTAGCCCAGAGAAAAACCACTTGATCAACATCAGGAGTAGTGAGTTAGTGAATGCCCCATCAGGAAGACACTGAAGTGGAGGATAAAATACTAGTTTAAACTTATTTAAGCCTCCCATGTAGAAGGCTGGACAGGAGGCTCTTTGTGATCCCTTCCAGCCAGGAAATCTCATGATTCTGTCTGTTGTGCTTGGGTGCCACTTCCCAATCACCATGAAGAAGCCTGACCTCAAAATGCTGAATGGAAAAAGGCCCACTGATGGTCAAGCCTCCACCACCATGACGACCGCCATCACCACCACGCTGGGCACTAGCACGCCTATGAGCAGAGATACTGGCTGCCATTAAATGCAATGGCTCTCATTTCGCAGGTGAGGAAACTGAGCCTTGGCAATGCAAAGTATTTATAGAAGGTCATCTAGAAAGTAAGTGGCAAAGCTCCAGCCCAAAACAAGTCTGTCTGACTCCAAAGCTGCAGCCATCTTCAGAATACCCCATTCTCTCCCTGATTCTCCCTGCATGCTGCCATGATGATGGTGCACCTGAGCACAGAATATTCCACATTAAGAAGTAGAGGACCAGGTCTTGGATCAGTTTCTGCTCCCATGGCTTAAAATCAAATGTGCTCTTCTGCATGAAGCTATCACAAATGCTACTTCAGCAGTGCCTTCCCTCCTTGAGGAACACGAAGAACTTGATGGCATGATGAGAATCTGCCTGGTTTCTTGACTTGCTGTGGCTCTGGAAGGTGGCTCCAGGACACTGGTCCTGTGATCCAGAAGCCCTACCCAGAGAAAAGGCAAGATGCTACCTTGCAGAGTGTAGCTCATTTGAAAGATTCATTCCCTCAGGGCCATATGCCCCACTCCGGGGACGCTGACTTGGCTTGCCTTGCTCGCAAGATACCAAGGCCATCAGTAACTTTCCCCACACTCAGCACTTTCTCTCCTCTCTGACTCTTTCAGCTGAGGCTGCAATGTTAAACATGTAGTTTTGTAAATTAATTCTTTGAAGATTCACTCTTGTCAGCTAACTTTTCTCTCTGCAATAAGCCAAGGAAGTCACTTACTAGCAACTGAAATTTCCACCTTCATGTACTCCCAAGCTTTTTAATTTAAGACAGTGTTCCAAAACCTCTATGCAGCAAAACTCCCCAGTTATATACTCAAAAATGTTCAGTTAATATTAATGGGGAAAGTGAGCATCCCACCTTGGCCCTGGATAAGAACAGGATCTCAGTGTATCATCTCGGGGGGAGAAAGAAGCCAGAAGATAAGCCTTTAGCTAGCATTCGACTGCAGACAATCCTAGGTTTTGTTTCTCCTCTCCAGGCTCAACTCAACAGTCATTTATGTCATGAGCTGTCCTGCGCCAGGTTGTGGGTAAGTGTCCCTATAGGGAAGAACCGAGAAGAGTGAGAGACAGACTCTGCCCTCTTAAGAGTGTGCACTGAATCGGGAAAGGACAGGCAGTCCACCCCAGGACAGGGCAGGGCAGGCAGTCCCCAGAGGCACAAGGACATCCCACCAGCAATGTGAGGCTGGGAGGCCTGAGTCCTCTACAAATTTGGACAAGTCACTTCCCCTGAGATTCAACTTATTTATTTTAAGAAAAAATTTTAAGTAGACCCAGATTTTAACTAAGATGCCTTCTGTCTCCAGTTTTCTAAGATTAAGTTAAGGGTAGCAAATGCTCCAGGAGAAAAACAAATGTTCCTGCAAGGATAAGGAGAGGGGTTCCCGTCCAGCAGGTCTGGGAAGGGGCTGGGAAATCAGCGAGCAGGAGCTGGCCTCAAGGAGCGGCGAGGATGCCAACAGGTCATGGGTCCAGAGAGGATGTCTGGATACCTTCTCGTCAAAGAAAAGATTCCCACCACTTCTGCTGCTGCCAAAGGGGAGGGGAAGGGAAAACAGAGAGGCAGGGAGAGGGAAAGAGGCAGAAAGGGAGAATAAAAGGAGAAAAGGAAGAATAAAAGAAGACATCAAAAGAGGAAGAGGAGGAGCAGAAGCAACACCTAATAATAATGGTAATAATAATACCTACATAGTCCTGAATGGTTTAGAGAAGTTCTGCCCACACAGGCTCATTTAACTCAGCCCCATGCTGGGAAGCAGGGGTCGGCAGGTTCACCACCTTCACAGACTCAGAGTTGGCCTCAGAGTTGGGAATTGTGGTCTGATGGCAGTGAGCCTCCCATCATACAGCTGTGACCGCAAGCTCAGCATGCTGCCACCGTGCCAGGGGGTGTCCTGAGGAGCTCTGTGCAGGTGCCCTCAGCATGTTCCTGGCTGAACAGTCTCCGAAGGCAAGCAATCCAGAGGCAATCAAGGACACGCCTGTTGTATTCTGCCACAACCAGTGGGGAAGGTTCTCTCCTTGACTGAACTCCAGCCAGGCTTCACTGAGCCCTTTCTCAACAAGGCCTTACGCTTGACCTCTAAAGACTTAAACACAAACTTAGTTTCTCACAACTGAAGGCCATGTCCCTAGGATGACTCTAGCCCCGTTAAAATGATCAAGGCTGAGGAAACTCAAGGCTACCAAAATAATTCAGTGTGTTCTAGTTAACACCTAAAGATAGGTCCCTGCCTCCCAGCCCCGGCGAGAACAGAAGCCTAGACCCCGATGGGTTTCACATGGGCTCACCACCCTGCCTACCTTTTGTAATTTTCACTTCTGACTCTCCCGAGCCCTACTCACCACCTCCACACCACTGTCACCTCCCTCCCGTTTCGTCATGCCCCGTCACCTCTGTACAAATCATAGGTGAGTTCACTTCATGCTGGACTCTTCCCCCTGTCGCAATGGTCCATTACTGATGAAAATCTGCCCCTACCACTTTACCTAGAGTCTGGCTTTGTCTAACTTTGTCACACCTCAGGACCACTGCTTTCAGTTCTGGATACCATACTTCACGAGGAAAACTGTCTGCCTGAAACATTTCAGAGGATGGAGAGAGTATTTAAAGCCAGGTAGGTACCTTAAGGAAAAGTGCAGGGTCTTGGATCATTTGCGTTGAGAAGGAGAGTTGAGTGCTGTTGCAGAATTATCTAAAGGGCTATTGTATCAGCCAGCATCCCAGCTGGAAACATATGGCTTTATCAAACTGGGTTAATTAGAAGAAGGCTTGTCAGCAAAGGGACTATTTACAATGCTACAGGTGTGAGAGAGCCTAAGGACGAGGCAGTAACCTGGAGCCAGCAGCAGAGAAGCTGTACCATGGCCAGCCACAGCAGGACACACAGGAAGTTGTCATCAAAACCAGAAGAAAGTCATGGAGAGAGAAACTGTCCTTGAAGAAACAGTGACAGTCAGGGACAAAGCCAATCAGAGACAATGCAACCCACCACGGGACCCCAGGGAATACATGCAACTGGAATACTTCTCCTCCCTCCTTTCAGTCTCCTGCAAAGACACATCTTTGGCCAGGTCTAGCTGAAACTCAGAGTATATAGGACCCCAAGGACAAAGAATTCCATATGCGTCAGATTCCCAAGACAGAGGGGAGTGAAGAAGGATGAAAAGAAACCCTGGAGAGGCAAACAGAAGTTATCAGACACAGCCATCATGTGGGAGAACCAGATATGGGCATGAGACCCACAGGGAGAGTGGGAGAGGAGGAGGGAAAGAATCAGGGTGGAGGGGAGGGAAGAGGAGGGGAAGGAAGGGAAGAGGTGGGGAAGAGTAGGGGCACAGGGGGCGGAGGGGAAGGGCAGGGGCGGAGGGGGCGGAGGGGAAGGGTGGGGGCGGAGGGGAAGGGTGGGGGCGGAGGGGAAGGGTGGGGGCGGAGGTGAGGGGATGGGGGGGCGAGGGGACAGGGGGGCAGGGTGCTGGAGGCGGGGCAGGACACCGGAGTGGGGAGGAGGGGAGCGGACGGTGGGGGGAGAGAGGGGAGCGGACGGTGGGGGGAGGGGGGTATGGGGTCGTAGGGACGGGGACAGAGGGACAGGGATGGAGGGAAAGAGAAAGAGTAACAGTCAAAGAGAGTTGAACTAGGAAAGAATAAGGTTGCATAAAGAGTACTGGCTCCCCACCATTGAATTTCAAGTCAAGGTTAGAAGATGACCGAGTTAGGAATGCTCTAGAGGAAATCCAATGTTAGATTGGTTTAAATGACTTATAAAGTTGCTTCTAACTTGATATCCCAACATCTTATAAAAAAGGAGATTAAAAAGGTTTGTTGTTGTTGTTAAACAATTGAGATTTCCTCCAATCTCAATCTCCTCCCATATTAAATATCTGCATTCAGCTTGCCTGAGAGATCATAGAAAATGCTTACTAAGTATGGCACCAGAGTTAAATTTCCGATTAGGCCGAATTTTGTAGTCACTTGAGATTTTTTAAGAAACCTGTCCTGTTTATTGTGACAACAGAATGACCTTGACAAGGAAAGGAAATATTTTCTAATCCAAACAACTTCAGAAGACCACGTTCTTTATCACCTCAAGAAGCATCACATTTGCTCCTGAAATTTGATTCATAATTTCCCCACGGTCTCTCTCAAATGGAGTCACACATTACAAATGAGAGAGCATCTAAGAACTAACTACAAACTTTGTTAACTTTTATGCTTTTGCCTTATAGTTTACCAAATAATGTTTTCTCCTCCCACTTACCAAGAGCTATGGTCAAAGTTAATTAAAATCTAGGGTAGCTGATGCTTCCATTTCCTGAATGGCAATGGAAATGATTCAAAGAAGGTTAGCAGTTACATAATTACTCATAGTATATTTTATATACCAGAGGCATCTCTTGTGGGCTTTGTATTAAGTGAATAATAGCAATGTTGTTTTGACTGAATAATATTTCAGTTAACTCCATGGCCGCTAAGTAGTTTACACTTAGAAAACCAAGAAGACCATTTGGAAATGTGTGCATTGAAATCTCCCATACGTGGTTGCACAATATGCTTTTCATTATTGCACAATGTCGTCAAGAATGGAACTAATAAAGCTGATATTTCATGGTGCAGGGTGCAGACTAGCAGTTTGATGTAATGTTTCAGCTCACAGTTTCTTGTATACAAGGAACGGATTAAACTGTTCAACTGCAGACAAAGACCACCCAATGTTTAGCTGCTCAGGTGAGGTATAAAAAATTGGCTCACCGCTATTTTCTCCCAGAATGAATGTAACTGATTGACCTATCTCCAAAACAAGCTGACAAAGTCGTAAATTGATGAATTCAGTTCCTGTTCTGGGAAAACTATGAATTAATTCAGTTATGTTCAGTAAGCCAAAATGTTGTAGTCATTAGGAAGTTTTTTAAGAGCAGTGGTTTTGATGTCTTTGTTCCTGCATTGTCAGTGGTAAGTGGAAGGCTTGGTGTTGCGATAGATCCACGTGACAGTGCATTAGCAGAGAGCTGTTCACGCACAGGCATGCCGTGTGGGACAGCAAAACGAACCCTCTCTGTGTCCCTGGAAAAATTATCAACATGTGACTCTCAATGCCAGAATTTCACCCAATCACTAAGAAATCCTCATCCCTCACATAACCTCTCCTACCCAGCATGGGCTTTTTAAGTCCTAAGCTGAATGGGCACCACCTATCTCTTCTCTGCATTCATGTAGCAAAATCCACTTTCATTTGTACATTTGTTCAGAAATCATTTTTGCTCTGTGCAGGAGGTTTCACAGACCAAATCTCATCTCATCCACATACCAAATCTGCCATGCAGGGATATTACTCCCATTTTTATGGTTATTTGCCTTATTTTCACTCACTTCTAGTGGTGTTGGTCCATGTGTTTGCTAATGCAGCTGAGCGTAGGAGAGAGGTTTGCCCAAGGTCACCAGGTTAGTAAGTCAAAGCTGATGTCAAACTCCAGGTCTGTCTCAATGCGTGTTCTTTGATCAGCTCCTGTACCAAACTATTTTGTATTTGGTCAGACACTGCAGCCTCCTCAGTACTGTAGCTGCATCCATTTTCTCTTAGTCTCCAACAACAATCATTTTGGATACATAACAGACACTGTCCACCATGTTTACACAATACAAATAGCTCATTCTCGCTGCGTACTTACTATGGGCTGGCACTGTTCCAGGTGCTTTCCAGGTTCTTTACACCCTGTTCAATTCTCACAACAATCAAGAGGAAAGTTACTAGTGTTATCTTCATTTGACAGATGGGAAAAATGAGGCACAGAGGGGTTAAGTAACTTCCTGAAAGCCACAGAGCTAGGAAGTAGCAAAGTTGAGATGCAAACCCAGGCTGTCTGTCTCTAGTTTGTGTTTTGGACTTCTGCACTAAACTGTTTCAGGGGTTCCTCTATCAACATAAGGAGGCTTTATTGATATAAGCAATCATTATTTATCATTCTTTACTAAATGTCTCCTGCATGCCAGCCTTGGACAGGTCCTGGGAACCCAAGGGTTAATAAGACAATGTGGTCCTTCTACAATAGTGGAAGAAACAAGCACTAAACGACAAAGAGCTATGAAGGAAAACACACAGTAAGCAAAAATGAGGATGGAGAGTGGAGGACAAGGCTCCTTTCAGCCTCAGCGGTCAGAAAATGCTTCCTGGGTTTTTTGGTTTTTTGTTTGTTTGTTTTTGTGACAGGGTCTGTCATCCAGGCTGGAGTGCAGTGGCACTATCACAGCTCACTGCAGCCTTGACCTCCTGGGCTCAAGCGATCCTCCCTCCTCAGCCTCCTGAGTAGCTAGAACTACAGGTACACACAACCATACCCAGCTAATTATTTTTTGTAGAGACGGGGGTCTTGCTATGTTACCTAGGCTGGTCTCAAACTCCTGACCTCCCACCTTGGCCTCTAAAGTGCTGGGATTCAGTCATGAGCCACCATAACTGGCCTCTCTGGATCTAATTTGATGAGATTCAGCACTGCCAAAAAACAGAACTTACAGGTGGGAACGAAACAGTTTCCCTCCTTCAAAGATCATTTTCTCAGCCTAAGTTTGCATCTCTACTCACATACCCTTGCCAGGTATGTGGCTCCAAATAAGTTACTTAACTTCTCCAAGAAACCATTTTCCCATCTATAAAAGAGGAGTGAGAACAATAATCACCTCATAGATTGCTGTGATCATTAGAAGTAATGTAGAGAAAGCATGGAGCAGATCCCTTGCCACATGGCAGGTCCTGGGCCAACGCTTGTCCTTGCCTTTCTTTCTCCTCTTCAGCCTGATCAGCTGCATCAGGGCTGGAGCCTGGTATCCTGGAGCAGGTATGGAGGGAGTGTTACAGCCCAGCCACCCTCATACCTGGATCTTCTTGGCCAGGCACATGACATGCTCATAAGTCTCTAAAGTAAAACAGATCTGAGGCCGGGCACAGTGGCTTATGCCTGTAATCCCAGCAATTTTGGAGGTCGAGGCAGGAGGATCACCTGAGGTCAGGAGTTTGAGACCAACCTGGCCAACATGGTGAAATCCCCCCCTACCCCAAGTCTCTACTAAAAATACAAAAATTAGCCAGGTCTGGTGGCGGCAGGTGCCTGTAATCCCAGCTACTTAGGAGGCTAAGGCAGGAGAATCACTCAAACCTGGGAGACGGAGGTTGCAGTGAGCCAAGATTGTGCCATTGTACTCCAGTCCGGTCAGCAAGAGCAAAATTCCATCTCAAAAAAAAAGAAATGTAAAGCCGATCTGAGTGTCAGCTGTGAATCACTACTGTGTAGGCCAGGTGGACAAAATAAAGCCATTGATTTTTTGGTAACTGCTCTCAAGTCTATCAGTCAGAATAAGGTGGGTTTTGCTGATATAATGAGAAACAATCCCAAATGCCCAAGACTTCAGACAAGAAAGGTTTATTGCTCACTTGTGCTACACGTCATCATAACCGACAGAGCCTCCTTCTTCAGGGACCCAGGCTGAGGGAGGCTCTAATCCTTGTCTCTGCAATGGCTGAGATTACAGAAAGCAAAATGGCCCATCAAACACTAGTTTTTGAGGCTTCTGTCCACACGCTACAGTCCATGACAGGTCACATGTACCTAATTTCAAGGGAGTAGGAAGTTGCAATTTTACCGAGTGCCTGGAAGAACAAGAAATACTCTGAGAACAGCACCCATGAGAACTACCAGGAGTTTGTAGAGACGCTGTGCCACAGCCGAGCTGGAGAGGGGAAATCCCACCTCAGGAGGAAACCATCCCCTTCTGAGCAATGTCAGTGTGGCTGCCCAGCAGGTTCCCTCTCCCCTTTGGGGAAGCACCTCACATTATCCACAGCTTCTCAAACATCTCCCCAAAAGCAGCCCTAACAGTAAAAGGAGAATTCAGAGCACCCGGCAATTTAAGTGCCAAAGAGACCTTCCACTGGTGAGCAATTTCACAAAGCCTTGTTTTACCCTATAGTTCATGTGGATCTGCAGCCTACTCCATTGTGTGTTACTGTGAGTTTTAATATCAAAATCAATGCTTCTGCAAGGTGTGCGGTGCTTGTGTTTTTCCCTCATTGCTAACCCATCACTTCATGTTTCTGGAAAATCTCAGTAACAGATCCCTGACATTCCAAAACATTATTCCTGAAATTTTCACAAATTGCCACAATCCCTAATTCCATCACTTTCTTACTTAGGTTGCTTTTCTTTTTCTAGATAAAAATGCTATCTGCCATTCACTCAGAGCCTCGTGTGTGTCAACAACTTGGCCTGCGTTGCCTCATTCCAGACATACCAGTTTTCCAGGAAAGGGACAGCAGGACTGGGGTCTCTCCTAATGATTAGGAAGTAGAAACTCAGGGAGATTCAATGACTTGTCAAAAGCCACACAGCAAGTAGCAGAGAAGCAATTTGAACCCAGTTCCAAGCAGCTCTGAATCCTTGCCTTTTCCACTGTAATCATATTCCCTCTTAGCTTCAGCTAAGAAATCAAACTCAGGTCTCCATCAACGCAAAAGCGAACCTCAGGCACCAGTTGTTTTCATCATTGGTGCAAGATTTTGGTTCTCTTTCAGGAGCAAGCTTCATCGAAAAATAAAGTTTTACTACTTTGCAAGTAGTGTTACAGGAGTCACTACAAAGCAGGTGCCACACGAAGATAGCCTTGATCACTCACTACAAAGTAGCTCCTTGTCACCCGACAGCCTCATAGCCACTGGGATTCTAATTCACAACTTGGAAAGACACAGACCACTATGGGTCATGGGCCTTTGGGGTTCCTGGTGACGACTCAAATCAGATTGTAAAATACAGAAAGAAGAGTCTCCACCCACCTCAGGGTCTGGATGACAGGAGGAAAGGTCCACTAAGAAGAAAAGCCATGGGTACGAAAGTGGCGCAGTTTCCTTGATGCGCTTAGAGCTAAACTCCAAGGCTCCACAGGCCCATGCTGATCAGCCTCGTGCCCAGTAAACAGGATCCTGAAGGCATTTACCCAGGCCCAGCTGGGAGAAAACATCACAATAGAGAATCAGCTCCACCTGTCAACTCTGGTTTCAAAGACAGCCTTTCCAAACCTTGTTCTCAGTGGCAGAGCCATTATGTTTTACATTATTTAAGAGATGGGTCAAGAATGAAATTGTAAGCATAAAAGTAATGAATGTTACAAAACAAAAAATTAAAAAATACATTTGACAATAGAAAATGCTAAATTCCTATGTGTCGAAAAAAATCCCCAAACAAAATTATAAGGCCAATGACAACCTAAAGGGGAAAACATTTCTAATGTATAGGATAACATGTCAATGACTTCAACACAGGGTCATCATACAAATCAACTTAAAATATATGTCCTTTGTCTGAGGAAGAGAACATTTGCAGAAGGATAAACGGTCAAGAAGTATTTCTAAAATGTTTATCCTTACTGGCAACCAGAAACACAAATTAAATAAAGGTACTGCTTTTTACCTAATTGATCTTTATTTTTTTAAGATAATACTTAGTGCCCTTGAGAGTACCATAATGTAGGCCCTTTCCCTCGGTGCTGTGGGAGAGTAAATTCCAGGAAAGCAATTTAGCAATACATATCAAAAGCCCTACTAATGTTATCTCCTTTGATCCTGTAATTGACTTCTGGGAATCTGTCCTAGGAAAATCATCAGAAATGTGGAGAAAAATTTTTATTCCGGAATATTCACTATAATGTTATTTGTTATAATCGAAAGAAAGAAAGAAAAAGAAAGAAAGAGAAAGAAAGAAAAATGAAACCAACCTAAATGGCAAAAATATAAGTAAAAAGGCAGGGTAGGGTTAAATAAAATATGGTGGGGAGAAATGATAGAGTATTAAAAAGTACCATATTTTCAAGAATTATTTGAATGACATGTGGAAATGTTCAAAATATAGTCAATCAAAAAGACAGACTCTAATACCACTGTTTTAAAAGAAAATATTACTGAAACATATATACACACAGTCATACACTCACTAAAATGCTCATAAAACAGATAAGGAAATAAGCCACTAACAGTGATTGTCTCTGGTGTGTTACGGGTAATTTGTTTTCCTTCTTTATATTTTTCTGTATTTTCCAAATTTTCAAAACTAACATTTATATACATGAATACACACAAACATACTTTTACAATTAAGAAAACACTTTTTGAAAACAATGTGGTAGACTGAAAATTTTGCCACATATTATTTACTTCCCCATATCCATGCCCTTGGGCACTTGGGCAGTGGCACACCACACTGAGCTTGGCCTCTTGACTTGTTTTGGCCAGTGGATTGTGAGCAGTTGTAATGCAAACAAAGGTTTGATGGCACTTACCTGTGGGAGCTTGTCTTAACTTGCTGCTTTTGGAATCCTCCTACCAACCCCTGTGTGAAAGAGCCTGGGCTGATCTGCTGGACGATGACAGATATATGGCCGAGTTCCCTCACTGCCCCAGCCCTAAGCTGACTAACAGAGCTGCCTAGCCAACCAGCAGCTGAACACAGACACAAGAATGATCACAGCTAGATGAGCAGAAAACCACCCAGCTGACCCCAACCCCAAACTGGCAACACACAAATTATAAAATAAATACATTGTTGTTGTTTTAATTCACAACATTTTGGGGGCAGTTTGTTATGCAACAAGAACTAAATTATATAAGGAAAAATGTACTCTAGTAGTAAAGTGGAAAAATCCTGGGTTTCTCCTTTGGGTACATTATTTAACCTGTGACTCCATTCTGTTATCTATAATGTGGGAATAAGACTGCTTGCTTCACTGGGAAGTTGGAAGAATCAAATGAGTTAATGTACATGAAGGCAGCTGACACACAGTAAGGCTAAATAAATATGACATGAATCTGAATTACTCTTGTCAGTAATTATTGGGAAGAAAGAAGCATTTAAAAATCTTAAGAAGAGAGGAATCAAAATATCTCCATCTCCACAGCTTAGGAGTAGGTTAAAAATATGATATTAGTATTTTTAGAATTTTATTATGAACAATGAATAAAGGATAAATCCCTGGGCTAGAATTTGGGGGCTTGAGTTTTATGTCCTGTTATGGACTAAGTGTTGTATTAATTCAAAATTGATATGTTAAAATATAATCCCCAATGTGATAGTATTTAGAAGTGGAGCCTTTGGGATGTAATTAGGTCATGAGGGTGGAAACTTCATGAAAGGGATTAGTGCACGGTATTAGCCCATTTTCATGCTGCTGGTAAAGTCATACCCCAGACAGGGTAATTTATAAAGAAAAAGAGGTTTAATGTACTCACAGCTCCACGTGGCTTGGGAGGCCTCACAATCATAGCAGAAGGTGAAAAGCGTGTCTTACATGGCAGCAGTTAAGAGAGAATGAGAGCTAAGTGAAAGGGGAAACCCATTATAAAACCATCAGATCTCATAAGACTCATTCACTACAAGAACAGTATTGGGGAAACTCCCCCAACGATTCGATTCAGGTATCTCCCACCAGGTCCCTCCCACAACACGTGGGAATTACGAAAGCTACAATTCAAGATAAGATTTGGGTGGAGACACAGCCAAAGCATATCATGCCATTATAAGTGGCCAGAGAACTAATTCACTCTCTTTTCTCCACGTGAGTAACAATGAGAAGTCAGCAGTCCACAACCCAGAAGAGGGCCCTCATCAGAACCCAACTGTGCTGGCGCTTTGATCTCAGACTTTCATCCTCTAGAACTGTGAGAAGTGCACTTTTGTTGAAACCACCCTGTCTATGGTACTTTGTTACAGCAGCCCAAATGGACTAAGACATATCCTACTTCTGCCATTGACTTGGAATATGACATAGGGTGTTTTTCCTATTCCAACTTAATAGGAACTTATTTCCTTAGTGGTGGTCTCTGGGGTCTGAGTCAATTGCCACAGAGCCAGAGAAGAATTGAATGCAGAAGTATTTGAGATCTAAGCTTAAAGCCCAGTCTCCTCCTCTGGATGTTCACATAGTCATGCCCATCTGCTTCTCCTGCCACTCACAGCCCACTCCACCCTATTTGCTCAGCACTCCAGCCAAACGAAACAGCTGGCTATTCTCAGGCAGGAGGCACGACGATTGTACCTTACTTATGCCATCGCCTCTGCTTGGGACACCCTTTTGCACAGTCAGACTCCTACACAGAGCTTCAAGACTTGCCCTGGGAAGACTCTTCTGACCCCTCAGATAAAATAAGTATCTCTTTCTCTCGTGTTCCCACGACCTATTTATCTTAGGTCAGGTTTTCTAGAAGCAAAGGCTAAGACAGGGATCCTTGTGCAAGTGATTTATTAAGGGAGTTCTCCTGGGAGAACCCTTAAGGAGAGGGAAGCAGAATAGGCCAGTGGGAAAAGCCAAGCAAAGATGCAGGCTCAGCTGAAGTCCACGTGGAGGCCGAACAAACCCTCAGAGTCGGCCCACCTGAGGCAAGTTGTGTCTGGCCTTCTGTGCCCCCTGCTATCAGTCAACCACAGCTGGAAGCCATCCCCAGACAAAGGACATGACCTTCCAGGCATTTCCAAAGCAGCACCCGTTACCCAAGACGATTCAAAGGGAAGGGCGCAGCTGTAGGCCGGGTGAGCCATCAGGTAAAAGGGCGCTGGGGGCACCGGCACTGTCACTTATCATCCGCCCCTCACACCTGCGCTTCACAGGCAGTTCACTCCATTAAGCACAGCGTGTTCTGGATTCTGGTTGATCACAATTTCTGGAGAAACATAAAAGAGCAAGGATGTTAGGATGAACTGCCGCCTCCACTGCTGAGTGGGTCCCAAGTTTGTCTCCGAAACTCACCATTTCCCTTTTCCACCAGCGATACAACATTTCCCTCCCCAGCAGCTGGGAGGTCTGCTGAGCTATGTGGATTTTCCTGAGGGAGATGGTACCCAGATCTTCACCTGGGGCAGCGGGGTGCAGGGAGGGTCTAGCCCCCGGGTTTCTTGTTCTTATTAGGCCATAGCTGCGGAACCTTTCCATTTCCTCTTAGAATTGAGTGTGGGAGTGCCGGGGGTGCCCAAGGGATCACCTGATGCCCAACACATTTCCTCCTGCCCCCACTGTGAAGCATTATGAAAGCAGCAGCTCACTGTTTCCTCGTGATGAGCACGGTTCATTACTCTTTTTTGTTTGTTTCTTTCTTTCTTTTTGAGACAGAGTCTTACTCTGTCACCCAGGCTGGAATGCAATGGCGCAATCTTGGCTCACTGCAACCTCCATCTCCCAGGTTCAAGCAATTCTCCTGCCTCAGCCTCCCGAGTAGCTGGGAATACAGGTACCCACCACCACGCCCAGCTAACTTTTTAGTAGAGACGAGGTTTCACTATGTTGGCCAGGCTGGTCTCAAACTCCTGACCTCAGGTGATCCACCTGCCTCGGCCTCCCAAAGTGCTAGGATTGCAGGCATGAGCTACCATACCTGGCTGGGTTCATTACTCCTACCGAGGTAGTAACTCCTTTCCTTGCCCAGTGATCTATTGGCACATGAACCCAAAATGACCGGGCAGCAACTGCAGCTTTACGTTTAGTGGGCTCTTTACTGTATTCCCTGATGGTATTAATAATTATTTCCCCTCCGGGCACCAAGAGCTTTAGATCCTCAGAGCCTAAAATTGCAGAGACAGACACAAATCCCCACGTGATTGCTCGGGGTGATGGGGAGCAGAGCCACTGCTGCTTCCATTTCGGGGTTCCTGGACCCACCCCTTCCATCTATTCTGCAGCAGGGCTCACTCCAGGGACTACACCTGCTCTGTCTTCTCACTCCCCTTTGCGCAGACTTTGAGAGCAGGGTTCATTTGTATTGCTCTGTGTACATACACTCACTCCCACTGCCCTGCATCAGTAAGGCCACTGATGGAGGAGAAAGGTGCTTTCACATGCCACATATGCCACACCTCTGAGTGGTATGGCTCATTTTCCTCAAGCAAAATATCAGGACCATGGTCCTAATACCTAACACCAGGATGATGGGTCAGGATGTTAAATTGGAGCCAACTCAGGATATCTACAAAAGCAAAATGGCTACTCAATTTGGGTAAAGAGCTGGCAAAGTTAAAAAATATCATAAGCAGTCTATATGTGGTCAGGAAGAAGGGGGACACCGAAGACCAGGATATATAAAGGCTCTGATCCTGGCGGAAATTCAACTTTGGAAATTAGGCTCATTTCTCTGCCAGGCCAGGCTCCCCTTATTTGGAAATCAGGGCAGCGAGATTGTCACCTGGGGTCACAGCAATGCACCAGGTCTCTGTCCCAAGGACCACAGTCTGTCCAGGCTCTGGGAGTGGAGGATGGGCTGGGCAGGGTGTGTGTATGGAATGTGCTAGACAATGGCCAGCTCCCTGGCCACAGCCAACCCTGAATATCCTGCCTTGGCCAGAAGGGTCCTGGAGAGGAAGCAGACACCGAACAATTGGGAAAGGTCTAAAAACCGCAGGAGTCGGCTGAATACAGCCAAGAGGCTGCCCAGTGATGCAATTCATGGGAGACAAAAAAAAAGAAAGAAAGAAAAGGAAAAAAAAAAAAAAAAGAAAGAAAAAAGAGCCCTCCAATCCTACCCAGGAGCATTCATCATTCAGCGTGACCTTCCAGGAATCTGCTGACAGACACAAAGTGTTTTGTGTAACTTTCTGCCTGGGACCTGGAATGACTGACGTGTCCCAGAGAAGGGGCGGAAGGGAGCTGGATGGTGGGGAGACTGGGGGAGGCGGGCAGCCTCGGTTCCCTGCAGGGGATTGTTGGGCACCATCTGCTGGTGGCAAGGGGAACGACACCCCACCTCTGACCCAACAAAGGAAAGCAATGTCTTGGGAAGCAAGTACTGAGGGAGGGCGTCGGGGAGAGGAACACAAACACACTTCTCACCTGCTGAGCCAGAGGCTTCCACAGGTACCTTCTGGTTAGGAAAGAGTTGCTATGCCCATCTTACAGATGGGAAACTGAGGTTCAGGGAGGTGATTAATTTCACCAAGGGTAAGAATGGACGAATTTGTTGCCATTGAATAACCATTCCTTGTTCTGAACTCATTCACAGAGGCTGGAATAGTTCCTGGAACATAAATGCTGGCTGAGTGAATGGCTGAATATGGCTTGAGAAGTAACTTGTGTTTTTGTACTATGCCTGTCTGAACCCAACAAAATAGGAAAAAGTCAATGCAAACCGAGAGTGGTGGCTGCGATTGCAGATGGCTCTCCGGAAACGCCCAGTGCATGACATCCTCCCCGCCTCCTGTTTCATCTGACAAGATTACAAACTACTTCAAAGCCTAGGGTAGGTTTTACTCCTTGTTGACCTCAACCTAGCATTTAGCTGTCCTGGAGGGGCCACAGAAGGAAGAAAGACGATGGAGCTGCATAGGCAGGCACCAGATTTCAAAGAGTCTCAAACCGGTGCAAGGTGACAGGTGACAGGCTACCACTGAAGTTCTGAAGAACCCTTTGCTATTGTGACAGCTTTTCGCCAGCCACCCAGTTGTTTCATGTCTCAGTGGAGGACCCTTATCTTCTCAAAGGTCTAGTGATATTCAGGTACATCAAGCCTTTTCATGCTGAATTCTACCAACATGTCCATCCATCCCGTCCTAATCCCACCCCCCGACACACACACACACACACACACACACACACACATCCTTCCCCCAAACACAGAAACATACCTACACACCAACACTCCTACACACAGGCAAAAACTTCACCAGTCATCAACTGTTACACAGTAAACATCAACATCTCTAAACGCTGAGATAGGTAACATCTTTGAATCCTTGCAATTAATTCCTCCATTATCCATTATTCCTCCATTCTCTCTGACTGGGATGAACATCGCCCTCGGGCAAACTCCCGTTCAACCGTCAAGGCCTATATCCAACATCACCCCACTCTTTGAAACCTTTCCCTACCCCATCACCATTTAGTGTTCCCTTCTCTGACTACCCGGGGAATATGTTTGGAGTTGACAATAACACTTAAAGCATTGTCTTCATGTGTGCATGCTGTTGATGTAAGTAGTAAGAGTTCATTGAATGAATAAATGAACAAATGAACACAGTTTCTTAAAATCCTCTAAGAAAAAGAAAAGGAATTGAGCCAGCTGGAAAGGGAACCTGGCCATCACCAGCCGCTGCAATTCTAGCTTTGGACCCAGGCAGCTCTCAGCCCCTTGGCCTGACCTGGCACCTTTCCACAGATGTGACTGACTGCCCTTCTCAATGTGGGAGGGAAAAGGGAGGCCCCTAACTAATGGAGGGAAATGCACAACTAGTCATCGAGAAAAATTACCTTCAAAAAACAGCAGCATGTCAGAAGCTTTGAGAGCTGAAAGTTTCAACATCCAGCAAATCTCCCCAGACACTTTTAGGCCAGCATTGAACACTCATTTCTTGTTCTCAGGCTCTGACCTGTCTTGGTATTTACCTAGAAAAGATGACTTCCAGACTGCCTGAGAGACATGCACCGTGACTATTGATTAAATGAATGATTTTTAGATGAGAGCATGAAAATAGCCAAAAACCAGTAGTCAATCCACTCATCCAAGATTTTCAGCCTTGTCCCGAGCCCCTAAGTTCTGGATTGGAATGATCCCTCCAGGAAGAAGAAGGACACCAACATTTACTGAGCATCTACTATGCCTCTGCCACTGTAGCTGCACAGCTCGGCTTCAGGGTAGATGTTATCCTTTCCTGACAGATTAGGAAAGAAGCTCAGAGAGGTGAAGTAATGTGCCCAAGGGTACTCAGCTTGTCTGTGGGGCAGCAGGGCTCACTCCGAGGGCATCGAGGCCAGTGCCCTGCCCACTCCACAGCCTCTCCCTGCACACTGAGGGGGCTAGAGACCAGGTAGGAGAGACTACTCACTTCCTTGGGTTATTTTTCTCTAAATTACCCCTTCTCGACTCCTCATCCCATGTGGGAATGATATCAACTCTGAAAAGGGTTTGAGAGAAACTTCTATCTACTGAGAGAGAAACAGCAGAAAGGACAGCAGAACTGGAACCCATTGTTATTCATTCAACAGGCACGTGTGCTGCAAGCCCACTGTGGGCCAGGTGTGGACCGGTGGAGAGTTGATGCAAGGCCTGCCTCCAGCGGGGCTCTGCCCATCCCATCCTTGGCACAGCATGGGAGAACCAACACAGCCCACTCCTTAACTGGGGAACATAATACTAACTAAGCTTGCAACTAGACATGCCACCAGATTTAAGTAGAGCTTGGCAAAGGCAGAAAAGCCAGAAGATCGTATCTTGCTGGCTGTGAAACTAAGTTTCAGGCTAGCAAACCCTTGCTCAGCCTTCCAGAACAGTATTACCATGAAGCGTTCAGAAACACTCATTGCAAAAGCCAAAAATCACCTTATTTGGGGAACATAGAGGCAAGGAAAAATGCTGAGTGTGGATCTTATAGAGAGAATAACTGGCACATCCAAACAGCAAGACCTTCCCTCTGGGAGAGCAGAATCCCCATCAGCAGCAGAGATATTTGCACCTTTATTTCCCATTTATTTATTCATTAACAAAAATGCATAGAGTGACTACCAGGTCCCAGGCCCTGTCCTAGGCACTGGAGCTGCAGCAGGGACAAAATGGACCAAATGTCTCAGCCACACATGGCTCACATGCCAGTGGGAGAAGACAGGTAAAACCAGGAAGTAAATCCTAAGCAACTCAGGAAGACAATAAGCCCCATGGGGAAGCTGTAGTACAGCAGGCAAAAGGGCCAAGAAGTGCAGGTGGCTCTGTGCAGCACTCAGAGAGTACACCCATGGGAGAGACATGCTTCTGGTCCCCTTTGAGGAGCTGCTGAATAGTACCTGAGTCAGAGCCATTTATAAAAGCAGTGGCAGATGCAAGATGCCCTCATGGAAATCTGCACAAGGGTTCAAGAGTCAGAGAAAGAGACCCCATATTCTTCCTGGATGGATAAAGGAAGGCTTCCTGGAGGAGGTGGCTTGTGAACCAATGTTGGCCAGCAGACCTGGGGCACTGGCTCATTTCAGCCCACAGTCAAAGGCATAAGTGCACATGAGCAGATGTCAGTCCCCGGCAGCATTGTCTAGCCTAGTGTGCTAGTTTGCTAGGGCTCCTGTAACAAATATCACAAGCTAGGTGGCCTAAAACAACAGAGATTTATTTACGTCCTCACAGTTCACATCCAACATCAAGGTGTTGGCAGGGTTGGTTCCTTCCAAGGCCTCTGATATGGTTGGGCTGTGTCCCCACCCAGATCTCATCTTGAATTGTAACTCCCACAATTCTCACGTGTCATGGAAGGAACCCAGTTCCATAGGGGCAGGTCTTTCCCATGCTGTTCTCATGATAGTGAATAAGTCTCATGAGATCTGATAGGTTTAAAAATGGGAGTTTTGCTGCACAAGCTCTCTCTGCCTGCTGCCATCCATGTAAGATGTGACTTGCTCCTCCTTGCCTTCCGCCATGATTCTGAAGCCACCCCAGCCAAGTGGAACTGTAAGTTCATTAAACACTTTTTTTTTTTTTTTTGAGATGGAGTCTCTGTCGCCCAGGCTGGAGTGCAGTGGTGTGATCTTGGCTCACTGCAGCTTCCACCTCCCAGGTTCAAGAGATTCTCCTGCATCAGCCTGTTGAGTAGCTGGGATTATAGGCATGCACCACCATGCATGGCTAATTTTTTTGCTGTTGTTGTATTTTTAGCAGAGATGGTGTTTCACCATGTCCTCCAGGCTGGTCTTGAACTGCTGACCTCAAGTGATCCACCTTCCTTGGCCTCCCAAAGTGCTGGGATTACAGGCACAATTACTGGGATCCACCACACCCAGCCTAAACCAATTTCTTCCCAGTCTTGGGTATATCTTTATCAGCAGCATAAAAACAGACTAATACAGCCTCTCTCCTTGGTGTGCCAATGGCTCAGACAGCCACCTTCTCCATGTCCCCACGTGGCCACCCCTCTTGCTCACATCCTGGTCGCCCTGTGTGTCCCAATTTCTTCCTCTTCCAAGTCATGGGTCAGATGGGATTAAGACCCACCCTAAAGTCCTTCTTTTAGTTTAATCACCTTTTTTTAAGGCCTTATCCCCAAATGCACTCACATTCTGTGAGGCTGAGGGTTAAGGCTTCTACCCGTGGATTTTGCAGGGACACAGTTCAGCCCGTACATAACAACTAGCTCGCCAAGAAATAAGTGCCTGCTCTGGGTCACACGCTTTCTCTGCAGCGAGGTGTGTTCCAGTGAAGTGTGTGAATTGGTGCACCCGGGACCATGAACTCCACCTTATCCTACAGCCCCTCCCTCAGTGGCTGCTGCACTCTCCCCCCTTGTTGGTGCATGGTCACCCTCGACTATAGACTTCTCCAGGGTTCCCACCAGGAGCACAGCAAAGCTTCTCTGTATCATCTTTTATCTCAACACAAACAATGCACCTCCCACTCCACAGCCTTGGCCCAAAGGGCATGGTCAGGAAAGATAGGCCAACCACCATCCTGCTCCACTTCCCTCTCTTCTCTTTCTCATGTGCTTCTGGACATGAAGGGGCAGACTTTCAGCTTCCTCATCCCCTCTGGAAGGAACTTCCTCTAAGCAGAGGTCCCCAGCCCCTGAGCCACAGACTGGTAACAGTCTGCAGCCTGTTAGGAACCAGGCCGCACAGCAGGAGGTGAGTAGCAGGCAAGGGAGCATTACTGCCTGAACTCCACCTCTTGTCAGATCAGCAGCAGCATTAGATTCTCATAGGAGCACAAACTCTAGTGTGAACTGTGCATGCAAAGGATCTAGGTTGCATACTCCTTATGAAAATCTAATCCCTGATGATCTGAGGTGGAACAGTTTCATCCTGAAACCATACCCTCAACCCCTGGTCCATGGAAAAATTGTCTTCCACGAAACCAGTGCCTGGTACCAAAAATATTGGGGAGCGCTGCTCTAAAGCATATTCTCCTGCCTCCCCAGGCTCCAAGCCTCTGCTTTACTGAGGCAGGCACAGTCTATCTACACTGTGGAGACCCCAGGCCTGAGGTAGCCATGGAGGGCTTCATCATAGGAACAACAGGATGGCTTGGATCAAAGGATTACCAAGGATGAAAACAGAGTGACTTAATGTTCCAAAAATATTATTCGTATAATAATCATAATATTTAATATCTAGTGATCCCATATATGCTCGAGGCAGAGAGCAAAGTGCTTTCCATCTTACCTCATGACATGGTTTGAATGTTCGTCCCCTCCAAATCTCATGTTGAGGTGGAATTCTCAGTGTTGGAGGTGGGGCCTATGGGAAGTGATTGGATCATGGGGGTGGATTCCCTCATGCACGGCTTGGGCCATCCCCTTGGTGATGAGTGAGTTCTCGCTCTGAGTTCATATGAGATCTGGTCGTTAAAAAGTACGTGGCTCCCTCCTGGCTCTCTTGCTCCCTTGTTTGCCATGTGACATGCCTGCTCCCCCTTCACCTTCTGCCATAATCTTAAGCTTCTTGAGGCCTCCCCAGAAGCAGATGCTGGTGCTGTGCCCCCTGTATGGCCTGCAGAGCCATGAGCCAAATAAACCTCTTTTCTTTATAAATTACCCAGCCTCAGGTATTCCTTTACAGCAATGCAAAATGGACTAAGACATCTCATTTAATGAAACAACGTCATGAGTGCCACTTTACAGAAGAGGAAATGCAGCCACTGGGGTAAAATGCCATGCCCAGGTCCACACGTCTAGAAAGTGATAGAGAAGCCAGCACATTCTGACTCCAGCACACGTGCACCTCATCACCGCAGTTACTGCTCACAAGTACCTGGAAGCGAGACATGCAGCGCAGTAGTCCAAAGTGATTGTCCCTGTTCCTTGCAGAGGCCAGGAGGGATAATAACATCACACTTCAGTCCTAGAAGTCCCAACCTCCCAGGCCAGCCCTGATTCTCACCCCTTCTGGTGCACATGCCCTAGAGTGATTCAAGCCCCAAACCCGCTTCCTCCCAACCTCCATTCTCTCACAGCCACCTTCCGACCACCTATCATTCACCCTGCTCCTTGAATACTGTGGCCCACTGTGTTCCTGCCCAACTCTGCTCCTGCCACTACACATGATGACATCGAAGTCCCTAAGGATGACCCACTCAGTGCCCTCTGTGCTGGTGTCTGTCCTGCTCACTGTGAACCACCTTTGTCCCATCAACCTTGGTAATCCATGCCCAAGGGTACATCCTGGACTCTATACGTGACAAGGACTGCACCACTTCTGACCTCTCAACTTCAAATGGCCCCTAACTGTCCACCATATCCTTGCTTCCTCTAAATCCCTGGCCCTGGTATTCCCCATGGAATGGGGTGTCATGCTTCAGTGAGGCCAAACCTCTGAGCTCCCTATGTTCCCAGAGGTGGTCCCACCCCCCTGCCCCGTGTTTCTGCCCCTTTGGACCCAGGTGTGCTTCTCTGGTCCCTCACCACAGCCACCCCATTGCTGTCCCTCCATCGAACTGTCCCCTGGATAAGCCCCAGTCCTGGTTAAATACAACCAATCACCCTGTCCCTGCCTATCCAGGTCACTGAATATTGCTGAAGAAAGTCCACACAACAAAACTTATTGGTTCACTCTAATCCCACTACCACAAATCTCAGATGGGCACTCAACCCTGCCCAGCAGTCCTGTAATATCATTTCCCCTCTCTAACACAGCTGTTTAATTCTTTTCTTCTCCCCCACATAAGTCCCTTAACCCCTCAATTCTCATGGGGGACGCTACCAGAAACACATTCACCTTCCCACGTCTTCCCTCCTGTTACAACGGCAGCGTCCTGCTCCTATCCAAGGTGGGGCCCTCCTTTATACTGAAGAATGCCACCTGTTGCCTTCTCAAGCACTCTGCTCCCCTCGAATCTCCTCTCTTCCCTCCTTCCTCAAGCTCTCCCTTTCTCCTGGGTCATTACCTCCAGCAACACACAAGTTCCCATTGCTCCTGTCTTCAGAGAGAGAGCTAGAGAAAAAATCTGGATAAAGAGTCCATGGGCCTTAACTGTATGATTCTTTCAACTTTTCTATAACTTTCAACCTTTCCAAATAAAAAGTGGAAATACATGACAATGGAAAAAATGTTAAGAAATCTTACCATGGGTTTCACACTGGATCCTCTTTGATATGTATGAGACATTCCAGTAAACTTTTAAATTGCTTTTAAAAAAATCCCCTTCACCTCCTCCCCTTCCGTGTATTCTTCTTCATGGCAGAATTCCTCAAAATGTCATCCACATTCACTGCTTCTACTTCCTCACTTGCATTCTGCTGAAACTGTTCTTATCAAGATTCTAACGACTTCCTGGATTTCAAGTCTAATGGCCTCATCTCCCCAACTGCCTAGCAGGTATTGCAGATTTAACATGTTTACAGCGAACTTCAATGGGCTCTTGTCTTAGTTGTCCTGCCACCGCTATTTCGCTAGTTCAACCCAAGAATGCAGGAGGCATCCCTGATTTCTCCCTTTCCTTTAAGCCTCATATTGAAACAATTAAAAAATCCCCATGGTTCTACCTCTACAGCATTTCTTTTTGAGATGGGTTCTTGCTCTGTTGCCCAGGCTGGAGTGCAGTGGTGGCATGATCACAGCTCATGGCAGCCTCAACCTCCTGGGCTCAAGCGATCCTCTCACCTCAGCCTCCTGAGTAGCATGCACCACCACGTCTGGCTAATTTTTTTTTTAATTTGTTTGTGTAGAGACAAGGTCTCTCTACCTCACCCAGGCTGGTTTCGAACTCCTGGCCTCAAGCAATCCTCCCGCCTCGGCCTCTTAAAGTGCTGGGATTACAGGCGTGAGCCACCTTGCCTGGCCTCAAAATATTTCTTAATTGTCCCTCTGCTGTTTATTCTTCCCACATCCCCCCTCCTTAAAACACCTCAGTTACTTCCCCACACTCTTAAAATAAAATCCACTCGAGCTTATCACCATGGCTGAGCAGACTCTGAGGAAGCTGCCACCTGCCTTCTTCTTCTTTGCCATGGGTCACACCCCCTCTCCTCCGCAGCTGTCACGCTGGCCCATCCTTCCCCGCCGGGGACACAGTCGGCCCTTTCTAGCTCCCAGGGCTCTGTGCTTGCTCTTCCCCTGCCTGGGAAGCCCATTTCTCAGCTCACCCAATGGATGAATTGTGCTCACGCTCACTACTTAGCTTAGACACAGGCCACCCTTAACCACCTATCTAAAGCACCCACCTCCCCAGCCAGGGCCCTGCAGTAGCTGCCTCTCCTCCACTGCTGGCTTTTTTCAGAGCCTTCTCTTGCTGACGTTGTACTGCCTGTCCTTCCAACTACAAGGGAAATGCCAAGATGACAGACTTGGTCTCCTGTCGCCATGGTGCAGGGTGATGGATGAATGAGCTACAGCTCAGCAGAGGCCTAGCAAGGCAAAAGGAATAGGAGCAGTGGGTCTAAGTGCTCACCCTGCATCATCTGTGCAAATGCACAGGCAGTCTGGGAGCACTGGGTCTAAGCGCTCACCCTGCATCATCTATGCAAATGCACAGGCAGTCTGGGAGCACTGGGTCTAAGCACTCACCCTGCTTCATCGCGGCAAATGCACAGGTAGTCTGGGAGCACTGAGTCTAAGCACTCACCCTGCATCATCGGGGCGAATGCACACATAGTCTGGGAGCAGTGGGTCTAAGCACTCACCCTGCATCATCCGGGCGAATGCACAGGTAGTCTGGGAGCAGTGAGTCTAAGCACTCACCCTGCATCATCGGGGCAAATGCACAGGCATTCTGGGAGCAGTGAGTCTAAGCACTCACCCTGCATCATCGGGGCAAATGCACAGGCATTCTGGGAGCAGTGAGTCTAAGCACTCACCCTGCATCATCGGGGCAAATGCACAGGCATTCTGGGAGCACTGAGTCTAAGCACTCACCCTGCATCATCGGGGCAAATGTACAGGTAGTCTGGGAGCACTGAGTCTAAGCCCTCACCCTGCATCATCGGGGTGAATTCACAGGTAGTCTGGGAGCAGTGAGTCTAAGCACTCACCCTGCATCATCGGGGCAAATGCACAGGCATTCTGGGAGCACTGGGTCTAAGCACTCACCCTGCATCATCGGGGTGAATTCACAGGTAGTCTGGGAGCAGTGAGTCTAAGCACTCACCCTGCATCATCGGGGCAAATGCACAGGCATTCTGGGAGCACTGAGTCTAAGCACTCACCCTGCATCATCGGGGTGAATTCACAGGTAGTCTGGGAGCACTGAGTCTAAGCCCTCACCCTGCATCATCGGGGTGAATTCACAGGTAGTCTGGGAGCAGTGAGTCTAAGCACTCACCCTGCATCATCGGGGCAAATGCACAGGCATTCTGGGAGCACTGGGTCTAAGCACTCACCCTGTATCATTTGGGGCGAATGCACAGGTAGTCTTTATCTCACCATCCTACCTAGATGCTGAGAGGAAAATGCTTTCCAGGGACAGGGTTGGAGCAGTGGGTCTAAGCCCTCACCCTGCATCATCGGGGTGAATGCACAGGCATTCTGGGAGCACTGGGTCTAAGCACTCACCCTGTATCATTTGGGGCGAATGCACAGGTAGTCTTTATCTCACCATCCTACCTAGATGCTGAGAGGAAAATGCTTTCCAGGGACAGGGTTGGAGCAGTGGGTCTAAGCCCTCACCCTGCATCATCGGGGTGAATGCACAGGCATTCTGGAAGCAGTGGGTCTAAGCCCTCACCCTGCATCATCAAGGCGAATGCACAGGTAGTCTTCCAAAGGCTTCAGCCCTGAACATTCAGGCCATTCAGGGCAGGCGACCAAGAAGGGCTTCTGTCCTGATTGCAGCTACTTGAGATGCCCAGAAACGCAGCGCCAACCCTGTCCCTGGAAAGCATTTTCCTCTCAGCATCTAGGTAAGATGGTGAGATAAAGACCTCCATGTCTGTGAGTGTCCCCCTTGCCACCTCACAAACAGCGCAAGTGTTTTCATCATTGTTTCTTTATGCTCTTTTCACTAAAATCCTCCAATAAACCTTATCACCTATGGGGGTTCCAGGCCATCATATTTGACCCCAATTGCCATTCTGGCCTCATGACCCATGGTCCACTTGTGTGGGCAGCACTCCAGGCCCCCACAACCCAAGGCACCTGCCTGCCACAGTTTTAGGCTTTGGTGTAGACTTGGCCCCCAACCAGGATTGTTCCCGTTATTTTTCCCACCTCTCTAAAACTGACCCCTTCTTCTTCAGAGCTGACTAAAGCTGACATGTATTACTGGCTCTGTGTCATTGCATGGAAACGTTACCGCCGGGGACAGCCAAAAGGCTGCCACAGTCAGAAGCATGAAGAATAGGGTGGGAAGATGGTGTGGGGAAGGGGGAAGAGAACAGGATTTGGAGTCCGGCAGATGAGAGTTCCAAACCTACCTCTGCTGCTTCTCAACAACACAGGCAGGAGCAAGCCACTTCCCTTCACCCAAAAGTAACAGCAGAATCCCTTGTCATAGTTTTATGTGACAATGACATGAAATCGCGTGTGGAAAGTATTCGGCACACAATCAGGGTTCTATCATTGTTCCTTCCTTCTTCCCCTTCCCCCTCCCTGGCCTGCCTAACACTCTGCTGTGAGTTGGCCCTGCCTGGGTCTCTGCAGTTCCCTTCCCTGAAATAGCGGTTCTCCTTCCTCTCCCCCTAAATACAACTTGAAAGCCACATACTGTTCCAGTTGAGAAGATGTTTTTCAGCCTCTCTGCCACTTTCAGTTCTGATCTGCAGCTCACAAACCTCTCAGGAGATTCATTTTGGGATGATATCACTCCAGCCTTCCCTACTTTATGTCCGTCCATCTATCCTTTGTTATTCTGAGGAAATAAGGACTTTCACTATTCCAGCTCTGCCGCCGCTCACCTAACTTGATGTTGGAAACCAGGAGAGATACCTGGGTTCAAGTCCAGCTCCGCCACTCACAGCTTATGCAATCTCAGACACATCCACAAAATGTACCTTCACAGAGCAGTATTCATCTATCCACTAAGCTTGAATTCATTTTTTGTTTGTTTGTTTTTGAAATGGAGTCTCACCCTGTTGCCCAGGCTGGAGTGCAGTGATGTGATCTCAGCTCACTGAAACTTCCACCTCCAGGGTTCAAGCAATTCTCCTGCCTCAGCCTCCCACCATGCCCAGCTAATTTTTTTGTATTTTTAGTATAGACAGGGTTTCATCATGTTGGCCAGGCTGGTTTCAAACTCCTAACATCAAGTGATCCGCCCTCCTCGGCCTCCCAAAGTGCTGGGATTACAGGCGTGAGCCACCGCACCCACTAAACTTGAATTCAATGCGCATGGCTGACATGTGAACATTCTTTAAAATCTACAGACTGCCAATTCATTGTAGTTATTCTGGAAAAAGGAAGGGTGTTTTCTCCACCATTCTTCTCATATCTGTGAACATTAGGGTACTCGGCCAAAAATACAGTTCCTGATCTGTTGTATCATGCCTTCTTATGATTTGTCTCTCTGCCACTAGGCTATGGGTTTCTTGGGGGCAGAGATGGAATTTGATCTCTGGCTTCCCGTGTATGAGCATGTAAGTTTTTGGCACAGAGAAGCTGGAGTCGGTGACTACCTGAAAAAATGACTTCAATGTAACTAAACCACTCACCCACCATCTCTGGGCCCATTTCTTCATCTGCAAGATGACGATCATATTCCCTCATGAGCCAGTGGAGTGAAGGTTCTCTTTGTCAGCCTCTATCACTCTTTCCGGAACCCTCCCACCGCCCGGTTAGATGCCCCAGCTCTTGCCCAAGTCACAGTGGTTTCCATGCTCCTTAAGGCACCTCTATCTCAGGTAGAGTCTGTATGATGAACTGTAGTCTCACGGTGTGGATTTGTAATCATGTCAAAGCCTCACTAATGGTCTCATAGAAATGTCATGTGATTTCCCCAGGGGCTCAACTGTCCAGGAAGAGCCCTGCTCAGAGTAAACTCATCACTTGGAGTTGGGGGCTGAGGGCAATTAAATCCTAAAGATTGCGGATGGTGAAAATCCAGACGCCACAACCCCTGACAAGGTGCAGGCTTCCTCCAGGCCACCCTGAAACTTTCTGCCTGGAGGAATGTGGTGGAGAACAGGCTTTGATGTCATCCATTCACCCAACATCAATGGGGTACAATCCAAGCCTAGCCATTTACTAGCCACGGGTGACAGCAGGTAAGTTAATTTACCCCCTTGAGCCTCAGTTTCCTCATCTGTAAAAAGGTGACAAAGATACCTTGTAAGGCATTAGTGTGAGGATTCGATTAGACAGATGTGTTAGAATCATTAGAATAACTAGACAAATAGAAGAATTAGAAATAGAAACCCGTCACACAGTGGCTATATTATTGAGCCACATGGTAAGGATTCAGTAAATGAAACTAAATTTAGTATTTTGACTCTATCACTTACTCCTTGTGTGACTTTGGTCAGGATACCTATTTTGGGGGCCCTAAATTTTTCCTCTGGAAATTAGAAACTGCTTCTCCAAGCAATCCCATCATGCATGGAATGCACTATCATAGATGCAATGTCATCTAGCATGCCACCTGGCACTCTCCCAGCCCAAGGGTAACTTCCTTTGCCTCACTCACATTAGTCGGAAGCTTGAAGAGCAGAAGTCCAGGAGGTTTTGTTTGTTTTGTTTTGTTTTGTTTTGTTTTGTTTTGTTTTGTTTTGAGACAGAGTCTCACTTTGTTGCCCAGGCTGGAGTGAAGTGGCCCTATCTCGGGTCACTGCAGACTTCACCTCCCAGGTTCAAGCAATTCTCCTGCCTCAGCCTCCCGAGTAGCTGGGATTACAGGAGCACACCACCACACCTGCATAATTTTTGAATTTTTAGTAGAGATGGGGTTTCACCGTGTTGGCCAGGCTGGTCTCAAACTCCTGACCTCAGGTGATGCACCCGCCTCAGCCTCACAAAATGTTGGGATTACAGGCGTGAGCCACAGCACGCAGCCTGGGGTCTTATAAAATATGCCCCCCACCCCACGGCCGACAGCCTCTAGGAGCCAAAGAGCTACCCAAAATTGATTCTGGGATTGCCCCGAAGCAATTTTAAGAAATG